>NC_000012.12:89960128-90585128 GCF_000001405.40 Homo sapiens | reverse complement strand
GAAAAATTCAAGTAGAGCACAAGCTTGATATGGTAATAAGAGCCCTAGTGAGGTATATTTCAATTAAGTTTTCCTATGGAATTATTGCAATTAAACTAAAAATTATGACCTTCCAGTGTTAAAAAATATGGAATATAAACAGAAAGTGCAATATGTTAGATAATGGCCTTTTTATGGATTCTTCCCTTAGAATGTTTTCCAGGGAATAAATTGGAATGTTTCTCAAAGCCCTGTGGTAGAAAATATCTACCATTTTGTTGTTTATGCTTATTCCTTGTAATAACATAGGTTTTATTTTGTTCATCTTTGAGATCTCATTAGATTAATCATTAAATGTATTTTTGATGATTGAATAATTATTTCAATGATTATATAGAAAAAAAATAATTCAAATTCTAAGATATGTAGGACACATTTTCCCAAATTGTATACAATCTTACTTAAATTTTCAAGCTGATTAATGAATTTGAGGAAGGGAAAATATGTGCATTTATCAATCACCTAAATTGTGCCACTATGCTTTTTCATCTATTAATATATTGCACCTTCAAAATATACTATGTTAATATGCTGCTTTTTGCATGGAAAAAAATTGGGTCATAGTTTGGTACACTGTTTTAGGTCATATACTTAGCAAATGGTGAAGCTGGAATTAGAACCCCTGTGTCTCTGACTTCAAACTCTTTACATTTATACCATATCATAATAGCCATGTATTTTTACTCCACACTTATGTAAGTGGATAATGTATAAAATAAACACAGATTCCAATGATTATCTTAAATTAATTTTAAGATATTTAAAATTTGAAGATATCTTAGTAATATCTTAACATTTAAAGAGCTAAAAAAGAAATTGCTATAGTCATGATAGCAATATAAGCTATTAATATTCAAGGGTAATATGTATTTTTTCCATCTCTTAAAATCAAAACATATGACACTGAAAAAATGTATGTACTTCTTTGGGCTAATGTGTTTGCATTTTAAACTTGAACTGTGAATTTATAATTTTGTTACAAGGCAAAAAAAAAAAAGAAAAATATATCAAGTTGTATTTCTTATCAAGAATTCAAATGCAATACATTAAAATATAAACTCATTGCCAATTTTTTCTCACCCTTGCTTCACTTTTACCTCCTGATCGTCTACACAGAACAAATATTTATTATATACTTGAACCATGATACAGCCAAGAATGTTACCACTGTTTTTTTACACCATCTTCTTACTTAAGCCCATCATTCAGTGATGGAATTCCATTGACTATAGGACAAAATCCAGCTGTAGCATACAAAATTGGTAATGACCTTACTTTTGATTATTTCTCCAGCAAATTTTTGCCCTCTCCCATTGGCACTTTATACTTTAATAAGATTAAAATACCTAGATTTTTCTGAGCAGTTTATCTCTATTCCAGACTAAATGTAGAGCAGATATCTGATATAATCCTGGGGTTGACTTCTTTCTTTTTCTATCTGTATTATCAAGTGAGTAGTAGCTCAATCACTACTTCCTATTTAAAGCATTCCTTGACTTTTAAAGCAGAATTAAAACTCTCCTTATCCTTAGCTCTTTTGATAGGCATTAATGCTACCTTTCAATATTCCCAGGTCTTCTCCTTCTGGGTCATAGTAAGCTTGCACTTTAGTAACTACATTGCATTATGTATGACCATATTATTATTGTTAGACAGTGTGACCCTAGACTTACCTAAGCAGATTTTAAGAGCCAATTATATGCTATTTTTCCCTTTTTAGCGAACCACTCACTCCGGCATACTAGTTGATACTTCCTTGTATTTGAGATTGACGGTTATTTATCTTTTCTTTTTTCTCAGCAGCTTAAAGATGTTATTCATTTATCTTGTGACTTTTATTGTGTCTTAAAGGCTAAGTGCTCTAAATAAAAATTAAAATTATCCAGCACTTATTTAAAATTGAATAGGCAAATAAATAACTGTATGTTGTATACAAGAGACACATCTATGACATAAAACAATTGGTAAGATAATATAAAAATATTCAAGTTTTAGCTTAAAAGAAAGCTGATGTGATTATATTATCAAATAAAGTGAATGTTTAAGTCCAAATAATTATAAAAGAATATAATGAACACTTGAAAATTATGATCTTAATTCACCAAAAGAAAAATATGATTCTAAATTTGAATATGCAATTTTATTTATCTATAAAATATGACACATATTTTATATATTTAATTTATTTATAAATAAATATTATATATGTAACAGAAATTGATAGAACTACTAAAGAATAGACACATTCAAAATTAAAGTTGAATGTTTTAACATAGTGTTTCTCAAGCACACTAAAACAAGAAGGATATAAAATATTTGAGTGATAAAATTAACACACTGTACCCAGTTAACATATATAAAACACTGAACACAATATTTGCAGAATATGCATTTTAAGCATATATGTAACATATACAAAAATGACTCTGATAGATCATAAAACAAGCCTCAACAAATATAAAGAATTGAAATCATTTATAATATTTTTTACCACAATAAAACAAGATGTGAATCTATGAAAAAAATGAACACTAGAAAACCTCTGTAAGTATGAGAATTATTTCTAAATGACCCATGAATCAAAAAAGATATAATAGTTGATATGCTACTACATCAATTCAATGAAAATAAATAGTAAAAGAAAAATTAATGCATGATACAATCAAATTATAGAGCAAAAAATTGATTTTACCAGGTAAACACAATGAATACCCCTTGATAATACTTTTCAAGAAAGAAAAGAAAGGCACAGTAAATCATTATCAAAAATGAAAGAGAAAATAGCACCGCCACAGATCCAATTTAGATATTACAAAGATAAATTTATAATGAAAAATTTGTTAATAAAGTTCAGATTTTCAGTGGTAGAGATAAATTTCTAGAAAAATGAAAGTCACCAAAACTGACACAGGAAGAAATTTAAAAATTTGAAAAATTATGTAATTAATTATTAAATAAGAAGGATCTGTAATATGTAATTATAAACTTTTCCATAAAGAAAATTTTTAGGCTCAAGCGGCTTGAGGAAAATTCTCACAAATGTTCGGGAAATAAAACTGATCATCTATAATTATTTCCTCACAACAGAAAAAGAAAGATATTCTCTAATCAGTTATATAAAGCTAGCATAACATTGAATAGCAAAACTTGACATGGATATTAAAATACAATTACAGGCTAATTTTACTTAAAAATATTGACATGTAAGGATTTACTTCTCCAAAAATGATTCTTTGCAGGCTGACTTCCTAGAAGAACCAAGGAGACTGCTATTGTCAAATGGTTCAGATAGAAATTCTAAGTTACAAAAGTGGTGGTTCAGGACACAAGTTGTGCAACTATATATAGCTGCAGCCACAGGATTTGAATCCCAGCACCCAGACAATTCCACATATTTGATAAAATGGGTGAGTGCTTCTCCAATCATGAAAAATAAGATGGCAGAAATGGACTCACAAACAAGGTTTTGACATACTATACAGGTATACACTTAAGGTTTGGACCCAGCTGTAATATTACCCTGGGAAAGGACTGATGTTCTCCCATTCAAAGAGGACTAAATTAAGATAGTGAAGGAGGCCAAGATTCTTCATGGCAAACATCTGTGACCAAAAAAAGAAAAAAAAAAAAAAAAAAACCTTGTCTACCAGCCATCATTATGCAGCTTAACAGTGTCAGAATTATGAAGACTGTTGCACTTGAGAAGAGCTGGTTACCCAGTTCTACTTGTGACCTGTAAACAGTCACAAATTTGACAGATACCAGGAATTACGTAATTCCTTCTGATCCTCTTTCTTCAAATTTCTTAAAAATAAGTTATCTTTCTATTCACCATGGGTTGAGCCTTAGTTCTATGGCTCGAAGACAACCAATTAACACCTAACATTGCATAATATTTTTAATATACATTGTGTTCACATGTAATTTACAACATTTGTAACCTTAGTATTTCATTTAACAGTTTATCACCAATGTTTTACATATCATTTTAACAGAAAAATATATCTTACCTTCGATTTTTCAAAATAATTTTATTTTAGGGGGGCCTAAAACATATGTGCTGAAAATAAAGCTATCTCTAATTTGAAATATTAGATCAAATTTGAAAAAGAAGATCTAATTAGATCAATTAGATCAAAGATCAATTGGTTGTAGTTACATGGCTTTATTTCCGGGTTCTCTATTCTGTTCCATTGGTTTATATATCTATTTTTATACCAGTACCATGCTGTTTTGTTTAATATAGCCTTATTAAACTTAGATCTGTAATAATCACCTCATATCCCATGAATCAAATACACCCACTCCTAAGACTTTAGTTGTTAAAATTCTTCTATGTATCTCACAGAGTATTCCTATACATGTGATACACACATGCCATTTTACACAATTGGAATCACATAATTCCTTGTATTTATTAATCTGGTTTTTTGGCTCAACAATGTCTCATGGATTTTTATAGTTTCAGTACATATAAATCTGTTACCAAAACTTTAAGGACTGCATAGTTTTCAGTTGAAGCATGGATGATAATATTTTCACCCATCCTGTGCTGACTTTGTTTTATGTCAACTTTATCAATATTTTATTAATATCAATATCAAATATTTCAGTTTATCAATACTAATACTTCAATGATAAAATCATAGTGTATATTTTTATTTTTCTACATATTAATACCTAAGTTTACTTAGCATTTGGAATCCTGTTACACAGAATAATATTTTGTTTTGTATTACTAACTTACCTTTCAATAGGGGTTTTTAAATGTTTAAAATTTCACCACAAATGAATGAAAGTTTTTCTTTAATAGGAGCTGATACGTGGAAGCTATGGCCTGAGGACTAGTTGTTGCTGCCATGTGGTGCAGGGTAACCAATGTTTTGAGGAAATGCTGTCATCTCCCTGGCTTGAGAAACCAGATAACAGGGTGGCTATAGAGGCTAACTGCTAAAACTCAAATATATGAAGAAAATATAGATAGGACTATATTAAGATAACTACAGCAGAAAGGATAGAAGAAAGCATAAATTGCTTACATAGTTGCAAAATGCCTACATTTTTCATAATGCAATCTAAAATTAACTCTATGTTGATTATAAAAATTTTAAGATATATATATTGTAATCTCCAAAGCAGGCTTTACAAGAATAATGTGAAAAATATGTAAAAAGCCAGTAGATTAAATATAATAAAATACTAAAAGTCAGTTAACCAAACTGTGCTGCACAGTGGGGAAAGTATAATGAGTTAAATATATACAATAATAACCATAAATAACAAATCTTATTTATATATGTAGGAGTAATGGGTGATAAACTCATATAAAAATAATTCTAAATCCTGCCATTTTCATAAATCAGTGAACACTGACATGTTTTTGTTTTTTGCTTTTTACTTATTTATATAAATTCAGGTATACACGTGCAATTGTGTTACACGGATATATTGTGCAGTGGTGAAGTCTCGGCTTTTAGTGTACCCGTCACCCAAATAGTGTACATTGTGCTAAACAGGTGGTAATTTGTTCCTTATTCCTCTCCCATCCTTCCACCTTATGGAGTCTCCAAAGTCTATTATTTCATTTTGCATATCCATGTGTATTCACTGTTTAGCTCCCACTCATAAGTGAGAACATGTGGCTTTTGAGTTTTTGTTCGAGTCATTTTACTTAAGATAATGCCCTCCAGTCACATCCATGTTGCTGCAAAATACATGATTTTATTTTATTTTTATGTCTGAGTAGTATTCCATGGTATATTTATACCACTTTTAAAAATCTAGTCATTCATTGATGGGTCCCTGGGTTGATTCTATTTTTTTGTTTGTTTGTTTTTGACAGTTTCACTCTGTCACCCAGGCTGGAGTGCAGTGGTGTGATCTCGGCTCACTGCAACCTTTATCTCCCGGGTTCAAGTGATTTTCCTGCCTCAGCCTCCCCTGTAGCTGGGATTACAGGTGTGCACTATTCACAACTTTTTTTTTAGAAGAGACGGAGTTTCACCATGTTGGCCAGGCTGGTCTCAAATTCCTGACCTCAGGTGATCCGTCTGCTTTGACATCCCAAAGTGCTGGGATTACAGGCGTGAGCCATTGCACCAGTCCTAATTCTGTGACTTTTTAAATTGTGAATAATGCTGCAATATACATAGAAATGCAGTTATCTTTTTGATATAATGATTTTTGTTCCTTTGTAGAAAACCAGTAATAAAATTGCTGGATTGAAAGGTAGTTCTATTCTTACTTCTATGAGAAATTTCCGTACTGTTTTCCACATCCTCACCAACATCTGCTGGTTTTTGACATTAATAATAGCCATTGTGATTGATGTGAGATGGTATCTCATTGTGGTTTTGATTTGCATTTCTCTGATGATCAGTGTTGTTGAGCATTTTTCATATTTGTTGGTTGCTTGTATATCTTCTTTTGAGAAGTGTCTGTTCATGTCTTTTGCTCACTTTTTATGAGGTTTTGGGGGGACCTTTTCAGTTTTATTGAGTTGTTTGAGTCTCTTGTAGATCATGGGTGTTAGCTCTGTGTCAGATGTATTGTTTATAAATATTTTCTTCCATTCTGCAGGTTGTCTGATTACTCTGTTGATTATTTTGCTGTGCTAAAGCTCTTTAGTTTAATTAAGTCCCATTTGTCTACTTTTGTTTTTGTTGCATTTTCTCTTGAGGACTTAGTCATACATTAATTGTCTAGGCCAATGTCAAGAAGATTTTTTCCTAGGTTTTCTTCTGGGATTTTTAGTTTTAGGTCCTACATTTAAATCTTTATCTTAACTTAAGGTTTGCATATGCTAAGAGAGAGGGATCCAGTTTCTTTCTTCCATAGATGACTTTCCAATTTTCCCAGCACCATTTAATAAATAGGGTGTCCTTTCCCCAGAGTTTATTTTTGTTAGCTTTGTCAAAGATCAATTGGTTGTAGTTACATGGCTTTATTTCCGGGTTCTCTATTCTGTTCCATTGGTTTATATATCTATTTTTATACCAGTACCATGCTGTTTTGTTTAATATAGCCTTGTAGTATAGTTTAGTGTAGCATAGTCTGGTAATGTAATTGTGATACCTCCAGTTTTATTCCTTTTGCATAGGATTGCTTTGGCTATGTTAGATTTATTTTGGTTCTACATTAATTTTAGAAATTTTTTTCCTAATTCTGTGGGGAATGACATTGATAATTTCATAGAAATTATGTTGAATCTGTAGATTGCTTTGAGCAGTAGATCATTACAATAATATTGATTCTTCCAATCAATGCACATAGGGTGCTTTTTCATTTATTTGTGTCATCTATAATTTATTTCATCAATGTTTTATAGTTCTCTTTGTGGAGAATTTTATACCTTTGTGGCTACCTGTATTCATAGGTATTTTATTTTTCATAGCTATTGTAAATAGGATTGGGTTCTTGATTTAGTTCTCAGCTTGTAAATAGTGTATAAAAATGCTGCTGATTTTTGTAAAATGATTTTGTATTCTGAAATTTTACTGACATAATTTATCAAATTTAGGAGCCTTTTGGAGGAATCTTTAGGGTTTTATAGATGTAAGATAATATCATCAGCAAACAGAGATATTTTAACTTTCTCCTTTCCAATCTGGATGCATTTTATTTTTGTTCTTGCCTGAATGCTTTAGGCAGAACTTCCAGTACTGTATTAAATAAGACTGGTGAAAGTGGGTATCTTTGTCTCGTTCCAGTATGTAGGGGGAATTATTTCAACTTTTCCTTGCTGAGTATGATGTTGGCTATGGGTTTGACATATATAGCTTTTATTATTTGGGGGTATGTTTTTGTATGCCTAATTTGTTAAGGGTTTTTATCATGAAGGGATGATTGAATTTTTTCAAATGCTTTTTCTGACATATGTTCAGACAGCTCAGAGAAATAAGATTCAGAGAGTTAAAAAAATAAAACATATGTCACCATGATGTAAGGAGTGGTAAGGAAAATTACTTTTCATATTTTTTTCATTCTCTCTGCAGATACATATGTTTAATTCTATACCAATATCTATTTCTATATATCCTTTCAAAAATTAAAATAGTGAATAAATGTAACACAAAACATCATGAGTAATAATTACACACTTAAATATTAAGTAGCATTTAGAATGCTGACCAACTGCTGAGCATTTTGCTGAGCATGCATTCAAAAAATAGGAAAAATAATTGCTGAGTCATGCATTCAAAAATAGGAAGAATACTAGCAATCAACAGAAATATGAGCAAAGATTTAAAAATATTTCATAAAAGAAAATATTCAAGTAGGCAATAAATGCATGCAAACATTCACAATTTCCTTTTCTTCAAAGATATTCAATTAAGATGACATTATAATATCACATTATACAGAGAATGAAGCAAGATGGCTGAATGGAAGCCTCCACCAATTGTCCCTTGATAAGGACACCAATTTAACAACTATCTACACACACACACACACACACACACACAAATCTTCTTAAGAAGAAAAAAATCAGGTGAGCACTTACAGTACCTGATTTTAACTTCCTACACTGAAAGAGGCATTGAAGAGGATAGCAAAGAGTCTTGAATCACCAATGCCATCTCTTCCCCATCCCCCAGCAGCAGCCCTGTGGCACAGAGAGAGAATCTGAGCACTTCGGAGACAGTAAGCACAGCAATTGTGAGACATTGCATTGAACTCAGTGCTGACCTGTCACAATGACAAACAAAACAAGGCTTAACTCACCTGTCACCCCATACCGCAATGAAGGGAGTATTTAAATCAGCCCTAACTAGAAGGGAATCATCCATGCCAGATGTTAGAACTTGAGTTCTGGCAAGCCTTTTCACCCACGGGCTAAAGTGTTCTGGTGCTCTAAATAAACTTGAAAGACAGTCTGTGACATAAGGACTGCAGTTCCTAGGTGAGTGCTAGGGTTTGCTGAGCTCAGAGCCAGTGGAATTAAGACCATGTGACCTTCTGAGATACCAGCTGGGGCAGCCAAGGGAGTGCTTGCACACCCTTCCCACAACCCCAGGGTGAACAGCTTGCAGCTCCAGAAGAGACTCCTGACTTCTGCTTGAAGACAGGAGAAGGAAGAATAAAGAAGACTTTGTCTTGCATCTTGGATATCAGCTCAGTCACAGTAGGATAGGGCAGTAGTCAGAGTCATGAGGTCCCCTTGGCAGGCCCTGGAAAATATTTCTAGACACACCTGAGATAGAAGAGAACCTGCTTCCATGAAGGGAAGGACTCATTCCTGGCAGGACACATCACCTGCTGGGTAAACAGCATTTGGGACCTAAATAACCAGCAGTAATACCTAGGTAGTATGCTGTGGGCCTTGGTTGAGACTCACATTCCCAGATGTGGTGGCTATGGGGAGAAACTCTTTCTACTTGAGAAGGGTGAAGGAAAATTTAAAGTGGACTTTGTCCTATACCTTAGGTACCAGCAGCTCAGCCACAAGGGGTAGAGTACCAAGCAGGCTCTTGGGGTCTCCAATTCCAGGCATTGGCTCTTGGACAGCATTTCCAGACCTGACCTAGGCCAGAGGGGAGCCCACTGCCCTGAAGGGTAAGTCCCAGGCCAGGCAGCACTCACCACAAGCTGACTGAAGAGCCCTTGGGCCTTAAGGTAACACTGGCAATAGTCCAGCAGTGCTTCCTGTGGGTCTGTGGAGGTGGTGAAAACAAGAAGAGGCTCCTGCGTGATGGAAAGTGGGGGGAAGATGGTTTGAAGGCCAGCACAACCACAGTACAGCAGAACACCAGGTAGACTTCTAAGGTTTTTTACTACAATTCCTGGCTCCTGGACAGCACCTCCGGACCCACCTGAGATCCAAGGAAACTTGCTGCACTGAAGGAAAGGGCACAAGACTGGTTAGTTTCACCACCTGCTCATGTAGAGCCCCAGGGTCTTGAGCAAACATAAGTAGCCAGGTAATGGTTACGGTGAGCCTTAGGAAAGACTCAGTGCTGTGCCAGCTTCAGGTCTGATCCAGCACAATCCCAGTGGTAGTAGCCACAGGGGTGCCTATGGCTCTAGGTGGCTCAGAACAAAGAGAGAGACTCCATTTGTTAGGGATAAAGTAAAGTAAGAGAAGAAGAACCTCTGCCTGATAATCCAGACAATTCTTCTGTAACTTATCCAGGACACCCAAGGTGGCATTTCCATGAGTCTGCACAAACCACAGTGTTACTGTGCTTGGTGTGGCCCCTAATGTAAATATGGCTTAGATCACAACACCTAAGTCTTTTTGAATACCTGGAAAGCCTTCCCAAGAAGGACAAGTACAAACAAGCCCAGACTACAAAGACTACATTAAAGACTTAACTCTTCAATATGCAAACACAGACGAACATCCAAAGGGATCGTGAACATACAGGAAAACATGACTTCCCCAAATTAACTAAATGAGATACCAGGGACCAATACTTGAGAAACAGACATATGTAAACTTTCAGACAGAGAATTCAAAATAGCTTTTTGGAGGAAACTAAAAAAAAGTCAAAATAACATAAAAGAATTCAGAATTCTTTCAGACAAATTTATAAGGAGATTGAAATAATTTTAAAAAGTTATGCAGAAATTATGAAGTTGAAAAATGCAATTGTCAGAATTAAGCAGAAGAAAGAATTAGTGAGCTTGAAGAAAGTCTATTTAAAAAGGCACAGTCAGAGGAGAAGAAAGAAGAAATGAATAAAAAAGAATGAAGTACACCTACAAAATCTAAAAGTACCCTCAAAAAGGCAAATCTCAGAATTATCGGCCTTAAAGAGGAGGTAGAGAAAGAGAAAGGAGTAGAAAATCTACTCAAAGAGATACTAACGGGGACTTCCCAAACCAAGAGAAAGATATCAATATCTAAGTACAAGAAGGTTATACAATACCAAGCATGTTTAATGCAAAGAAGGCTACCTCAAGACCTTTAGTAATCACATTCCCAAAGGTGTTAAGGATAAAGAAAGGATCCTAAAAGCAGCAAGAGAAAAGAAACAAATAACATACAATGGATCTTCAATATGTTTGGCAGCAGACTTTTCAGTGGAAACCTTACAAACCAGGAGAATGGCATGACATATTTAAAGTGTTGAAGAAAAAAAAATTACCCTAGAACGGTATATCTTGTTAAAATATCCTTCCAACATGAAGGAGAAATGAGGACTTTCTGAGACAAACAGAAGCTGGGGGATTTCATCAACACCAGACCTGTCTACAAGAAATGCTAAAGAAAGTACTTTAATCAGAAAGAAAAGGACCTTAATAAACAATAATAAAACATCTGAAAGTAGAAAACTCACTCACTGCTACTAGTAAATACACAGAAAAACACAGAGTATTATAACACTGTTACTGTGGTGTGTAAACAATTCTTAAGCAGAAAAACTAAACAATGTACCCATCAAACAAAATAACTACATTAACTTTTTAAGACATAGACAGTGCAATAGTAGAAATTTTAAAAGGTAAAAAGTGGGGAATTAAGGTGTGGAGTTTTTATTCATTTTCCCTTTTCTTGTTCGCTTATTTATGCAAACAGTGTTATGTTGTTATTAGCTTAAAATAATGGATTATAAGGTAGTATTTGCAAACTTCAAGGTAACTTCAAATAAAAAAAATGATAGATACACAAAAAATAAAAAGCCAGAAATTAAATCATATCACCAAAGAAAATCACCTTCACTAAAAGGAAGACAGGAAGGCTGGAAAGAAGGAGGAGAAGACCACAAAACAATGAGAAAACAAATAATAAAATGGCAGGAGTAAGTCCTTACTTATCATTAATAATACTGAACGTTAATGCACAAAACTGTCCTATCAAAAGTATAGCATGGCTGAATGAATAAATAGAAAACAAGATCCAGTGATCTGTTGCCTATAGCAAATACACTTCACCTATAAGGAGATGCATAGACTGAAAATAAAGGGATGAAAAATGATATTCTATTCCAATGGAAACCAAAAAAGAGCAGGAGTAGCTGCACTTATATCAAAGAAAATAGATTTCAAGACAAAAACTGTAAGAGGAAAAAAGGTTAGTATATAATGATAGAGGGAGGGGTCAATTCAGCAACAGGATATAACAATCATAAAAATACATGTACCCAACACTGGAGCACTCAAGCATGTAAAGCAAATATTGATAATAAAAAGAGAGAAACCCGAATACAATAATACCTGGAGAACAACACTGCACTTTCAGCATTGGACAGATTTTTTCAGACAAAAAAACCACTGAAGAAACATTGGACTTAGTGAGTACTATATACCAAATGGACCTAATAGATATTTACAGAACATTTCATTCAATGGCTACAGAACATACATTCTTTTCCTCAGCACGTGACTATTCTCAAGGATAGATCACATGTTAGCTCACAAAATAAGTTTTAAAAAGTTTTTAAAATTGAAATAATATCAAGCACCTTCTCTGACCACAACAAAATAAATCTAGAAATCAACAACAAGAGAAATTTTGGAAACTATACAAATTCATAAAAATTAAACAACATGCTCCTGCATGACTAGTGGGTCAATAAAGAAATTAAGTAGTAAATTTAAAAATTTCTTGAAACAAATGATAATGGAAACACAATATACCAGAACCTATGGGATACAGTGAAAGCAGTATTAGGAAAGAATTTTATGGCTATAAGTACCTACATCAAAAAAGAGGAAAAACTTCACATAAACACTGAACGGTGCATCTTAAGGGAATAAAAAAGCAAGAGCAAACTAAACACAGTATTATTTGAGGAAAAGGAATAATAAAAATCAGAGCAGAAATAAATGAAACTGAAATGACAAAAACAATACAAAAAACAAAAAGTTGATTTTTGAAAAAGTAAAAAAATTAACAAACCTTTAGCCAGACTAAGAAAAAAAGAAAGAAGACCCAAATAAATAAAATCAGATATAAAGTGACATTACAACTGACACCACAGGAATTGAAAGGACCATTAGTTGCTACTATGATCAACTATATGCCAATGAATTGGAAAATCTAGAAGAGATGAATAAATTCCTAGACACATCAACCCACCAAAATTGAAGCATGAAAAAATCCAAAACGTAAACAGATGAATAATAAGTAAAGAGGTTGAAGCCATAAAAGATAAAAAGTGTCTCAGTAAATTAAAGCCCTTAACCCAGTGGTTTCACTGTTGAATTGTGTGAAACATTTAATGAAAAACCAATCCCAATCCTACTCAAACTACTCCAAAAAATAGAGGAGGAGGAAATACTTCCAAACTCATTCTATAAGGCCAGTATTACCCTGATATCAAAACCAGACAAAGACACATAAATAAAGAAAACTATAGGCCCATATAATGGATGAATATTGATGCAAAAATCCTCAACAAACCACTAGGAAACTGAATTCAACAATATATCAAAAAGACAATTCATCATGACCAAGTGGCATTTATCTCAGGGATGCAAAGATGGTTCAACAAATGCAAATCAATCAATGTGATTCATCATATCAACAGAAGGAAAGTCAAAAACCATGTGATTATTTCAATTGATGCTGGAAAAGCATTTGGTAAAATTCAAAACCCCTTCATAATCAAAACCCTCAAAAAACTGGGAATAGAAAAAACATACTTCAACATAAAAAAGCCACATATGACAGGTACATAGCTAATATCATACTGAATGAAAACAAAAATGGAAAGCCTTTCTTTCAAGCTTGGGAACACAACAAAGATGCCACTTTTACCACTGTTATTTAACATAGCACTGGAAGTCCTAGCTAGAGCAATGAGACAAGAGGAAAATGTAAAAGGCATCCAAACTGGAATGAAAGAAGTCAAATTATCTTTGTTTCCAGATGATATAATTTTATATTTGAAAACACTTGAAGATTTCACAAATAAAAACTGTTAGAACTGATGAACAAATTCGGTAAAGTGTCAAGATACAAAATCAGCATAAAAATCAGTAGCATTTCTATATGCCAACAGCAAACAATCTGAAAAATTAATCAGTAAGGTAATCTCATTTACAATAGCTGTAAATAAAATAAAATGCCTAGGAATTAACCAAAGAAGTGGTATATCTCTACAATAAAAGCTATAAAACATTGATGCAAAAAATTCAAGAAGGCACCAAAAATGGATTAATATTCCAGGTTCATGGATTGGAAGAATCAATATAGTTAAAATGTCCATACTATCCAAAGAAATATATAGGTTTAATGCAATCCCTGTCAAAATACCAATGACATTAACCACAGAAGTAGAAACAACTATCATAGAATCTCTATGAAACCACAAAATACTCTATGAAACCACAAAATACTCAGAATCTACCCAATCTATCCTAAGCAAAATAACAAAACTGGAGGAATCACATTACCTGATTTTAAATTATGCTGCAGAGCTATAGTAACCACAACAGCATGGTACTGGCATAAAAACAGACACATATATCAGTGGAACAGAATTTAAAAATCTGAATACAAATCCATACATCAGCAGTAAACTCATTTTTTAAAAAAATCGCCAAGAACATATATTGGGGAAAGGAGAGTTCCTTCAATAAACGGTGGTAGGAAAATTGAATATCCATATGCAGAAGAACAAAACTAGGTCCCTATCTCTGGCTATGTACAAAAATCAAATAAAAAATGGATTAAAAGCCAGGTGCAGTAGCTCACGCCTGTAATCCCAGCACTTTGGGAGACTGAGGTGGGTGGATCATGAGATCAGGAGTTCAAGACTAGCCTGGCCAAGACGGTGAAATCAAGTCTCTACTAAAAATACAAAAATTAGCCAGGCATGGTGGTGGGTGCTTGTAATCCCAGCTAACCCGGGAGGTGGAGGTTGCAGTGAGCTGAGATCCCACCACTGCACTCCATCCTGAGGCAACAGAGCAAGAATCCATCTAAAAACAAACAAACAAACAAAACAAAACAAACAAAACAAAACAAAAAAAAGCTTCGTACAGCAAAGGAAACAAACAAAAAAACAACAAAATGAGGAGACAGCCCACAAAATGGGAGAAAATAATTGCAAGCTACCCCTCTGACAAAGAATTAATAACTAGAATATACAAGGAGCTCAAACAACTCCGTAGGGAAAAAATCTAATAATTCAATTTAAAAATGGGCAAAAGATTTGAATAGACATTTTGCAAAAGAAGACATACAAAAGGCAAACAGGCATATAAACATGTGCTCAACACCATTAATCATCAGAGAAATGCTAATTAAATCTATGATGAGATATCATCTCACCCCAGTTAGAATGGCTCTTATCCAAAAGACAGGCAATAACAAATACTGGCAGGGATGTGGAGAAAAGGGAAGGAGCCCTCATATACTGTTTGTGGGAATGTAAATTAGTACAACCACTATGGAGAACAGTGTGGAGGTTTCTCAAAAAACTGAAAATAGAGCTACCCTATAATCCAGCAATTTCATTCCTAGGTATATACCCAAAATAAAAAGAAATAGTATATCGAAGAGATATCTGCTCTTCCATGTTTATTCACAATAGCCAAGATTTGGAAGCAACCTAAGTGTCGATCAACAGATGAACAGATAAAGAAAATGTGGTACTTACACACAGCAGAATTCTATTCAGCCATAAACAAGAATGAGATGACTGTGTGCAGTGGCTCACACCTGTAATACCAGCACATTGGGAGGCCAAGGTGAGTGGATCATGTAAGCCCAAGAGTTTGAGACCAGCCTGGACAACATGGTGAAAACCTGTTTACTACAAAAAATACAAAAATTAGCTGGGTGTAGTGGTGTGTGTCTGTATTCCCAGCTACTCGATAGGCTGAGATGACGGGATCGCTTAAGGCTGGGAGGCACAGTGAGCTGTCCTTCGCATGTTGTCACATATTTATATGAGCTAAAAATTAAAGCAATTAAATCATGGAGATAGAGGATAGAAGTACAGTAACCAGAGGCTGGGAAGGGTAGTGGGTAGGAGGAGGTGTAGAAATGGAGTAGGAAGGGCTAATGGGTATGAAAAAATAGTTATGAATTAACAAGACCTAGTATTTGCTAGCACAACTGGGTGACTATAGTCAAAAATAATTTCACTGTACATTTAAAAAAAACCAAAAGAGTATAATCCCATTGTTTGTAACACAAATAAGTGCTTGAGGTGTTGGATGCCCCATTTATCCTGATGTAATTATTACTCATTGTCTGCCTGTAAAAAATATTTCATATAACCTGTAAATACATACACTTACTATGCACCTAGAAAAATTAAAATAAAAAATTAAAAAAATTCTACTTTACACCTACAGAAGGATTAACATGAAAAGTATTGTTAATGAATTACAGCAATTGTAATCCTATAATTTCCACATTTAAAAACTGGTAGTTTTTACTACATCCAGCTGTAGCCATACTCTATGGCCTTGTAATTTCACTGAGAAGAATATACATATATATATCATAAATTTATACATATATTCACTAATTAACATATACTAGTATGTTCATACGAACACTATGAAGATTTAAAGCTGGGAACAAACAAATGCCCTCAGCAATAAAATGAATAAATAACATTTTAATTAAAAGATTCTTTTAAGTTAACAACATATAAAATTCTTTTAAGTTGCCTTAAAATAGGAGAACATAAAAATAGAGGAAATAGTCAATAAATAAATTCTTTATAAATTAACAAAATCATTTGAATAATACTAAAATCAAATTAAGGAAAAAATAACATGGAAAATATTTACATAGTCAACAGGTTAAATACCAGATACGAGAATGTTTTAAATGTTAAAAATGATGGGAAAATTATTACAATGGTTTTACTTTTAAATTAAACATAACTTTATTGAGGAAGGAACTCAGAAATATAGAATGTATAGAAATATTGGCAATGAGATCATTGTATATAGAAATTAAAAGAAAGTGAATAAGGTCATATATTTGAAAATAAGGCCATAACTTTAAAATTTGTGATTATTTAACAAGAGTAAGGATAAATAAACTAAGCCAAGTGTGTTGTATATGAGAATTATCTATGGAGTTTAGTCAAATAAAATGCAAAATCCACAAAAGTCCTAGTCCCTTACATTTGTGTTGGCTCATAGAGATCTATCTCAAAAACTCTTCTGAATTTCCAATGCAGGTAACCTTTGAATCACTCTTTGAGAAACAGAAACACAACACTCAACTCAAAATTATATTTATCAAATGTTAAGGGGAAATTCTGGCTTCATGCAATGCTTTCCAGTGAATTGGTACAAGAATTCCACACAACACAATTAAACCTTACTTGTATTACTAAAAGGTGAAAAAACAATACCAAACCTGTAGAAGGGGAAGAACAAATATTTTGCTTTCTTTCTTATAAATTATTTGATCTTATACTCTGCCTTGGAATTCAATTCACAAACATGAAATCATAAACAAACATACATGTTACTGTCAATGTTTCTGGTGTTTCTTAAACTGAGACTCATAGAAGTCACATGCATCAATAGGGTTGTGATATGGTTTGGCTCTGTGTCCCAATCTAAATCTCACCTTGAATTGTAATAATCCCTACATTTGAAGGGCAGGATCAGATGGAGATAACTGGATCATGGGAGAAGCTTCCCTATGCTGTTCTCATGATACTAAGTGCGTTCTAACAAGATCTGATGGGTTTTATAAGGGGCTTTCCCCTTCAATCAGCACTCATTCTCTCTTTTGCAACCCTGCCACCCTTCTTCCTAGTGGAGCTGCCTTCCCCAAGATTGTGAGTTTCCTGAGGCCTCCTCAGCCATGTGGAACTATGAGTCAATTAAACTAATTTTCTTTATAAATTATCCAGTCTCAAGTATTTCTTCATAGCAGTATGAGAACATACTAATACAGTAAATTGGTACAAGGAGGAGGGTGCTGCTATAAAGATAAGCAAAAATGTGGAAGAGACTTTGAAACTGGGTAACAGGCAGAGGTTGGAACATTTTGGAGGGCTCAGAAGAAGACAGGAATGTGTGGGAAAGTTTGGAACTTCCTAGAAATTTATTGAATAGCTTTGACCAAAATGCTAATAGTGATAATGAACAATGAAATCCAGGCTGAGGTGGTCTTAGATGGAGAGGAGAAACTTGTTGAAAATTGGAATAAAAGTTATACTTGCTATACTTTAGCAAAGAGACTGTTGACATTTTGCCCCTGCCCTGGAAATCTATGGAACTTTGAACCTGAGATAGATGATTTAGTGTATGTGGCAGAAGAAATTTCTAAGAGGCAAAGCATTCAAGAGGAAGCAGAGCATAAAAGTTTGAAAAATTTGCAGCCTAAGCATGCAATAGAAGAGAAAAACCCACTTTCTGGGGAAACATTACAGCCAGCTGCAGAAATTTGCATAAGTAATGAGGAGCAAAATGTTAATCCCCAAGACAATGGGGAAAGTGTCTCCAGGGCATGTCAGAGATGTTCACAGCAGCCGCTCACATTACAGGCTCAGAGACCTAGGAGGAAAAAAATGGTTCAGTTGGCCAGGCCCACGGCCCCCCTCTGCCATGCAGCATAGGAACATGGTGCTCTGTGTCCCAGCTGCTTCAACTTTAGTCATTGCTAAAAGGTGCTGAGATACAGCTTGGGCCATTGCTTCACAGGGTACAAGTCCCAAGCCTTGGTGGCTTACACATAGTATTGGGCCTGTGGTTGCAGAGAAGTCGAGAATTGAGTTTGGGAAACCTTCACCTACATTTCAAAGTATATATGAAAATGCCTGAATGTCTAGGCAGAAGTTTGCTGCAGGGGTGGAGCCCTCATGGAGAACCCCTGCCAGGGCAGTGTAAAGAGAAATGTGGTGTCATAGCTCTCACACAGAGTCCCAAAGGGGGCACTGCCTAGTGAAGCAGTAAGAAGAGGGCCACCATCCTCTAGACCCCAGAATGGTAGATCCACCAACAGCTTGCATTGTATGCCTGGAAAAGCCACAGACACTCAATGCCAGCTCATAAAGCACTTATGAGGGGGTCTCTACACTGCAAACCCACAGGGGTAGAGCTGACCAAGGCTGTGGGAGCCCACATTTTGCATCAGCATGCCCTGGAGGTGAGACATGGAGTCAAAGGAGATCATTTTGAAACTTTAAGGTTTATTGACTGCCCTGTTGTATTTTGAACTTACATGGGGCCTGTAGCCTCTTTGTCTTGGCCAATTTGTCCCATTTGGAATGGATGTATTTACCCAATTCCTGAATGCCCATTGTATGTAGGAAGTAACTAACTTGCTTTTGATTTTACAGGCTCATAGGTGGAAGGGACTTGACTTGTCTCAGTTGACACTTCAGACTTGGACTTTTGGGTTACTGCTGGAATGAGTTAAGTCTTTGGGGGGCTATTGGAAGGGCATAATTTGTTTTGAAATGTGAGGACAAGAGATTTGGGAGGGGCCTGGGGTTGAATAAAATGGTTTGGCTCTGTATCCCCACCCAAATCTCACCTTGAATTGTCATAATCCTCATGTGTTAAGGGTGGTACCAGGTGGAGATAATTGAATCATCGGGGAGCTTTCCCTCATGCTGTTCTCATGATAGTGAGTAAGTTCTCACAAAATCTGATGGTTTTATCAGGGGCTTCTCCTTTCACTCAGCACTAATTCTCTCTCCTGCCATTCTATGAAAAGGTGCCTTCCACCACGATTATAAGTTTCCTGAGGCTTCCCTAGCTATATAGAACTGATTCAATTAAACCTCCTTTCTTTATAAGTTGCCCAATCTCAGTATTTCCTCATAGCAGCATGAGGACAAACTAATACAGTCTGCAAACCAGAGGCTCAGTAATGAGAAGGCTGGATTTTTCTATAGCAGAAATGCCCACAGGTAGCTGTGAAGATTAGCATCTTAAATTTAACTTCAACTTATTCCACACTTCATAACTGTTATACCCCCCACAAATTGCCACCTGTAGGAGAGAAAAGAGCTTGCTCTCATGTTTTTTTTTTCCAAGAGAACTAGGAGATGGGAATAAATTAATTAAGCCAAGTTTGTTTTATTTGAGAGTTGTATTATCCATAGAGTTTGTTGTATGTGAGAATTACGTATGAAGAATTTTATGTCAATTATGTCACAACAAAGCTACTGAGTAAAAAAGAGAGAGAGAGGACCAAGGTAGCTGAGCCCCACACAGAACCCATCACAAGACAGCCTGAGACAATTAAGAACTAAGGAGCAACACAATGGTTAACCTACAAGAACATACAAGTATTTCCCCAGGATCCATAGAAATATTGAGAAGGATGTCAGGCTTCCTATAATTTGAAGTGGAAGAATTAAGAAGTTATTTTACATAAATAAAAAAAAGAAAGATGGTTTTAGAATGCTAGGAAACTTGAAGATATAGCAGTTATGCTTGGATGAGCATACAAAGCTAATTTGGGGAGAAATGCTTAAATTTTGTAATATCACTTAATTGATACACTTTATTTGTAATTCAACACCTATTTTGGCCATGGGTTTCTAGGGGGAAAACAGCTTATATAAAAAGGATAATTGTTTTACATTGCTATTGAGAAAATAAATATACAAAAAATAAATAAATTCTTGTTTTTATTTTTGACATATTCAACTAAATATGTTAGTAGAATATAAACTGACCACAATTGTCAAGTGACTAATATTACCCTGATTTTTAGGTTTAAATCTTTCTTGAGTTTGAATAAAAACTACCACAGGAATCAGGTTATTTGTAAACATAGTGAAACAGTGGAGACACACCAGCAGGCCTATGAATTAATAAATGAAAGAAAAATATTAAACCTTAAATATGTATTTTTTCTTCTGTGAAATGTCTGTTCCACTTTATTAATTGCAGCTTAGGATATGAATACATTCAGGATTTATGTATGACTGAAATTGAAGGAGATATTCCTAAGTCACTCTTTCAAAAGAGACAAAAAGCCACGTAAGTTGTTTCCTAGAGTAAAAAATTGTGAGACTTTTGTTTGAGAAACAAATATCTTTAGTGGTCATGCCGCCATTTTAGTATCATTTTTCCTAGGCTTGTTTTTAACTTCTGCTAGAAAGAACAGGTTTTCTTCATATTCTCCCTCTTTTGTTTAATTGCTTCTGCTATCACCACTTACTAAAGATGTCCATAGAAAAAATTGTCTTTAGCATATTTATTTTTTATCCAATAGTTTCAGCTTTATAAATTCTGTCTTTGAATAGAGATTACTAAAACATGTCTAAAAAATGACAGAATTAAAAGGGAAATGTATATGTAATGTTGAACTAATTGACTGCATATTATATTTGTCCAAAAGACCTATTACTCTGAATTGTATTAAATTAAGGCCTTGTTGTTAAATTAATCTTTTCTAAAATACAGGCAGATTTTGTGGTCCAAAGAGTATAACTGCACTTAAGACCTACTAATATTTAAAGATTATAGCAGCAAGATTTAAATTAGGACCAATATTGTATATTTTTAAGGTACCAAAAATACATATCTGATTTTTGAAAACCCTTTAATCTTAAAGCAGAGCTTGTTCTATTTTTCATTAAATGATAATGAGATGCTGGCAAATGCATGATATTTTTAACTTAATGATAGATTTTTTGGATCTTTCAAGCTATTTTGCAATGCGCCTTTTGTTTTTTAATCACCTTTAAATTTGACAAAACAGAATAGTTTAAAAGTATAAATAAGAATAAACATTGTTAAATTTTTATTTATTTATGGAATATCCTGAAATCCAATGCCATAATACTCCAGTAAATTTTGTAGGTCATTAGTATACCAAAATAAAAAGAAAGTTATTTGATTGAAAAACTTAACTAAGCCATCTGAAGGTAATGATTTTAATTCATTCAAGTTAGGGAGTATAAAAACAATCTAAAAAAATTTTATCTGGATCAAACTATTAAATCATTAATTTAAAATCTTTGGCTTTAGAGGTTATTTAATCATGTAATTTAGTAAAGGATGGAAAGGCCACTGAACCAGAGGTTGGAAGCCCTGGACTCTTGGTTTATTGTGACTTTAGTTTCCACATCTATAAAAAGAGGGAGGGTATTGGACAAACTGACTTCAATGAGCCTTCCCTCCCAATTTCTATGAGTCACTAGTATTACAAATTATAGATTTTCTCTAGTGATTTTCACTTACCAACATCACTGAAATGATTTAGCTCTTGGATACTCATGTTACTGGAATCATGACATTTGTTCTGGCTTACTTTTCACTAGTAAACTGCTAGAGAATACTGGAACTGCATAGCAGTTGTCTTCTAATCCAAACTGATAAATGTTTATCAAATATTTGTACACTGAAAAGGGATTCCAATGGTACAAATATGCAAAAGTAAAATTTCTGGCCTATGCTGGGAGATAAATTATTACATGAATCAAGTATCATCCAAGTCAGTGTTGCCATATGTTGCATTGGCTACAAAACAAATGAAAATGGGGAGCTTTTTTTTTTTTTTTTGCCTTAGGGAGAGTTATAGGAAGACACTGTAGTAGAAATGGCTTTGCGACAGGCTTTAGATTGTTTGAATTCCAAAATGAAAGATATCGAGAGGTATAAATTGGAATGGAGTGGAAGAAGCAATAGACTTACAAAGGAATAGTTGTAAAATCACAGGGTAAGTTCAGATTATGGAGAATTGTAAGTCATATTGATTATATTATAAACCAATTGCTAGTTTTTCAAATCTAAGAATCTCACTTTCAATAGAATGTGCTCTTCTCTTGTTTTCCTTTATGATCAGTGGTCACTGATCCAGCCTCATTCTTCCTAGTCCCCGTTGTAACCAACAATATTTTTCGAAACAGAAAAAAAGGATGGTTCGTTTTTCTCATGTTGCATTCTAGTAAAACTGCTTGGATTTCTCCAAGAGATCTAAACTATTTGTACCTTTGGTCTTTCTGGTCTTTTACGTGTTTGATAAATTGATAAATATTCAAAGAGTACCAACTACATGTATGACTTGTTTGAAGCAATAGACACAATGATTATAAAAAGACTGGCACTAGCTTATACTCCAGTTGAGTAAAAGGTGGGTAAATTAAAAATAATAAGCTAGTTTCAGAGAAGTATAAGTGCTCTAAAATATTAATAAATAAGACAGGGTACTAAGTTGGAGAAAAAAGTAGAATGAGATTGAAAAGGACAAATCTGGATACAGTTGTCAGGAAACCCTCCCTGAAGGCTTAGACTTATATGATGAGAAGGAGTAAACCATAGAAATACTTGAAGCAATGTCCTTCTAGCCCTGACCACTACCTGCATGATGTGTCTCGCTCCCCTCTTTACTAGGCTAACGACTGCATTATTTAAGGATCAGTTCAGATGTCATTTCTCTGGGAACACTTTCCTGATAAACAAGACTGGATTAAGTGTTAAGCCTCTGTTTACCCCATGTTTAACACTTAATCCCCATGAATTTCAATTCTCTATTTACTTGCTTATGACCCCATGGGATATTTGAAAGGTAGGTAGAGACTCTTTGTTGATCACAGTCATATTCCCTATACTTAGGAAGTAAATATTGATGAATGAATTATTAAGGTCAAAATAATAAACTATTGGCAGTCTACAAAGTTTGCATCTTCGCTCATCTTTTGAGACACTGGTAAATGTTTACTCTCTTGATATGCTGGGTTTAATGTTTAGCTCAAACTTTGTGGCAAATTCTTAATGAGCTTTTTATTTCATATAAACTTTATTTCCGTTTTACCATAAAATCATCAATAAGGACTTTACAATCAGATGCTAATGTTTTAAAGACAGCAGGGGAAAAAAAGGGAAGTTCTATTAATTTTAACTTAAAAGCAGCCGAGAGCAATTAGTTTCAAGGTCTTTTCCAAAGATTTAGAGAAAATATAATGCTTTGATTCCTCACAGCAGAAAAGTAACTCAAATTCTTTTAGTAGTTCTTGCTCTCAGTTTATTTACATCTATATTTGAAAGAAATGATAAGTATCTGCAATTAATCTATGGATTTCTCAACTCTCATAACACTTGAAATTAATATACCCTCAATGTGTACTTATTTCAAAGATCTATTTTATTTATTTATTTATTTATTTATTTATTTATTTATTTATTTATTTTTGAGACAGAGTCTCACTCTGTCCCCAGGCGGGAGTGCAGTGGCACAATCTCAGCTCACTGCAACCTCTGCCTCCCGGATTCAAGCGATTCTCCTGTCTTAGCCTCCTGAGTAGCTGGGACTGCAGGCACATGCCACCATGCCCAGCTAATTTTTGTATTTTTAGTAGGGACGGAGTTTCACCATGTTGGCCAGGATGATCTCCATCTCTTGACCTCATGATCCGCCTGCCTTGGCCTCCTAAAGTGCTGGGATTTCAGGTGAGAGCCACCGTGCCTGTCCCTCAAAGACATGTTTTATAAATTATTTGGGATTATCAATTCAAAACCTGGGATTCTTTAAATGCATTCTAATTTTTGTTAATAGGTAACTATATTATTACCTTCTAAATGACAATTTGTATACATTCTCAACTTCCCTGTTTGAAAGGGATAGGAGTTCTTGCTGCTCACTAGCTCCTTAGCAAAGTATTTTCTTGGATAAGAAAAAAATAGTTGAAGCTTCACATGTCCAAAATTTGGAATTTTGATTTTTCTTCAAAAATAATTTCTTCTCAGAGCCCCCATTTATTCTTCTAGTTGCGACTTTCAAAATCCCTGGACTCATCCTTGCCTCTTTCTCTTGCTCATATTCCTCATTCAATCCACTAATAAATGTTTATGGCTACAACTTTAAAATATGTCCAAAATCTTTACTATTCTAACTGTCTGACAAAGCTCTCACTATTGCAATCTGCCTAAACTGATCTACCTTTTTTCAACTGTATCTTCCCACCTTTTGGACTGCAGAAAGCAGTGGGAGGCAGTATCCAAAATTATGAGTCAGATCATGTCACTCAAAACTTTCCAAGGTTTTCCCATTTCGCTCAGAAGTAAATAATAATAAAAAAAAATTATCTGGTATATAAGACCCTAAGAAAGCTGCCCCAGTATACCTCTCTTGCCTCCTTTCTTCTTTCTCTCCTTTACCCCATTCCTCTTGGCCAAATTAGTCTCATTACTAGTCCTTCAGCATGACAAGTAGACCCTTGTCTTCAAACTTTGTATACATTATTTCTTCATGGAATAATTTTGTTTCAGATATTTACATAGTCCTCTCTGTAATTATTTAGGTTTTTATTCCAAGGCCTCTTACTCAGAGAGAATTTTTCTGCTCACTTCTCCTAACATAGCTATTTCCTATCTTCGTCCAGTCTATTGCCCACTCTTTATTTATTACTGATTTTATAACGTGTATTTGATTGTTTTTAATGCTTGTCTTATCCACTAGAATATAAGCTCTGTGAAATAAACCTATTTTATTCACTGCTGTCAGCTATACCCATTAATCCAGGCAAGAGATGCCTCTGCATTATTTCCTGTACCTTATAATACCCTGAGTGCCATAAACATATATGAAATAATTTATTTAAAATTACACGTTGGGAGGGAATTCTCCATGGTCTCTTACATTGCTGCATGTTTTTAAAAGAGGCATTACAGTTGTTTTTTTTCTGGACTACTTTTTCAAGGATGTTTTTATAGTGAACAGATAGAGATGGTCAGAAGCAATTACAACAAAAACAAAAATTGACAAGTGGGAGCTAATTAAATTAAAGAGCTTCTGCACAGCAAATGAAATTATCAACAGGGTAAACAGAAAACCTACAGAATGGGAGAAAATATTCACAAACCACGCATCTGACAAAAACTTAACATTCAGAATATATAAGAAACCTAAACAAGTCAACAAGCAAAAAACAAACAAACAAAAACAATTAAAAAATGGGTAAAAGACATGAACAGATACCTCTCAATAAAAGACACACATGTAACCAACAAACGTATGAAAAAAATGCTATCACTAACCATCAGAGAAATGTAAATCAAAACCACAAAGAGGTACCACTTTACGTCAGTCAGAATGGCTATTACTAAAACATCACAAAATAATAGATGCTGGTGAGGCTGAGGAGAAAAGGGAATGCTTATACATTGTGGGTGGGAATGCAAATTATTTCAGCACTGTGGAAAACTGGAGATTTTCTCAAACAACTTAAAATAGAACTTACCATTCTACCCAGTAATCCCATTATTGGGTATAGATACAAAAGAAAAATAAATTGTTCTAGTAAAAAGACACACACAGTCATATAGTCATCACAGCACTATGCATAATAGCAAAGACATGGAATTAACCTAATTACCCATCAACGGTGGATTGGATAAAAAGAATGTGGCTCATATGCATCATGGAATACTATGCAGCCATAAAATTAATGAAATCATGTCTTTTGCAGCAGCATGGATCCAGCTGGAGACCATTATCCTAAGTGAATTAAAGCAAGAACAGAAAACCAAAAACCACATATTCTCACTTATAAGTGTGAGCTAAACAATGAAGGCTTATAAACATAAAGATGGCAACAATCGACATTGGGGACTGCTAGAGGAGTGATGGAGGAAGGGGGGCAAGGGTTGAAAAAATGTTGACTACTATGCTCACTACCTGGGTGATGAGATCAGTTGTACCCTTAACCTCAGCACCATGCAATGTACCCATGTAACAAACCTGCACATATGCCCCCTGAATTTAAAATAATAGATGAAAATACATATTCAAAAAATAGATAATGACTCCCCCTGGATATTTGTTTCCCAATCAGGGCAATAAAGGTAATAGTAAAAAAAAAAAAAAACAGTTAAAAAAAAAAGTCAAAAAAAAAAATCATTGTAAAAGAAATAATAGAGATAATTTTCCCCACCAGGGAAAATGTTAGGCAGGTTGGTAGCATCCCTCTTATAAGAATGGGAGTTTCTTAAAATTGAGATTCTTTAGCTGTGATCCACTGTGTGCACAGCATTCACCTGAGCTGATCCTTACCACCCTCATGGAATAAGGGAATACCAAAGATGCTAGGTCTGAATGTTTATGTCTTCCACAAATTCATATTTTACAATTCTAACACCCAAGGTGATTGTTTTAGGAGGTAGGGGCTTTGAGAAGTGATTAGATCATAAGGATGGGGGGTGTGGGAGGTCATTAGATCATGGTGATCTGGGATTAGTTCCCCTATAAAAGAGTCCCAAGAGAAACCCCAATCTCCTTTCACCATGTGAAGACATAGTGAGAAGGTTCCATCTGTGAACCAAGAATCAAGACTTCCCCAGACACCAAATCTGCTAGCACTTTCATCTTGGACTTCCATCCCCCATAACTATGAGAAATTAATTTCTGTTGTTCATAAGTAAAGAAAATCTACTAAATTAATGACTCATATCATTAAACAATGAATTAATTCACATATCCAGTTACTTAATATTTGATAAAAAATTTTATCTTCATTAAAGAAAACTGATTATGGAACACTGAATTTAAAACTGTAACCAGGACATTTTTTAACAAGGCAAGCTTATATCTGTGTGTTGTGAAGTATATCAAGTTTTGAAGTTCCTGCTCCATTTCCTAACATATTTTCCCAGAAAAACACATATTCATACCACTGCTTTTATGAAATTCATCACTTTATTATCTCATTGGCACCCTGCGAAAATCAAGAGACAAAAATTTAATTTCAAACTTCAAATTGAGGATAGTTGTCATGGATAAAGAGAGGCATAATAATAAAGGACTCAATTGCCCAAGACAACATAACAATCCTTATTGTGTATGCACCTAACAATAGATCAGCAAGATACATAAGACAGAAGCTGATAAAACTTCAAATAAAAATAGATGAACCAACTACTATAAATGGAAATTTCAACCCCCTGCTATCCAAAATGGACAGATTCAGGAAATGGAAAATCAGTAAGGACATATATTATTGACCTCTATAGACTTTGTATAATACAGCAACAGAATACACATTCTTCTCAAGCTCACATGAAACATTCATCAAGATGGTATACAGCTAGGCTAAAAAACCACACCTTCATAAACTAAAACAAAGCAAAGCAACAGAAGTCATACAATATCTTTTCTAAGATCACAATGGAATAAAGCTAGAAATTAATAACATAAAGGTAACTGGAAATAAAATATTTGGAGATTAAACAAAGTACTTGTAGAGGGGAAGAGAGATGAAGAGTAGCTAAGGGATACAAAAATACCGTTAGATAAAAGGAAACAAGTTCTAGTATTCAACAATGCAGTAGAGAAATTATAGTTAAATATAACTCACATGTTTTTAAATAGCTAGAAGAGAAGAATTGTACTGTTTTCAACACACAAAAAATAAACATTCAAAGTGATGATATCCTAATTACTCTGAAATGGTAATTACACATTATATACAGGTATCAAATTATCACATGTACTCCAAAAATATGTACAACTATTATATATTAATTTAAAAGATATGATTTAAAAAACATATTTCTAAATAATGCATGGGTCCAAAAATCTCAAGATAAATTTTAAATATTTTGAGCTAAATTAAAATACAACTTATAAAAATTTGTGCAATGCAGCAGAAACAGTAAAATTTTTAGCACTGAATATGTATTAGAAAGTAAGAAAGATTAAAAAATAATTATCTAAATTTCTATCTTAGGGAACTAGAAAGAGTAAATAAAATTCAGTATCAGTAAAAGAAAACAAATAATAAAAATTAGAGCAGAAATTAATAAAATTAAAAACAGGAAATCAATAGAAAGAATTAATAGAACCAAAAGCTGTTTCTTTGAAAATATAATAAAATTGATAAACCTCTAGCCAGGATAATTGAGAAAAAAAGAAGAAGCCATTATTAATATCAGAAATGAAAGAGGGAACACCATTACAGATCCCATGGATATTAAAAAGATAATATGAGAATACTATGAACAATGTTTAGCCCACAAAATTGATAACCCAGATGAAATGAAACTGGTTACTTGAAAGATATCTGCTGAAACTCAAACAATCAAAAATAACCTTAATAGTATTGTATCTATTAAAGAAACAGATGAAAATAATAACTTTTCAAAGCAGAAAGTGCTAAGCCCAGATGGGTTTACTGGAAAATCCTATGAAATATTTAGGAAAAAATTATATTATTTCTCTATAATCTCCTCCACAAGATAGAGGCAGGAAAATTATTTCCTAACTCATTCTACGAGGACATAATTACCCTAATACCAAAACCAAAAAGACTCATTACAAATGCAAACTGCAGACCACTATTTCACATAAACATAGATGCAAAAATCCTCAAGAAACATTAGCGAATCAAAATTAAAAATTTATTTAAAAATTATACACTATGACCAATTGGGGTTTAGCCCATGCTAAACCCAAGGCTGGTTCAACATTTGACAATTAATTACTGTGTTCTGTCACATCAAAAGGCAAAAGAAAAAAATGTAATGATTATATCTACAGATACAAAAAAAAAATCAGTTAAGAAAACCCAATACTGATTCAAGATTAAAATTTCTGAGCAACCTAGGAATAAAGGAGAACTTCCTCAACTTGATAAAATAATGCACACATTTACAGCTAACCTCGTATTTAATGGTAAGAAAGTTGAAGCTTTCTTGTTGAAATCAAGAACAAGGCAAAGATGTCGCCCCTCGCCTCTTCTCTTAAACATCATACTGAAAGTCCTAGCTAATGCAATAAGATAAGGAAAAAAAAAGACACACACATAGGGAAGGAAGAAATAATACTCTCTTTGTTCACAGGTAAAATGATTTTCTATGTAGAAAAAAACTGAAAGAATAGTCTAAAACACTCCTGGAACACATTCTTCTGTGTGTTACAACATGGCTGTTGCAAAGTTTTAATATATAAGAGTAGTATACAAGTGTCAATTGCTTTCTTATATAACAGCAATGAACAAATAGAATTTGAAACTAAAAACACATAAACATTTACCTTACCAACTCTACGCAAAATAAAATATTTAAGTATAACTCTAACAAAATTTGTGTTAAGATCTATTTAAAAGATATTAAACTCTGATGAAAGAAATCAAAGATGAACTAAATAGAGAGAGATTGTATTTCCTGGTTAGGAAAACTCAATATTGTCAAGATGTCAGTTCTTTCTAATTTGATCTATAGATTCAATCCAATACCAATCAAAATTCCAGTAGGTTACTTTGTGGATAGTGTAAACTTAATCTAAAGTTTTATAGAGAGGCAAAACACCTGGAAAAACTAACTCAGCATTGAAGGAAAAGAACAAAGTCAAAGACTGGCAGTACCTGACTTCAAGAATTACTATAGTAATATTAGCTACAGTAATCAAGACAGTGTGGTATTGAAAAAAGAATAGAAAAATAGATCAATGGAACATAATAGAGATATTACAAATAGATCCACATAAATATAGGCAACTCATCTTTGACAAAGGAGCAAAGGTTATACAATGGAGAACACATAGTCTTTTAACAAATGGTGTTGGAAAAACTACCCAAATGCACTAAAGAAATCTAGACACAGACTTTATATTCTTCACAAAAATTAAATCAAAATGGATTACAGACCTAAATGTAAAATGCAAAGCTATAAAAGTCCTAGAAGATAACATATGAGAAAATCAGGATGACCTTAGGTATGTTGATAAGTTTTTAGATAATAAATTATTGATAGGTTGGATTTGAATTTAAAACTTATGCTTTGCAAAAGACAGTATCAAGAGAACAATAAAGCCTCAGACTATCGCAAAACTATTTGCAAATGACACATATGATAAAAGACTGTTATGAGATGATGAGAGGACATAGGCAGAACAGTCACAATGAACATTTTTAAGAGCTCTGGAATTAGTCTTAGATTCATTTCTTAGTTTTGACTTTCACTATACATTTAATCTCAGGAAAGCCCTTAACTTTTTTGAAAATCAATTTCCTCATCATATAATGGGAATAAGGAACTTCATCTTGTATCCTTATTATGATAATAAAATGTGCATTCTTACTGAGAGAGAGGGAGAGGAAGAAGGGGAGCCAAGCCCAGTGACTGACAAAAGGTAAGTCTTCAGACATGGTTACTCTATATAGAGCTCTTAATAAGTGCCAGTGCTGTCACATATTTTGTGAATTTTAGTCACAACACCAATATGATAAAGGTATTATTATTCCCATTTTATAAGTAATAAAATGGAGTTTCAGAAAATTTAAGCAATTTCTCCAGAACACTGGGCTCAAAATCAGCACAATGTTAAAAGTCATGCCAATCTGATCCACCAAGTATACAGACCTTCCAGAGAATGCTCTAGCATTGATTGATGGAAGGGAATTCATTAATATTGACAAGTAATATAATAATATTATCTACACCCCTCCATTGGAGTCTAACTATCATGGAAGAAAGTGAGTAAAAATCAAAATGCAATGACTTATAGTTTAGGCTGTGAATCTCAGGTGATTTAAAGGAGAAATTCTAATAAACTGATATAGGAAAGAAGAAAACAATGCAAGTGGAAACCGTGAAGGTCCTGCCCATGCTTTCATCTTTTTCTTTTGCTGCCTTTCACAGAGGAGTACAACATGTATTTATCAATGAGAAAGAAGCTAAGAAACATTAAACATCTTTAAGCAGAAATCATTGTGTTTGCCTATGAGCAAAAGATATACTGCTTTCACATTATAGTAAAGATGAATGAAACATTAGAATACTTTATTTAAAAAGCCTAGGGTTGGTTTGGAAATATAAGGACACTTGCTTTTTTTAAATAAAATTTTTCTAAGAAGGTTTTGTATTACTTTTTCTATGCTATATAAAAAACACCACAAACATAACAGTTTAAATCTGTACTCATTTTGTCACCTCTCTTGTGTCTATAGTTCACAAGTCTGGACAAAGCTTAACTAGGCCCTCTGTTTAGGGTCTCTCAAGATGCCAGCTGAGCTGTGTTCCTATCAGGAGGCTGGATTAGGAAAGGACCAGTTTCTAAGCCCTGTTAGGTTTTCCATCATAATTAATCCCTTGAGTCTGTCAAAATTCAGGGCAGCTTGCTTCTTCAAAGCCAGCAACAAGAAATTCTCTCCCATTTGGAGCCTCTGCCTTCCAAGAAGACCTAGACTGTCTTCTGGAGGACTCACTTGATTGGGCCAGGCCCATCAGGGTAATCTCTCTTTTTTATATCTCAAAATCAATTGATTAAAGCCTATAATTACACCTGAAAAATCCAATCACCTGTGCAAGAACTGAACATAATTATGGGCATAATATGCAATCACCTTTGCTATATTTTGTTGGTTACAAGTAGTTCACAGGTTTATCAATACTCAAGAGGTGGAAACTGGGGTGTGGGAATCATAGGAACTACCAAGTTTGTGTTCACCACAGGCATTGACTGATAGCTCCATTCTTACTTTTCTTACCCTAACTGAGTCAAAGAAATAAATTAACAACTTTGATACAACCCTCCTAGATGAAACCAGGAAGATACAGAATCTATGAACAGACCAATAACAAGCAGCAAGATTCAAATGGTAATTTTAAAAATTGCCAACAAAAAAGTCCAGGACCAGACAGATTAACAGTTGAATTCTATCAGACATTCAAATAAGAATTGGTACCAATCTATTGACACTATTCCAAAAGACAGAGAGAGAGGGAATCATTCTACGAAGAATCACTAAATCATTCTGTGAAGCCAGTATCACCCTGACACGCAAACCAGGAAAGGAAATAAAAATAAGAAGAAAACTACAGACCAATATATCTGGTGAACATAGATGCAAAAATCCTCAACAAAAATGCTAGCTAACTTAATTCAACAGCGCATATAAAAGATAATCCACCATGATCAACTGGGTTTCATACCAGAGATGCAGGGATGGTTTAACATTCACAAGTCAATAAATGTGATATACCACATAAACAGAATTAAAAACAAAAATCACATGATCTGGGCTGGGCATGGAGGCTCATGCCTGTAATCCCAGCACTTTTGGAGGCCGAGGCAGGCAGATCTCTTGAGGTCTGAAGTTCAAGACTAGCCTGGTCAACATGGTAAAACCCTGTCTGAACTAAAAATACAAACAAAAATTAGCTGTTTTTGTGTACATATATATATATATATATATACACACACATATATATGTGTATAGATGTGTGTATATATATATAGATAGATCGATCATAGTAGTATTCCATAATGTATGTGTATATATTTATATACAGCCATGAAAAGAATGAAATAATTGCATTCACAGCAACCTGGATTGAATTAGAGACCATTATTCTAAGTCAAGTAACTCAGGTATGGAAAACCAAACATTGTATGTTCTCTCTCATAAGTGTGAGCTAAGCTATGAGAATGCAAAGCCATAAGAATAATATAATTGACTTTGGGGACTCGGGGGATAGGGTGGGAGGGTGTTAAGGGATAAAAGACTACACATTGGGTACAGTGTACACTGCTCGAGGGATGAATGCACCAAAAATCTCAGAAATCGCCACTAAATAACTTATCCGTGTAACCAAATGCCACCTGTGCCCCCCAAACCTATTGAAATAAAAAAATTAAAAAAGAGCAACACTGAAATTGTTTCATATGGGTTGGCAGCCTTTTATTGGGTAAATTATCTTTACAGTAATGTTTAATAATAATTATTCCTGAGTTGTGTAGAAATAATTTCTTTATTAGATTAAAATATCCTTCTTAGAATATCTATGTTAGTAGTTATATAATTAGAAAATAATGATTCTCAAAGAAAAACAGATGTAAGGACATTTTTTAACTTGGCAAATGGAGTTACACTGTTTTATTTATCCTAATGTTTTCTCATCAATCCATTTTATAATCAAAAGTTTGTTTTATGATATTTTCCAGTCAGTTTTTTTGTTTGTTTGTTTGTTTGTTTTTTTTAGACGGAGTCTTGCTCTGTCGCCCAGGCTGGAGTGCAGTTGCACGATCTCGGCTCACCGCAACCTCCGCCTCCCAGGTTCACGCCATTCTCCTGCCTCAGCCTCCTGAGTAGCTGGGACTACCGGCGCCCACCACCACACCCGGCTAATTTTTTGTATTTTTGGTAGAGACGGGGTTTCACCGTGTTAGCCAGGATGGTCTCGATCTCCTGACCTCGTGATCCGCCCGCCTCGGCTTCCCAAAGTGCTGGGATTACAGGCTTAAGCCACTGCACCCGGCCTTTGTTTAATTTTTACTCTCTACCAGGGTCAGTCATTCAGGATGTTTTTATGTGGCAGGATATGTACAGAAAATGGATGTATCAGAATAAATTAGAAATGTTATTTATACAACAAAAAATCAACTTTGATGGTTATCTCAAATTTCTATATTAAGTGACAGTATGTTGACCTTAAGTAAATGATACTATGTTAACATGCCATATAGATGCTTTTCATATCTCATTAATTTTTGGACACAAACTATTCTAATGACTTTGGCATTTTCTATTCCTTTCTTGAGAAACATTAATTCATAATTCTGTGTATGTTCTTCTTTATAGATGAATCTTGGATAGTTTGGTAAATTTGGTTTATCTGAATAAATGCTAGAGACAAAAAATTCTGTCTCTAGTTTTAAAAGGAGTAAAAAGCACTTAAGAAAAATTCCCAAAATGTGATTGAAACTGTTTAACTGCTTTATCTCGCATTTGTTTTTTATTCGCAATCGGCTTCTGTTATTCAAAATGCTTCTGCTTTGTAGTTATCTTGGCTCTAATATTTTAAATAAATAATGACAAGCATAACTGACCTTTAAATTTTTCACAAATCACATTTTTTAAAAAAATCAGACAACAATGACTTACATTCATGAATATCCTGATATATATTGATTATAGAAATGTACTGTTATTTGCAAATCCAAACTGGGCCCTATAACTTTCTGGAATTACTTTTTTTGATAAACAAATAAAATGAATTGACTTTTTATTCCATGTGGTAAGTCAATATCATTGCTGATATTTTAGTGATAACCAAGGGTTACTTTCACAAAGTATTTATTTTAAAAACTATAATCCTTGAACATTCATATCCAATTATTGCTCCCCCTGTGACAACTTCTAACAAGACTTCTAGCTGGTATTTTTGGTATTTATCTTTATATCAGTGGAAGGCATTAGTGCTATGCAGAAAGTATCCCTTTTTTCCAATAAGCAAGAATCCTAGAGAGCTGACCATATACATACAATTAAAAAGTAGCAAGTAAGGAATGTGCTACTCTTGTATTTAAAAATCAACTTACTGTTGACTGCCACAAATTTATTCCTTTTGATCTATGCTGTCATTATCTAGTGACTACAGCTCTACTATAGAATCGTTACATTGTACGCTAGTTATTTTTCTCATCTGTTTTCATTTAGACTATGAAGTCTTTAAGGGTCCTTAACATTCATATTTAAAGCTGCATTTTCTAAAAGAATATTTGCTATAATAGGTTTCTAACCAACATTTAATATCAAATTTTAATAATTTTTGGATGACACCTGGCATACGTGTTATACTTTCTTGCTACTGTACTAGATCCTTTAGACTTACTTTTTTTATTTTTTCGATTGCAAAGGCATGAAGCAACACCCAGAGAATCACCACAGTCATGTGCTTTCACTGTTTTATTACTGGAAACCTGAAATCCTAAACATACTCCTTCCCGTTTGTACACTGCAAAGGGACATATAAAAGAATTATACATGTTTCATAAAATCACTTTGCAGCAGCATATATATGAAAGAAGAATTATCCAAGATAAGAAGGGTTAATGAAGAATACTAGGTAGAGATGCCATTTGCTTTTCTACATGTGTTTAAATACCAATGTTGAGGTGTCATGGAACCTCTAGTAACCAAGAGTCTGTTTCACTTCTGGTAATATTATCAGACAGGACTCTAGTCCAGTTTTAATATTTTTCTTTTTTCTGACAATACTTCTTTAATCATATATATATATATATATATATATATATATATATATATATGTATACACTTTTTTTTTTAGATAGGATCTTGCTCTGTCACCCAGGCTGGAGTGCAGTAACGTGATCACGGCTCATGGCAGCCTCGACTTCCTAGGCTTATGCGATCCTCCCACCTATGCCGCTAGATTACCTGGTGGGACTACAGACACACACCACCATGCCCAGTTAATTGTTGTACTTTTTTTTAGAGATGGGATCTCACCATGTTGCCCAGGCTGGTATCAAGCTCCTAGGCTCAAGCGATCTGCCCACTTCAGCCTCTAAAATTGCTAGGATCATAGGTGTGAGCCACACTGCCTGGCCAAGTTTTAACATTTTTCACATGGTAGTTTTATAGTAATCCAATTGGCATTCTTATATATAAACAATTATATTTGTAGGAACATCTACTATGTGCAAAGAACTCCTGAAAATATTTTAAGTAGATTATCTTTAATCCTTTAAACCTGACACAGAGAACACAGTGGTTAGACTGGTGGCAAGTAACAGAAACCAACAGGACACAGGTTAAGTGAAACAGGAGACATAAGATAAGGACACAGGGATGCCTCATGGAGCCCAAGGACAGGCATATATTCAGAACTAGAAAGAAAGTGAAATCAGAAACTTGACATTTGTCAGGAATTTTTTTTTTTTTTAATTTTGCTTTCCTCTGTGCACTGCCTGACTTCTGTTACTAAGCCCAGCCCACACTGAAAAAGCAGGGATGCTGGCTCTGGTTAGTTTAGGAATTCTCCAGTATAAGATGGCCATGGCATATATGGGAATAATGTATTGTAATTGACCCTAAAATCATATGGGCTTGATATTCAAACAAAAGCCAGATAAAATAATTTGTGTCATAGAAATATCAACAGAGGAGATCATCTGTTGATTTAACAGATGTGTTGTAATTTAGAACACTCTTCAATAATGAGCACAACTTCAGTTCGGACACAGAAACATTTGTTATTATTATTATTATTATACTCAATATGGCTGTAGATGTTTAGCTAAATTCTATCATGTGTTTTCCCCCATCAGTTAAAATAATAGATTATGGCTATTGTAAAATTAGTCTAGTTCTTGCATTTAATTTGTCCCCTGAAGGCATAAATGGAAAAATAAATAGCCACTTTCAAGGTTATTTCTTGAGGTTTGTAACATTTTTGCTCTAATTTGGGGAACAATCATACTTATTGCCATTTTTATAATTTACTTATGTTAGAGCACAGAGAACTCTCTTGGCACTATGTTTATAATTTAAAAGGTATATCACATTTTGTTAGGAACTATTTAATCTATTAACTATAAATTCAAGCAATGCACCATTTCATAAAATCCAATAGAAGTATTTTGAAATATCAATCAGGATTTTTTCCAAAAAAATGGATGAATTTAAAAGTATATTTTAATGGTTTTGAAAGGTTTAAGAGTTGATATTTGGAGAACAGATGATGTTGAAGTCATATTTAGCGCCCTAAATTTGTGCAACTCATAAAAAATGTTTTTAATTTATAAAAATGTACACTCTGAAGTAACGCTAATATAAATGAATTTAGTATTTACCAATAAAATATTTTGACCACTTTTAGTTTTGCATTTATCAGTATGTATTGATGTTTTGATTAAACTATTAAATATTATTAAATATTATTCATTTTTAATTGAACAATAATTTATTAAATACCTGATAAGTGTCTCACATATTGAAAAGTTAAACAGGTCTGATATAAATTTTTCTTCACGATATATACAGTGAAATCAGAAAAATCAATAACTGGCTGTAAACTACATATGTAACAAAAATCTAAGGAGAGATGTTGAATAAAAAGCCTTAAAAAAAAAGAGAGAATGATCTATTATCATTGGAGTATATCAGAGAAGGAAAGCAAAATTAACATGTATTTAGTTTTTCCTTTTTACTTTTCCTTTTAAAGGAAAGCATTTTCCAATGCTTTTCCTTTTAAAGTCTATTTTACACATTAAGAAACTTAGTTTCAGAAAGCAGGAAGAGTCTTCCAAGATTTAATCACATAGGTAAAAACTTAGAAATCAAAACCTGTGTCATTTGATTCTTGGTCTTTTGTTTCTATCATTTGCTGCTCTGAAGAATGGAATGAGGAATTTGTAAGGTGAACAGGTCGAGGAGGCAAAGAACAATTAGGGCAGAGTGAAGAGCATGTGAAAACAATAAAGCATTGAACATGGCTAAAATGTAGGATATAGAATTTGTGGGAGAGTAAAGGAGGGTGAAAGATGTGTAAATTACGATAGGTTTTTAAACCATTCCAAGTATCGCCTCATGCTGAATTCCAGGTAAAATAAAAGAAAGTATTAAGCAGCTATATGCATAAGGAAAATAACTCCAGCATCATTTAAGAGAAACAGATGCATCAGGAAGAAGCGTGAGACAGAGGCCAGATAATCTGCTCTTGTTTTGAGTCTAAGTAGCCAATGCGACATATGGCAACACTGACTTGGATGATACTTGATTCATGTAATAATGTATCTCCCAGCATAGGCCAGAAAAACTGGTTTTGTAAGACATTTTGTTAGATATTTTGTTACTTATCTGATCAAGTAAGAATAAATCTTCAGAAATAGACTTATAATGAGAAATCTGAAGATAAGAATTTACTGGGGTGAGCAAGAGGAGAAGGTAATCCCAGGCAAAATACGTTCTCTATACTTCCAATGTTTGTACAATACCATTGCAGTGGTGAACTGAAAATCCCATTGGTTACTGGCCACCCTGTTTGCTTAAATTCTCTTGGCATGTCCTTGAAAATATTTTAGTCATTCTGACTTGAGTTTATCGTATCTTAACAGTGAAAAATGAAAGAAAGAATAAGTAAAATTAAAGCGTTTACAAAAGTTCTGGTAAAGGTACACATGTGCATGTGCACACATGCATAAACCATCCCAGAACAATGAGGCTACAAATATGGATAGTAATTTTCACTTAATACACCTTGTTTCTTTTTTTTTTTTTTGAGGCAGAGTCTCACTCTGTCACCCAGGCTGGAGTGCAGTAGCCCGATCTCGGCTCACTGCAAGCTCCGCCTCCCGGGTTCACGCCATTCTCCTGCCTCAGCTTCCCGAGACTACAGGCGCCTGCCACCACGCCCGGGTAATTTTTTTTTTTTTTTTTTTTTTTTTGTATTTTTAGTAGAGACGGGGTTTCACCATGTTAGCCACGATGGTCTAGATCTCCGATCTCCAGACCTAGTGATCCACCCGCCTTGGCCTCCCAAAGTGCTGGGATTAAAGGCTTGAGCCACTGCTCTTGGCCACCTTGTGTTTTTAATTTCAAATTGCATCGGAGGTTAATCATAAGTTAATGTACTTTTACTATATGTTAATATAATTATGATTTATCTGATATAATTCATTACTATTTATACTTGGATCTTTTGGAAACTGGGGCAATATTATGAATTTGAAAAAAGCAGGTATTTTTTCACATTTCTTATGGTAAAATTTAATTCACTGAAACCAACTGGGCTAAAATCCATTTTCTTTCAATGTAAACCATGAATCGTCTAGCAAAAGAAATTCCAAAATTGGATTGAAAGTTTTTCTAGATAGAATAAAAGTGAGAGAAGTGAAACATAATATTCTTTCCTGCTTTTAAACAGATCTACTTGAATGGACTCATTAACTTTTACACCTGAAAGAGATCAGAGATCATTTGATGAAATCTCCACATTTTACAGATGAGTAGCCATTCTGTTTCTAAAGATCTGTGTTTTATTTTTCCATTATTTTATGGAGTATAGTTTCCATCAAAAGACTGATGAGTGGTATGGAAGAAATTCATATTTATCTTTTACTTTAAAGAAACATGCTTTTATTTCTATAATATTCAAAATATTCTAAAAGATGTATTAAAGTTTTTTATTAAAGCACAGAATGAACCCACACTCCAGCATAACTGCTAAGCACTCTCCATTTTATATTTTCAACTTGCCTTTCAGCCACGCAAGTGGGAGAAGGGAAAATGAAATCAAGAAGGTCATTGTCCAAGTATTCTCACTTGTTTCTTATCAGGGATGAAAATCCACAACTGAAGTTGAAGATAGACTAAGCGGTAAACATGGTCAGTGCCACTTTGTGGAAGAGCAGCAAGAATCATCTTACTCGGGCATTTATTCCATGTAACTCTATTTCAGAACTCTAAACTGACTCCAAATCAAGTTTAATAATGGTCCTTCATTGAAGTCTGAACTTCAAACCATGGACTTCAAGTGCCTCTGTCAATCTATTTCTCAACTTACTAATTGTTCTCATTTCTTATTTGTAACTAATCACTGACAGTGCATAAAATGTGGCTTGAGCATGAAGAAAGAAACATATATAGAGATAATAATTTCCTCAATTTAGTGAAACTTACAGTCTTTTTTCTTTACCAAAAAATGGTCCGTTTGTAATTAATATTAATTACTTGAAACTGTAATGATCCTCATCAACTTCATGAATCAGCTATGTATGTGCCTTAGAAGAAGTCTACTTCATCTCCAACCAAAGTATAAGCCTTATTGGTCAAAAGGCAATCTCATTTTCCTTGTCAGCTCTTGGTTCAAAAAGAACATGCAACCCAGTTTCCACCAATAAGACTTGATGACAAGTTTGCTGGGATGGAGAGCATCTTTAGAAAAATTTTCCTCCTCACTAAGAGTGGAGCACAAAAAGTTATAATGTCTCTTCTTTTTCTAAACATAGTCACATAAGGGACCACTGCAACCACACCTTTACCATCCTGAGGAAGAAAGATGGCAGACCTGAGGACTGGAAAGAAAGCACATTTGACATCAAATTTCTTAAACAACTTAGAAACCAATTTTTCTCTAAATTTCTGTCTCTAAATGTTTTCTCTAAATTATGTGAGATAATACCTTTCTCTGTTAGGCAAGTCTCTAAAGTTTTTCTTTTCCTTGAAGCAGAGATTATCCTAATACAAATGGGGTAAGGATTATTTCAGCTGAAAATACGGAATTGTTTAGTTAGTGTTTTTCCATGTACATTGGCCCTCTCAAAAATTATTTCTTTATATGAAAATACATTTTGTTAATATCGTGTATATACTACATAATTCCAAGGAACATATAATATTTGTCTGTATCCATTTCACTGTACTGAGTCATCTGACTGGGAACCTGGTGTTTGGCAAAAATCCTAACACAAAATATAGGCTATTCAAAGCTTCACTATATTACTGGGAGCGGAAACGGCTGTTTGTAAAGTTCTTTTGTGACAACATTTTTGTGATATATGAAATAAAAACAAATGGATTGAATTTCTCATAAATCAGTGTTTAAAGTAACCAAAATAATGAGAGAAAATTGTTTTTTGCCAAAAAAGATATATTTTAAGTATCACTGAAGTCATTTCCAGCTTCTCTTTTCTAATCCCAATAAATTCACTACTGAAAATTATGAAAGGGTTGTACATAGCTAAAACCAAGGTTACAAATGTGTGTGAAAAATCTTGGCAAGTCACGTTAAAATACAGAATGGCACCATGGCCTGGGTGAAGAGCAATACTTATTCTCCTAATTAAATATAAGCAAACCTCTGATTTCTACCTGACTCACCAATTTGGAATGTAGCTTTTTTGAAATGTTTGTACCAAAAGAAAGACTAATTGTTTTAACTTTTAAATGATAAAGTAACATGCCTTATTTCTCTCCAGACACATTCCACTGGAACAATAGCTAGAGATAATCTGTTACTCTCAGGATATCCTCTCAGTGTAAATTGGGATTTTGCAGTTCATAACCCATAACCAATAGTATAAACAAGATGAAATATAGCCATTTGTAGAGAGAGTTGCCAAAAAGATGTGTTTTCTGTTTTCTTCATTATGATCATTTAAAATTTTTTCATTAAAACTTTCTTGTACTTATTTCTTTTCTTGAAGATATATTTGAAATAATTCATCCGTAGGATTCTTAGGATTTAAACAACAGCAAGAACAAACACAACAACTTTATTTTTTAGTGTCATTAATTCAAATAGGTTAGATTTCACTTACCAAATCATTCAACTTTAATTTTTAAGCACTTAACATAAGACAAGTACTGTATTCAATGCAGAAAGCATGATAGTAAGATAGACACTAAGCCTATGTCTCTGCATTTTTCAGTCTTTAAAAGGGCAGAAAAGTAAACAAACCGTAACACCAAATGTATTTAGAGCTACAATACAGGAAGTGCAAAATCTAGTAAAATCACAGAGCAGGAGCAATGAGCTAGTTTATGAGGTCAAGGAAGATTCCTAGAGGAAATGATATTTAATTCATGTTTTCAAATTTGAGGTTGATCAATTTAGTAAATCAAATAGAGTAGAAAAGAACAGAAACTATGAGGTTGCATTGCACATAAAATGTGTAAGTATTGTTTCAAGAAGTACTTTTTCCAGTTTTTTTTTTTTTTTATCCTCTAGAATATATTTATTAATTGTATTTAATTGCAGGATTTTACATTGATCACAATTAAAATTACTATCTTTTCTGTATGCCCACTGTTCTGTCTGCTCAGTATATTTTTTTTTTTTCTTTCTTGTTATCTCTTTTTTTTTTTTTTTTTTAACTTTTTTTTTTTATTATTATACTTTAAGTTTTAGGGTACATGTGCACATTGTGCAGGTTAGTTACATATGTATACATGTGCCATGCTGGTGCACTGCACCCACTAACGTGTCATCTAGCATTAGGTATATCTCCCAATGCTATCCCTCCCCCCTCCCCCGACCCCACCACAGTCCCCAGAGTGTGATATTCCCCTTCCTGTGTCCATGTGATCTCATTGTTCAATTCCCACCTATGAGTGGGAATATGCGGTGTTTGGTTTTTTGTTCTTGCGATAGTTTACTGAGAATGATGGTTTCCAATTTCATCCATGTCCCTACAAAGGACATGAACTCATCATTTTTTATGGCTGCATAGTATTCCATGGTGTATATGTGCCACATTTTCTTAATCCAGTCTATCATTGTTGGACATTTGGGTTGGTTCCAAGTCTTTGCTATTGTGAATAATGCCGCAATAAACATACGTGTGCATGTGTCTTTATAGCAGCATGATTTATAGTCCTTTGGGTATATACCCAGTAATGGGATGGCTGGGTCAAATGGTATTTCTAGTTCTAGATCCCTGAGGAATCGCCACACTGACTTCCACAATGGTTGAACTAGTTTACAGTCCAACCAACAGTGTAAAAGTGTTCCTATTTCTCCACATCCTCTCCAGCACCTGTTGTTTCCTGACTTTTTAATGATTGCCATTCTAACTGGTGTGAGATGATATTTCATAGTGGTTTTGATTTGCATTTCTCTGATGGCCAGTGATGATGAGCATTTTTTCATGTGTTTTTTGGCTGCATAAATGTCTTCTTTTGAGAAGTGTCTGTTCATGTCCTTCCCCCACTTTTTGATGGGGTTGTTTGTTTTTTTCTTGTAAATTTGTTTGAGTTCATTGTAGATTCTGGATATTAGCCCTTTGTCAGATGAGTAGGTTGCGAAAATTTTCTCCCATGTTGTAGGTTGCCTGTTCACTCTGATGGTAGTTTCTTTTGCTGTGCAGAAGCTCTTTAGTTTAATTAGATCCCATTTGTCAATTTTGGCTTTTGTTGCCATTGCTTTTGGTGTTTTGGACATGAAGTCCTTGCCCACGCCTATGTCCTGAATGGTAATGCCTAGGTTTTCTTCTAGGGTTTTTATGGTTTTAGGTCTAACGTTTAAATCTTTAATCCATCTTGAATTGATTTTTGTATAAGGTGTAAGGAAGGGATCCAGTTTCAGCTTTCTACATATGGCTAGCCAGTTTTCCCAGCACCATTTATTAAATAGGGAATCCTTTCCCCATTGCTTGTTTTTCTCAGGTTTGTCAAAGATCAGATAGTTGTAGATATGCGGCATTATTTCTGAGGGCTCTGTTCTGTTCCATTGATCTATATCTCTGTTTTGGTACCAGTACCATGCTGTTTTGGTTACTGTAGCCTTGTAGTATAGTTTGAAGTCAGGTAGTGTGATGCCTCCAGCTTTGTTCTTTTGGCTTAGGATTGACTTGGCGATGCGGGCTCTTTTTTGGTTCCATATGAACTTTAAAGTAGTTTTTTCCAATTCTGTGAAGAAAGTCATTGGTAGTTTGATGGGGATGGCATTGAATCTGTAAATTACCTTGGGCAGTATGGCCATTTTCATGATATTGATTCTTCCTACCCATGAGCATGGAATGTTCTTCCATTTGTTTGTGTCCTCTTTTATTTCCTTGAGCAGTGGTTTGTAGCTCTCCTTGAAGAGGTCCTTCACATCCCTTGTAAGTTGGATTCCTAGGTATTTTATTCTCTTTGAAGCAATTGTGAATGGGAGTTCACTCATGATTTGGCTCTCTGTTTGTCTGTTGTTGGTGTATAAGAATGCTTGTGATTTTTGTACATTGATTTTGTATCCTGAGACTTTGCTGAAGTTGCTTATCAGCTTAAGGAGATTTTGGGCTGAGACAATGGGGTTTTCTAGATAAACAATCATGTCATCTGCAAACAGGGACAATTTGACTTCCTCTTTTCCTAATTGAATACCCTTTATTTCCTTCTCCTGCCTGATTGCCCTGGCCAGAACTTCCAACACTATGTTGAATAGGAGCAGTGAGAGAGGGCATCCCTGTCTTGTGCCAGTTTTCAAAGGGAATGCTTCCAGTTTTTGCCCATTCAGTATGATATTGGCTGTGGGTTTGTCATAGATAGCTCTTATTATTTTGAAATACGTCCCATCAATACCTAATTTATTGAGAGTTTTTAGCATGAAGGGTTGTTGAATTTTGTCAAAGGCTTTTTCTGCATCTATTGAGATAATCATGTGGTTTTTGTCTTTGGCTCTGTTTATATGCTGGATTACATTTATTGATTTGCGTATATTGAACCAGCCTTGCATCCCAGGGATGAAGCCCACTTGATCATGGTGGATAACCTTTTTGATGTGCTGCTGGATTCGGTTTGCCAGTATTTTATTGAGGATTTTTGCATCAATGTTCATCAAGGATATTGGTCTAAAATTCTCTTTTTTGGTTGTGTCTCTGCCCGGCTTTGGTATCAGAATGATGCTGGCCTCATAAAATGAGTTAGGGAGGATTCCCTCTTTTTCTATTGATTGGAATAGTTTCAGAAGGAATGGTACCAGTTCCTCCTTGTACCTCTGGTAGAATTCGGCTGTGAATCCATCTGGTCCTGGACTCTTTTTGGTTGGTAAACTATTGATTATTGCCACAATTTCAGAGCCTGTTATTGGTCTATTCAGAGATTCAACTTCTTCCTGGTTTAGTCTTGGGAGAGTGTATGTGTCGAGGAATGTATCCATTTCTTCCAGATTTTCTAGTTTATTTGCATAGAGGTGTTTGTAGTATTCTCTGATGGTAGTTTGTATTTCTGTGGGATTGGTGGTGATATCCCCTTTATCATTTTTTATTGTGTCTATTTGATTCTTCTCTCTTTTTTTCTTTATTAGTCTTGCTAGCGGTCTATCAATTTTGTTGATCCTTTCAAAAAACCAGCTCCTGGATTCATTGATTTTTTGAAGGGTTTTTTGTGTCTCTATTTCCTTCAGTTCTGCTCTGATTTTAGTTATTTCTTGCCTTCTGCTAGCTTTTGAATGTGTTTGCTCTTGCTTTTCTAGTTCTTTTAATTGAGATGTTAGGGTGTCAATTTTGGATCTTTCCTGCTTTCTCTTGTAGGCATTTAGTGCTATAAATTTCCCTCTACACACTGCTTTGAATGCGTCCCAGAGATTCTGGTATGTGGTGTCTTTGTTCTCATTGGTTTCAAAGAACATCTTTATTTCTGCCTTCATTTTGTTATGTACCCAGTAGTCATTCAGGAGCAGGTTGTTCAGTTTCCATGTAGTTGAGCAGCTTTGAGTGAGATTCTTAATCCTGAGTTCTAGTTTGATTGCACTGTGGTCTGAGAGATAGTTTGTTATAATTTCTGTTCTTTTACATTTGCTGAGGAGAGTTTTACTTCCAACTATGTGGTCAATTTTGGAATAGGTGTGGTGTGGTGCTGAAAAAAATGTATATTCTGTTGATTTGGGGTGGAGAGTTCTGTAGATGTCTATTAGGTCCGCTTGGTGCAGAGCTGAGTTCAATTCCTGGGTATCCTTGTTGACTTTCTGTCTCGTTGATCTGTCTAATGTTGACAGTGGGGTGTTAAAGTCTCCCATTATTAATGTGTGGGAGTCTAAGTCTCTTTGTAGGTCACTCAGGACTTGCTTTATGAATCTGGGTGCTCCTGTATTGGGTGCATAAATATTTAGGATAGTTAGCTCCTCTTGTTGAATTGATCCCTTTACCATTATGTAATGGCCTTCTTTGTCTCTTTTGATCTTTGTTGGTTTAAAGTCTGTTTTATCAGAGACTAGGATTGCAACCCCTGCCTTTTTTTGTTTTCCATTTGCTTGGTAGATCTTCCTCCATCCTCTTATTTTGAGCCTATGTGTGTCTCTGCACGTGAGATGGGTTTCCTGAATACAGCACACTGATGGGTCTTGACTCTTTATCCAACTTGCCAGTCTGTGTCTTTTAATTGCAGAATTTAGTCCATTTATATTTAAAGTTAATATTGTTATGTGTGAATTTGATCCTGTCATTATGATGTTAGCTGGTGATTTTGCTCATTAGTTGATGCAGTTTCTTCCTAGTCTCAATGGTCTTTACATTTTGGCATGATTTTGCAGCGGCTGGTACCGGTTGTCCCTTTCCATGTTTAGCGCTTCCTTCAGGAGCTCTTTTAGGGCAGGCCTGGTGGTGACAAAATCTCTCAGCATTTGCTTGTCTATAAAGTATTTTATTTCTCCTTCACTTATGAAGCTTAGTTTGGCTGGATATGAAATTCTGGGTTGAAAATTCTTTTCTTTAAGAATGTTGAATATTGGCCCCCACTCTCTTCTGGCTTGTAGGGTTTCTGCCGAGAGATCCGCTGTTAGTCTGATGGGCTTTCCTTTGAGGGTAACCCGACCTTTCTCTCTGGCTGCCCTTAACATTTTTTCCTTCATTTCAACTTTGGTGAATCTGACAATTATGTGTCTTGGAGTTGCTCTTCTCGAGGAGTATCTTTGTGGCGTTCTCTGTATTTCCTGAATCTGAACGTTGGCCTGCCTTGCTAGATTGGGGAAGTTCTCCTGGATAATATCCTGCAGAGTGTTTTCCAACTTGGTTCCATTCTCCACATCACTTTCAGGTACACCAATCAGACGTAGATTTGGTCTTTTCACATAGTCCCATATTTCTTGGAGGCTTTGCTCATTTCTTTTTATTCTTTTTTCTCTAAACTTCCCTTCTCGCTTCATTTCATTCATTTCATCTTCCATTGCTGATACCCTTTCTTCCAGTTGATCGCATCAGCTCCTGAGGCTTCTGCATTCTTCACGTAGTTCTCGAGCCTTGGTTTTCAGCTCCATCAGCTCCTTTAAGCACTTCTCTGTATTGGTTATTCTAGTTATACATTCTTCTAAATTTTTTTCAAAGTTTTCAACTTCTTTGCCTTTGGTTTGAATGTCCTCCCGTAGCTCAGAGTAATTTGATCGTCTGAAGCCTTCTTCTCTCAGCTCGTCAAAATCATTCTCCATCCAGCTTTGTTCGGTTGCTGGTGAGGAACTGCGTTCCTTTGGAGGAGGAGAGGCGCTCTGCGTTTTAGAGTTTCCAGTTTTTCTGTTCTGTTTTTTCCCCATCTTTGTGGTTTTATCTACTTTTGGTCTTTGATGATGGTGATGTACAGATAGGTTTTCGGCGTAGATGTCCTTTCTGGTTGTTAGTTTTCCTTCTAACAGACAGGACCCTCAGCTGCAGGTCTGTTGGAATACCCTGCCGTGTGAGATGTCAGTGTGCCCCTGCTGGGGGGTGCCTCCCAGTTAGGCTGCTCGGGGGTCAGGGGTCAGGGACCCACTTGAGGAGGCAGTCTGCCCGTTCTCAGATCTCCAGCTGCGTGCTGGGAGAACCACTGCTCTCTTCAAAGCTGTCAGACAGGGACACTTAAGTCTGCAGAGGTTACTGCTGTCTTTTTGTTTGTCTGTGCCCTGCCCCCAGAGGTGGAGCCTACAGAGGCAGGCAGGCCTCCTTGAGCTGTGGTGGGCTCCACCCAGTTCGAGCTTCCCGGCTGCTTTGTTTACCTAAGCAAGCCTGGGCAATGGCGGGCGCCCCTCACCCAGCCTCGTTGCCGCCTTGCAGTTTGATCTCAGACTGCTGTGCTAGCAATCAGCGAGATTCCGTGGGTGTAGGACCCTCTGAGCCAGGTGTGGGATATAGTCTCGTGGTGCGCCGTTTTTTAAGCCGGTCTGAAAAGCGCAATATTCGGGTGGGAGTGACCCGATTTTCCAGGTGCGTCCGTCACCCCTTTCTTTGACTCGGAAAGGGAACTCCCTGACCCCTTGCGCTTCCCAGGTGAGGCAATGCCTCGCCCTGCTTCGGCTCGCGCACGGTGCGCGCACACACTGGCCTGCGCCCACTGTCTGGCACTCCCTAGTGAGATGAACCCGGTACCTCAGATGGAAATGCAGAAATCACCCGTCTTCTGCGTCGCTCACTCTGGGAGCTGTAGACCGGAGCTGTTCCTATTCGGCCATCTTGGCTCCTCCTTCCAGTATATATCTACTTTTTCCAGTTATATTTGTGTGTGTCTTAGAGGGATCTGAGTTTTGATGTAAAATGTATTTTCCAAGATGAGTCATGACCAATAATATTTTGAAATCCACTAGCCTAAAGGATAAGTGAAAATTAGATAGTCAAAGATAAGAAATAAGAATTTTTCTGGAAAGACAAGTAAATTTTTTCTTGCAGATAAAAGTATGTGAAAATATCTAGTGATATGAAAGTTTGTGTGATTCTTGAAGGTGAAATTTCAGAATAGCTGGAAGAGTTGGGTGAGCCCAGGTGCTTGTGTAGGAAGTGACATCAGCAGGTGGTGGCTATGTGAAATTCAGCGATGAGGTTGCATTCAGGGTAGAAAGTGATTATGAAGCATTTTATGATCCATGTGAAGAAGTTTGAATATTATTTTCATAGCTGCAATTAACTGCTAAATGGTTGCAAGCAGGAAGACATGATCATGTTTGCATGTTAGAGGAATAGCTCTGATTGCATTTTATAAATAGGAGAGAGAAAAGTCAATATTGGAGCCAGGCGGCTTGCAGTAATTCAGATGTCCTGATCAAGAAGAATGATTTGGAGGATAAAGAGGAGTAGATGGATGTGAATGCTTTGTGGAAAGGAAAAATAGGAAGAATGGCATTTAGCTGTAGAAAGAAGGAGAAATAGAGGTGCCTGGAATATCTGTAAAATTGCAGACAAGAGCAGTCAGGTGTAGAGTGCTGACTGAGAGCGGGAACAATGGAGAAGAAGCCAACTTAGTGGATAAGGAGCACTAACTTTCAGTTTAGGACGTATTGATTGTCAAATCTGCTCAACGTCACACCATTCACAGTGAAGAAACCTGAAGGATTTTTTAAGGGTTAATTACTAATAAAGACAGAAGCAGCTCTCTGGAACACTTTCTAAGTGAGGAGCTAAATTCTCTAACTTCTATATATTTCACATAAGTCCTGCCACCCTGGGTTTCTTACCATTGTTGAAATAATAAAGATCAGTAAGTGATATTTCAACAAACTAGTCTCTTAAACTTTAGATTTTGTTGTATTTTCAAATGAAAATTTATTTTCTACAAAAAAATTGAAGTCAGTAATCACCATGCTAAAAATAGTTTACCAAAAACAATTAATTTTTAGAATGACATATATCCAATTCCCCAATATTTAGTATTTAGGCTTTTTTAAAATATCTATGTAGGTGAAATAAAGATCATTTAGTGTTTAAACAAATTTGTATGGCTTAAATGAATGAAACTTCATTGTATGGAGATATATAAAACATTCCATTTTGAAAAAATAGAATTATATTTAGATTCATGAGAAGTTTTGTGGATATAAACATTTTTTTAAAAAACCCAAGCCACTTACATTTACATCACATAATTGTAATAAAGAGGATTTTCATCCTGACAATTATAATTTTCTGCTGGTTGAACACTCACAATGTAGCAGAATTGTAAATCACAAATGGAAATGCTGTCCCCACCTTTAGCAATTCGGGAGGAAATGTTCATGGAAATTTGTTATTAAATGAATTCTTATTTTTGCACTTTGGGGTGCATCTACATGCTGTCTTGATACCAGTTATTCATTTTAAAGAATGCTATTAAAGTCAATAATAGGTCCTGATTAATTACCAGATGAGTACTATGATGAAGTGTTTTATATCGCATGTTTTTTACTCTGAAATTATTTCCATTACTCTTGGGAGGATGGAGTTCTCTCTAAGACTGCCCCTCACAAATAAAAAAATCTTCCTGTGAAAAGAATCTCTCATTCTTTTCTGGAGCAAAACTAAATTTAAAATTAAAATAAGATGAAAACCACAATGAGATACCATCTCACACCAGTTAGAATGGCAATCATTAAAAAGTCAGGAAACAACAGGTGCTGGAGAGGATGTGGAGAAATAGGAACACTTTTACACTGTTGGTGGGACTGTAAACTAGTTCAACCATTGTGGAAGACAGTGTGGCGATTCCTCAGGGATCTAGAGCTAGAAATACCATTTGACTCAGCCATCCCATTACTGGGTATATACCCAAAGGACTATAAATCATGCCGCTATAAAGACACATGCACACGTATGTTTATTGTGGCACTATTCACAATAGCAAAGACTTGGAACCAACCCAAATATCCAACAATGATAGACTGTATTAAGAAAATGTGGCACATATACACCATAGAATACTATGCAGCCATAAAAAATGATGAGTTCACGTCCTTTGTAGGGACATGGATGAAATTGGAAATCATCATTCTCAGCAAACTATCGCAAGGACAAAAAACCAAACACCGCATGTTCTCACTCATAGATGGGAACTGAACAATGAGAACACATGGACACAGGAAGGGGAACATCACACTCTGGGGACTGTTGTGGGGTGGGGGGAGGGGGGAGGGATAGCATTAGGAGATATACCTAATGCTAAATGACGAGTTAATGGGTGCAGCACACCAGCATGGCACATGTATACAGATGTAACCAACCTGCACATTGTGCACATGTACCCTAAAACTTAAAGTATAATAATAATAAAAAAAGAAAAAAAGAAAAAAATAATAATAAAAATAAAATTAAAATAAGATTAATACTAAAATTTAAATTGGATTGAAACATATAGAATGTAAATAATAATTAGTAAAGGACATAGAACACAAGGGGCAGGGGGCAAAGGTGTGTGAGAGAGAGAGAAAGAGGGAGATGGCATGTATCCTAGACTATATATACATATGCCCATGCAACTGATGCAATGTATGTGTAAACTACATATTGTTGTAGTGTTTGAGTTTTTATTTTGTTTTAGGTTATTTTCTTCTCTGAAAAAGCATGAGTCTTGGAAAGTTAAAATTTTGGCTTCCCATACTGTGATTACTGTTATCATTTTTCCCCATTAGTTTGAAAGACCAAAGCATCAGCCCTCCTATCACTGTATTTCTTTAGTAATGGAGTCTTCTGAGTATGCACGAGAGTAGGCGTCTGGGCTAAACTGGAAAACTGTTCTATGCTTGTTACATGAACAAGACCATGGTGGATTCCACCACTGCTGTAGCAAATGTAATGAAAATCAATGGCCACTTTTTTTTTTATCAAGGACCTTAACGATGCCCTCTTGCCAGTAATTTTATCTCTTATGCTTTATGTTTTAATTAATAGATAAGTTTACTGTAGGACTATTTATAATTTTAAGATATACTTAAAAATAACTAAATTTCCCCATATGAGGACTCAATAAATTACAGCAGAACCTCTTGATAGAAACTACAATGCCATTGAAAAGTTTTGCATATTTATAAAAAGTAGTTTGCAAAAAGTTATACTGAATGTGTATATCATAAAATGAAGTAAAACGAACCAGGTGTATCATTGTACACAGCTTGTTCTGACTATAGAATACCAAGAAACTCAGTGTTAAAAACTGACTTAAAATAATTTTGTCATAATATACACAACATTTCTGAAAGGCAATATCATACATTTAATTTTATTTCCCTTATAGCTTAACAATATTTAAAAATGAGTATGAAATAGTTAATAAAAATATAAACTATTAAATATTATTTCCTTTTGCAAACACACATTCCATACTACCCAAAATCCACCTATAAAAAGCATTTAAGCAAATAATCTGGCTAGATTCTGACAAATGTGAAACTATTTAACCATAGACTCACTTTTGCAAGCTAAGAAAACTCAAGCTTGGTCTATTTGTTTGCCAGAATTCTGTTTTTATCAATATCAAGATGCCTGTCCTTAAGATTGTCCTTAAGAATAGTGATTGAAGTAGAAAAGTACCAAGTGATGTTGACAATTTGTCCATACATTTTACGTCCTGTATGTTACCTTTTTCCCACATTGGAGAAGTATATAATCTCTTTTGCTTGCTTGCTTGCTTTTTTTCATTATTATTATTACCATGAAACCTGCTTTGTGGTCTCTCAGAGCTTCAATTCAATCAGACACGTAGAGTAATTCCCCATTTCAATGCTTCTTCCCTTAGTGTAGTTCAAAATACAAATGCAGACAATATTGCTTTCCCAGAGGCAAGCTAAGAAAATCTTTTTCTTTCTATAATAGAGGCAGAGAATAAACATTTCAAGATTGAAACCTACTCGTCTGTAAACAGAAGTGACATTGTTCGCATTTGCTGGAAAAAAAAAATAAGCAGGGATTATCATTTCATAGCCTAAAGTAGATTGAAACTAGTTGAAAAGTAAAACTCTTTGAGCACACCATTTCCTCTGACTGATAATGGCTGTTGATCTTTGTGTCTCAGTCCTTATAATTGCTTTGCTTTTATTTTTTAATCAACCCCCATTTCAGTTACTCATCAGCCACATGTGGGTGAAAATGGATGGTGATGCACAGTCATTTACAGGTGCACTTTCATTAAGGATAAAAAGCTTTTGGGACTGTGTTCTTAAGAGGCATTTAAATGGATTTGTTCTTTCTTGCAACTTCTTTCAGCTGTATCTTTCAAGATCCATAAACCTGCACAGAAAAGGAATCTACAACGTGCATAAAATAAGCCCAAGTTATACTTATCTAATTTGTGTGTATAATCCTGAGAATTGAGTAAAATGATTTACGCCTGTGTCCCCACCCCCTAAAAATTGAGGAGTGGAATCCAAAGAGTAATTTGGGGTTTTTGACACATTGCCAAGTGTGTGAGTTATCTGAGATCAAAATTTATCTGAGATTAGTTACTTTCAGCAGAGGAAGTAGAACTGCTCTGTCTATATCTTGAAGCTGTTTAAAAGTCACATTGAATCAAGAGTTGAGAGAAACAAACTGGGTGGGACTCTGGAGATAAAGAAACTGGCATAAGATTTTTAAGTCCAAAGCCTGGAGTTTTAATATTTGCTCAATTTCTTGAGAGCTTCTTCATCTTGAGTAAAAATTCCAAGTCTCAGTTTCTTCACACAAAAAAAGGGAGGAACTAATACTACCTACCGAGCTTACTTCACAGACCACAGCTAGAATAAACTGAGAGAACATAAATAAAAACCTTCAAAAACTATGGCTGTGTCTATTATGATAGTACATAAAGGGAACATTTCACATCAGTGGGAAAAGGATGACTTATTCAATTTCTTTCTTTCTTTCTTTCTTTTTTTTTTTTTTTTTTGAGACAGAATCTCAGAGTCTCACTGGAGTGCAGTGGCGTGATCTCGGCTCACCCAACCTCTGCCTCCCAGGTTCAAGCAATTCTCCTGCCTCAGCCTCCCAAGAAGCTGGGACTACAGGTGCACGCCACCACACCTAGCTAATTTTTGTATTCTTAGTAGAGACAGGGTTTCACTATGTTGGCCAGACTGGTCTCAAACTCCTGACCTCAAGTGATCTGCCCACTTTGGCCTCAATTAATTGCATTGAGTCAATTGCCTATACGTTGAAAAAAAAATTGAATACTAACTCACACTTTTCACAAAAATGAATTATGGTGTATCCAAAATTTAAACTATAATTTTAAACATAAATAATATAAGAAGAAAATATCTTTATATGTTTATGAACTCAAGTGAGAAAAATCTTCTTACATCAGACACAAAAAGTGAAACCCTGAATGAAAATTTTTGTGGGATTTAATAATTTTCACACACATTTTTAGCAATATAGAGATATTACATAATTTAAAATTATTTTATATCTTGTTTCTGTATATATCTGTATATGCATATACAGTGTGTGTATACATATATGTGTATATATATGTGTGTGTGTGTATATATATATATACCCATACACGTATATGTGTGTGTGTGTATATATATATACCCATACACATATATATGTGTGTGTGTGCATGTGTGTGTGTATATATATATATATATATATATATACCCATACACACACATACGTACACACACATATATATGTGTGAATGGGTATATATATGTGTATGCATGTAACCTTTTGTAAATAGTAAGGAAACAAACATCTCAATTGAAAATGAGCAACTGTATAAACAGATGTTTTCTTGTAGAGAAAAAGAGGAAAGACAAATTTTTTTGCCTAAGTTTAACTGAAGTTTTAATCCTTTTTTATATCAATTGGGGATGAATCTGTGAGGTAATGGTGCCTCTATATTCTTTTGGGATAGTGTAATTGGCACAACCTCCATGAAGGATGATTCAACTGTATAAAATTTGAATGTCACTCATTATTATCTATCCTAGAGAAATAATTGGATACACACATATACATTCACATACATACAGATGTAAAGGTAACATGTATAAGTATTCACCATATCTAATTTACAATAGTAAAGTATTGGGGAAAATCAGATTGTTTATCAAAAAAATAGAAAAATTAACTATATTATGTTCAAATTATGCAAAAGTATGCAGAGACTTAAAAATGAGCTAGTTCCACATATACCAACATGGAAAGAACTAAAAGTTACATTATTGAATAAAAAGTAAAATTATGGCATATTAGATGACACCACTATATCAGAACATCACAAGATAGGATAATTGAAGGGAGCCCTACAGTTGCCCCAGATTACTGCTTTGAAGAATTTCTAGGGAATGGCTCAGGGAGAGGGAACCCAGACAGCACTAAGCAGACTTGTTGAAGAGACAAGCTAAGAGACAGGGTAGACCCTGGAAGCTGCAGTTGACAGGACTGAAAAGAAGTAAACATAACAGAGAGACAATTCTATAGATCTATAGAGAGTCCAGTCAAAAAATCAGCAAACTCTAATCAGTATATGCATTTGAGGATGCTATCCTAAGTAGGGGAAGACACCATCAAATGAATTAGAGAAAATAGTACCCAGGGAGCATACAGATCTGGGAACAGTGGATGGTCCAAAAAGGCATCATGGAAAATGTCATAATTTACAGCTTTTGGTTAGAATATAAGAAGTGGTTAGCCTCAGGAATGAGGAATAATTATGCCTCAGTTAAATGCTCCTCTCATCTCACCAAACAAAGATTAAAAAACCCAAAGGATCAAACTCTTACCATGTAACTCAACTGCATCCCAGGACAAAGCTCAAAAGTACACATTTAGAAATACAGAACTATTCAGCATCCAACAAGGTAACTTCACAATGCCTGGCATCTAATTAGGGTTTATCAGATAATGCAAAAGGAGCAGATAATATGACCCATATTGAGGAGAAAAAAAATCACTCAAAACTGTCCCAAAACTGACATTGATGAAATAACTAACAAAAAGTATATCAAAATAGTTCTTGTATTTGCATTTAATATGTTCAAAATGTGTCTATCAAATTCTTCAGAATACTAAGAGGAAGAGCACAAAAACAATATTAATTTAAAAATTAAAATGTTGTCTTTTCATTCATTCTTTTATTACTTCATCCCTGAAATATTGAGCACTTTTTTTAATATAAAGATGTTTTCAGAGGGCTCATTGCTTAAACATAAACAATAACAGTATAGTATAGTATTTATATTGTAAATAAAAGTAAAACTTATGAAAGGAAAAATATGAAAGCATACTATTTTAAGATTCCTATATTCTGTAATACATCAAATGTTATAATATCACTGAATGCAGATTATGGTAAGTTAAAGATATAAAATACTTAAATAACCACTGTAGTAACAAAACAAAAAGTTAAAAAGCCATCAAGGGACCAGACGTGGTGGCTCACAACTTTAATCCCAGCACTTTGGGAAGCTGAGGCAGGCGTATCACCTGAGGTCAGGAGTTTGAGACCAGCCTGGCCAACAGGGAGAAACCCCATCTCTCTTTAAAAAAAAAAAATTAGCCAGGCGTTTTCGGGAGGCTGAGGCAGGAGAATCACTTGAACCTGGGAGGTAGAGGTTGCAGTGAGCCGAGATCATGCCATTGCACTCCAGCCTGGGCAACAAGAGCGAAACTCCATCTCAAAGAAAAAGACATCAAAGGAGATAAAATAGATTATAAAATGTATTTAATACAAAAAGTGGCAGAAAAATCAATAGCAAAAAACAGACAAGACATATAGAAACAAATAGAATTATTCCTAATCATATTAATGGTCACAACAATGCTGGGTGCAGTGGCTTATGCCAGTTAATCCCAGCACTTTGAGAAGCCAAGGTGGAAGAATCACTTGAGGCCAGGGGCTCAAGACCAGCCTGGGAAACATAGCAAGACCCCATCTCTACAAAATATTAAAAAAAAAAAATAGCTGAGCATGGTGGCATGCACCTTTAGTCCTAGCAGCTTGGGAGTCTGACGTAGGAGGATCCCTTGAGCCCAGGAGTTTGAGGTTGAGGTTAACTATAATCATGTTACTGAAAACCATCAACTGAAAGACATAATTGTTTTCTTTTCGTAGTACCAAATAGTAATGATAACAAGAGTTATTTTTGTTAGTTTAAATTTTATGACCTATGATGTTGCTAAAGTCCTGTTTGGACTATGTTAACTAGTTTCTCCTCACGCAATATATTAGATCTCTCTCTCTCTATCTCTCTCTCCCTCACTGTCTCTGTCCTTTTTCTCTCCTTCTTTCCCTCTTAATGTTTACCTTTGTTTCTTTCTCTCTTGTTTTCAACAGCTTAGCATTAATAATTTTCTAGAAGAATTTCTTGGCCCCAATCTGCTTATGCTATACCAAGCTCCCTTTCTTCATCCTTCTCAGAACTCTGAACCTAGTGTCACTCTGGAGTTATCTGGTTTCAATGAAAAACAAGCCTCTTTGTGTATTTAACTCTCCTAATAGTTCATGAGCTCCTCAGTGATAACGCCTTTTGCATGTTTGTATCACTTGTAACCAGCAGAATGATTCGCTCTTAATAGGTATTCAATTCATATTTACTGAATAGATGTACTTTCTTTAATAATTTCCATTAATACTGCTTTTGTTACTTGATGCAAAATACGACACTATGAAATTTACATTTGTAGGATGTGTCATGGGAATAGAGATAGATGAAAAGAGTTTGTACAATTAAAGGAAAAAACTCCCTCAAGAACGAATTATTCTTCAAGGGAAACATGCTCCTGGCAGAGAATTTTAGTAAAGACAACTCAGTGGTGGTAAATGAAGTGCTGATAATTCTAGGTCAAGTCAGGTCACAGAAGGAATTTTGCTAAACCTGTTGGAATAATGCAATATAAAAAATCCTCTTCAATTTTCTGCTTAAATTTTGTCTCCCTTGTTTTAGTAACAATTTGCCCCATAACTTAAAAGAATATTTAACAGCTTGTTAGCAGGTGATATTAATTTTAGATTAAAAGTTATTTATGCAAATTAAAAAAAATTAAAGCAGATATACATCTGTCCATTATATTTCTACAGAAATAAAAATAGAAGTTATTAACTATGGCTAGTAAGTGTTAAATGTTAATTTTGGGTCCATACTCCTTGTGAATAAAAAGCACTTATAGAGTAGACCCCAATTTATTTGTTCTATGGAGAGGAGGGGGAAGAGGTAGGAGGGGGAAGAGGTAGGAGGGGGAAGAGGTAGGAGGAAAAGAATAAAAGTAGGATTTCCTGAAGTTTGGTGATCAAGAATAAGCTAAGGGACTTAAGGAGAAATATAAAGTCAAAATAAAACATTAGCCCTGGGAACACTTACTTCTTTGATTATATAAAAATTATTTTATTTCCCAAATGAGATAAAGTGAGGCTTACAGAGATATTGCGTCCTCTTTATACACTCTCACTATAAATGAGAACCTACAACCTAGACTACTATTTTGTCCTCTACACCATTCTGTCTAAGAATCAGGCTGTTGATTGTTTGATTTGTGGAGAGATAGAAACCTATGATCCTGCTTTTTGGACATGCCATAAGCTGAGATTAGTTGTAGAGAAAGAACCACCCACAAATATCAAAGGGAGAAAATCAAGTGTGGGCCACTGAAAGACAGTATCATTCTTCATTGTGAATCCACTGAGGATCCAGGATGAAAGGAAACTACATTACAAGTAAGCAACCAACGTATTTTTCCAAGCATCTGTATGCTATAAGCTGTATAATCTTAGAAAAATTACTTAATCCAATATGGGAAACTGAGATGGTCTATTCAATAACTTTGTTGTAAAAAGTAAATAAATTAAAACATGCAAATGATTTAATGTCTGGTATTATAAAGCATACAAATCTCTAACTAGGTTCTGGTATACAGTAAGTACTCTATAAATTTTAGCAATTATACTAATAATGAAAATAGTATCTACTGTTGCTGATGATTTTGATTAGCAAAATTTTCAGAAGGTAAAAATAAGACCCAATGAGTAAGAATTCCTTGAAGTCATGGACTGAAAGAATTCTCAGTGGAAAGACTTATCTAAAATAATAGTAATAGCACTTAATACGTGTCAGTCACTGTATTAGACTCAGCCTTATGAAAAAGCATTTATATCTATTTTATGCTGAGAAAAATGAAGACCAGGGCAGTTAAGTGGTTTGCCCACCCTTATGTAATGCAGTTGTTGCATGGCAGAGCCAGGATTTACACTATTTTTTTCTAATGCTAAGGCACAGACATTTTCCAGTGCTGCCTTTATTGTTTAGTCATTGCATGCTATAGAACAAATATGCATTCTCTTAAATTTGGCAGTATGTGATAGAAAATAGAACAAGGGAAGAAGAGAGAGGACTGTCAGCAATTAAATGAAATCTTATGTTAAATAAATGTATGACATAAGTATAATGATAGTATATAACACATTTGCCACTAGTAGTGTCTGCTCCTCAGAGATGGCTGAATTTGGCCTGAACTTATTTGCAGAGCCTAAACTATCTAGAACACTCTTCAAGATTTCAACTATAGAAACAATACTGTATTTCCTGTGGAAGACAGTGTGGTGATTCCTCAGGGATCTAGACCTAGAAATACCATTTGACCCAGTCATCCCATTACTGGGTATATACCCAAAGGAATATAAATCATGCTGCTATAAAGACACATGCACACATATGTTTATTGTAGCACTACTCACAATAGCAAAGACTTGGAACCAACCCAAATGTCCAACAATGATAGACTGGATTAAGAAAATGTGGCACATATACACCATGGAATACTATGCAGCCATAAAAAATGATGAGTTCATGTCCTTTTTAGGGACATGGATGAAGCTGGAAACCATCATTCTCAGCAAACTATAGCAAGGACAAAAAACCAAACACCACATGTTCTCACTCACAGGTGGAAATTGAACAATGAGAACACATGGACACAGGAAGGGGAACATCACACACCGGGGCCTGTTGTGGGGTGGGGGGAGCAGGGGAGGGATAGCATTACGAGATGTACCTAATGTAAATGACCAGTTAATGGGTGCAGCACACCAAATGGCACATGTATACATATGTAACAAACCTGCATGTTGTGCATATATATATATACGTATATATATATATATACACACATATATATGTACATATATATATATAAGAAACAATACTTACACAGCACTTACTAAATGTAAGGCTATGCTAAGCACTTTTACATGTATTAACTAATTTAATCTTCATAGCAACCTTATGAAGAAAATACTATCATTGTTCCCAATTTCCACATGAGAAACCCAAGGCAGAGGGAGGTAAAGTAATTTTTCCAATTTCACACAACCTGTGGTTGGTAAAATTGGGATGGTCACCCAGGCAGTTTGACTTCAGAAAAAAAAGACTCTAAACAAAGACATATTTCCATATATTATTTCCTTGTGCTTTTCTCCTTCTACATGATCCTATTTCATCAGTTCTGTATAAAAATGAGCCCAGTATCATGAGAATGAAGAAGGCTCCCTTTCCTTGTACTGGTTTCCATGAGAAAACCAATCACATCAAATCTGCCTTAGGTTCATTCTCTGGGAAATGGGCTCTGGTGGAGTTTGCATGGGGGAGGTTTATTGGGCAATGCTTTCTAGAACAACTCACATAGACAAGGGAAGGAAGTAAGAGAGGGCATGGGGAGAAGTTGAGCTGCAATACAGCAGCCACAAAATCCTCAGCTAGTCATCCATGGGGAAGCCACGGAGCTAGGAGGACACTTCAAGGATGTTCCTGAGTGAAGTCCTTACCTTGGTACATAATAGGGAAGAAGATTCAGAGGTTTGAGAAGTGCTATCTCCAACTTTCTTGCCGGGAAAGGCAGTCACATGCCTGCAATCTTTCAATTCTGCTCTGCAACATAAGAATGGGCTTTGGGCCTGGAATGCTTCCTAACCAAGAGATAGGGAGACCTCAAAGCCTGTGCTGGGATTATAACTTTGTGTGGGAATATATTTGCCTGTTTCAGATCCAATAATAACTTTGTCTTTCTATTTAAGCATTTGCTTCACGTGATACCAGGCCAACTCTACCACCATAACCCATTCTTAGCTGCGGGAGGAAATAGGTTCCTTCACTTGCAGAACAAGAGGAGTGCATGTAGTTAATCAGTGTGCATTGGCTGCAATACAACCCCCTGAGCCACAAGGATTGGCACCCACTATTGAAGCTAATCTTGTTCTGTCTCCTCTATGTGGGTAAAGCCATGTTCCATCCAGTGCATGTGTGAGTTCTATCTTTCTTATTGACCCTGAACCATGATGTGGATTGGCATCCTGGGTATGCTGCTTCTGTGGAATGGGAATCCTTCCCTGGAGGTTATAACAGGAATTCCTCGATCAACGCCTCTAATTAAATGCCAGGCATCACCAATTCTGCACAACTTTAGCCATCTGTTCAACACCTCTGGGGTTACTTTCTCTTCTTGGGAGTGACTCAAGGAATAGGGATGCAGGCTATCTTCTAAGGGAACTGAGCAGCATCTTTAACCTCTGGATCTTCCTTCAGAGAGAAATGTCACTCCCTGGGGATCTTGTTTTCCAGATACTACAAGAAGAAAGTGTTTTCAGAAGGTAAGTATGGTCATCCCTGTTAAATGTTGCTGCAATATCAAGTATAAATGAGAAGAAACCTTTAGATTTGGCAACCTAACCATCATTAGTGATGTTAAAATGAATGGACATGGTAAAGTGGCAGAGATGAAGGTCTGAGTAATTCAGAAAATTGCACACTTTTGCTTTTCCATGTATCTCTATGGACTCTCCCTTCTTAAACTCCTTTCCTGGCTCCTTCTCTTCTGTTGAAGCTTTAAATCTGGAATTACTCCATACTGAACATCTCTGTATACACACTTTTGCTGGGTGAGCTTAGCTAATTCGTGACTTTGAATATCATATGCAATGGGCTGAATGTTTGTGTTCACCCAAAATTCATATATTGAAATCTTAACCTCCAATGTGATGGTATTAGGAGGTAAGGCCTTTTGCAGGCAATGGAGTTATGACGGTAGAGCCCTCATGAAAGGGATTGTGCCCTGATAGAAGAGAACCCAGAGAGCTCTCTAGCCCTCTTTTTCCCATTTGAGGACACAACAAGAAGTCAGCAGTCTGCAACACAGAAGAGAACATGCTCCAGAATGCTTGATCTCGAACTTCCAGCGTCCAGAACTGTGAGAAATAGATTTGTGATATTTATAAGTTCTCCAACCTATAGTATCTTATTATATTAGCTCAAAATGTCTAAGGTGTCATATATTTGTTAATGATTTCCAAATTTATATTTAAATCACTGGCTTATCTCCAGAAATCCAGACTTACATTTTATAATTCCTACTTTATATCTCCGCTTAGGTATCTAGTAGAATCTCAAAATTAAGGTGGATAAAGTTATCCAAATTCTCCCTTACTCCCTGAACCTACTTTTTAAAAACATCTTCACATCTAAATATATATACCACAATTAACCATCATAACAACAAACTATGTGTTATCTCTAATTTTTCTTATTTTCCTCCCTTCTCGTCCATATTCAAGCTATGAACTTCTTTTCACTTGTAATATTTTTAAGGTTTTTGTTTTAGACATCTTCATAGTGAGACAAAATATCCTTAGGTTTTGATTTTTGACTCCACATGAGACTACTTTTAGGAGGTGGGTTTATTCTATTTATATGTCTTGTTATAAGAGATGTGTCTTGACTTTTAATTTCAGCATTTTATTTTATATTCTCTGATTTTAAAACTTTATTTTATTTCCATATTTGGTAACTGTATTGATCCTGTTTTTTTCTTGTTGATACACTCATTATATATTTAAGTGGCTACTATTTACAGATGGCAATATTCTACGAGCTGAGATGATAAGAGTGAACCCAGCAGACAAAATTCCTTTTGTCCTGTAGCTGGGTGATTTTTCTAATGGTAATTCAGATCATCATATTATTTATTTTGATTCCATTTTATAGTAGTTACCTTTAAAATTTTATTTAATATATATGAAACTCTATTTCTTTTTTTTTTTTTTTTAGGTAATATGGCTTCCCATTCTAATGAGAGGGATTTTCATTCTCTTATTTTGTTGATGACTTCAAATAGCATAACTAACCTATATTTCTTGACTTTTTCACCTTAGGTAATATCTATATTCTACTAAACCAGATGAGAAAATTACTGTCTTTATCTTTCTCCTCTCTTTCAGTTTTTCATATACAGAGTTTTAATTTTATTTAGTATTTTTAAATTGTCTAGATTTATAGTATATAGTTTTGTAATAATATTTACCTGTATTTAGACTGAGGGCTCCATTTAAACAGATCCAAAGATCACCATTGTTCCATTAGACCATGATTATGGTTACTTTGTAGTTTGTTGGTTTTGCTTCTTTTGTTTATTCATGTTATCCAGGATAGTCCCAGGGTTTATTAGGTTATGGGTTCTTGAATATTTGAAAATGTATATCTATTGTCTTTATATTTTATTAATCGCTTGCACACAGAATAATTCGTCTCAGAGGAGATCATCTAAAACTAAGACTTTAGGTTCTCTTCTCTTCTTACCCTCCCTTCCTCAGAGGCTCTGCCTTTCCCGCTAGAAATTACTTATGAATTTTTATTATTTTTCTTCCTTCCTCCAGTTTACACTGAAAACAAGAAAGTCCAAATTACTGAGTCCAACTTTTCTTATTTCAGGTGAGATACTGGTATTTTTTAATATATTTTCCTCAGAATTCTTACATATTCCCTTCTTCCATTCATTTCTAAATTGGGAATATCCCATGTCTTTGGGGCACATGAATTTATTGGCGATGCTTTGCATGAAGACAAAAGACAGAAGCGATCAGCTGTCTCTGAAAAGTCCTCACAGGGTGGCATTTAAGAAAGTTCTGCTCTTATCCTCAACATTGCAATTTCATCAGTCTCACTGACCCATAGAAACGTATGAATAAAACAAAAGTCGCATTTTGAAAATTAACCTATAAAGCACATAACTTTAACTAGAAACATAATACTCTTAGTGATCTGAGAGTTTTTCATTAGAAGCATATTTACATTGAAAAACAATGATGATCAAACTATGATCACTGCATCTCTTGTTAAACCAAACAAGTAAGTTGGATGATCTTAGAAAATGCTTTTTATCTAAAATAGTTTGAGTCCTCTTCCCCAATTGCAAAACATAAAAGATTATCTCAATTTTTAGAGGTTAGAAAATTGAATTTTCGAGAAGTTAAGTCACCTGACCCAGCTCATATAGCTAGAATGACATAAACCTAGTCTCTCTGGTACCAGACCCTAAAGTTTTGTTCTGCTCTGTCAACTAGGCAAGAAAGCTGATAGGTTTCCAAGATCTTCATATCACTTCCTGTGGTGTCCCAATTACAAAATCCTTAGAAACATTTCATTCATTTATTCCTTCAATTGTACTTTTTCTATATGGAACACCATATCAGATATTGTCAATGCCCCACCCATTTCCCCTTGGGACCCAACTGCCGAAAGCTGCTTAGTGAAAATACCTGAACCCTCTGATGGAAGGTTTTTGTTTTTTGTTTGTTTGTTTGTTTTTGCTGTTTTGTGTTTAGTTTTGCCTGAGAAACATATCAGCCTTCACTCAGGGAAAACTAGACATAAAATAAAGGTAACATTTCTAGGAGCAGGCCTCAGTGGATTATAGTCAAAGATTTGGTAAATAAACACCATAGGTCCTTCATTCTCTAGCTGGAATAATTCAGAGCTATTTTCTGCGCTGACTCTCACATTGCTCCAGGGAACTAAACTCCCATCTTCTGGATTGATAACCTGCCTATTGTTTCACTCATTTGGGCTTCCTTCTCTTCCCTATCTCATTTCCTCACTTCCCTACTAGTTTTTCTGGATGACCTCTCAAACTTTAGGAAATCAAATTCTTGCTTCAAGTCTATTTCTGGGAGATAAACTAAGACAAAAGCATACTAACTGCTCATTGTTGTTGAAAGATGTGGGGATATAGAAGTGAAAAAGCAAATTCCCAGATGTTAGAAGTGAGAAAAATTATTTACAACTTGGAAATAGGCAAAGAGATTAGTGAGTTTCCTTTCAGTGCAGTTTTGGGCTTGACTTACTGTCAATAAGGCTATTTTACAACTCTGTTGGGCAGAGGTTAACTCATAAACTTTTGTCCAATAAAGACGTAAATGATTTCCATCCAATGAACTAGATAGTGCCAAAGGTTACATTTTATTTTTCTGCCATACATTAATAATCCTGTATAACCCAACTTCTTATTGTGATATTTCTTTATTAAAGTGCCTATTTCTACCCAATGCTTTTATGCAAGTTTTAACATTATCTTGGTCGTCTTACTAATCAAGGAATAGAATTAACATTTTAACATGTATCCTTTTTACATTTGTCTGAGAGTAATGTTTTATAGTCTTTGGAAAATTAAACTTGAGCATAAAAAAGAAAAACAACCAACATGCACACACACAAGTCATGTCTTGACAAGTGTTATAAAGAAAAATAAAGCAGGGAAGAGACTAGATGTTGATGGTTTTATATTTTATACAGAGTGGCTAAGAAGACATTTGAGTGGAGACTTGAAGGAAGGGAGACTGGAGGTCATATGGTTATCTAAAGCACAGGTATTCCAGGTAAGGGGAAAAAACAGCAAGCCTAAAACCCTTTAATAAGAATAGGGTTGACAAATTCAAGTAACAGTAAACAGACTATCAAGGTAAAAATAGAATGAGTTGTGGTGTATGTATGTGGAGAGGGAGGATGGTAAAAGATGAAGATATCAAGTGATGTGGGACAGATCACATATAGCCTTCTAGACTGTTTCAAGGATGCTGACTTATACTGTAAGTGAGATAGAAAGAAACCACTGGGGGATTTTGAGCAAGAGTGATATGATCCACTTTGAACAAAGGATCATGCTGGTTACAGTATTGAGACTGGACTATAGTGGAGTTACAACAAATGCACAGAGACTAGTTAGAATGCTATTATTTTTTCAATTTCAGCAAAAGATATTGGTGCCTTGGCTCAGGGTGATAATGATATTGAAAAATGTTAGACCTAAGATAAATTTTGAGACAGAACTACCATAATTTTCCAAGATAATTGGACGTAATTTATGAGAATGTACATCAGTCTTTAATTTACTCATTCTTTATTTTTTTCAAACATTTAATGCAAGATATACACTAAGTGTACAATAAAATAGCACCTGAGATTCACGTAGACTTTTGCCACAAGTCTAACAAATTTGGGATTAATACAGTTATGTCACTTTAGAGACATTTTAATACTTAAAACTGCTACTTCCAAAAAATGGTGATAAATGTATCAGAAAAAAAATTTAAAAAGAACTTGTGACAGTAACTTAAACATAGAGGATTCTGACATAGTCAATACTGAGTCTCTAATTTTCAGGGAAGATATTCATACAAAGAAAAGCCAAGTTTATTTTCCACTAATGGAACCAAAATGCACAAAAATAGATCTATTTGCATGGACATTCGAAATTTGAAACTAGGATTGTAGAATTTTAGCAATCTTTTAAAAGGATGATATTGGTTTTAGAAAACAATAGCCCATCATTCCAGACAACCTGAATCACTAACTTCTGTAGGACTTTTGTTAAGTATTGATTATGATAATGTTGTTGCTAAACTGAATAAGTATCGTGTATTTCATACTAAGAGTAGGTCTGTAAATTTTTCTGTCAACTACTCCTTTTATCTTTAAATAAAGATGTGTTTGTTGTATCTTCAACAGTTTATTTCTTAATAAATTGATCTTCAAAGCAATGTGTGCAAACCAGAGATCTTGTGAAAGATGTCCCATTGAATGCTAGAAAAAAATATGTTGATGATCCAGAAATAAATGATTTGTACCCAACAAATGATTGTTTAGGAGCTGAACTGCAAAGTGACTAGAAACAACTCTTAGGCTCTGGTTCAAGTGTGTCAGAGGACAGGAAATGAAGCTACTGAAGAAGGAACTTTGTCTGCAATGAGGAGCTCTTACTCTGTTACACTCACAAGAAGAGATGCCACACTCAGGAAAATTATACCTGGGCCTATTATTCAAATGATGAAGAAAGATGTAATGGTAATAGGTTATATTGAAGGGAGGCCATGTAGAGGTTAGATGTGAAAGAGAATAGGGTACTTGCTGTTGATATGAGCAGACTCTTGAGTACTGAATGTTGTGGCAGCTCCCAAGTTAAATGAAAACTAATAATTCCAATGCTAAGCTTATCTGCAATGAATTAAAAATTTCCTTTAGAAAATTTTTTTCTAAAGGAAATGTCTTAATTGGACTTAAAAGGAGTGTCTTAATAGGCCCCTTTAGAAAGCAGAGACAAAGATGAAGTTGATAATACATTTGGGAGGTACCAGCCCAGACAGGTGAAAGTAAGGAAAGAAAAAACAAGTGAAACGGAATATTCGAAGCAAAGCAATGTGATATGTCACCATGCCAGCTGTGGCTTTGTGACAAACTGGGAATAGGCAGAAAAGATCTCTCAGCAGGCTTGTCAGCTTCTGGAGCTTCTCCAGAAGGCAAAGAAGTACTGCCATTCAGACTAGTCCACCAAATAAAGTAAGGAAGAAAAATTGATCTTCCCAACTCTGATCTTGCATTTCTCATTGGTCAAGATACAAGCCCTAAACTTTTGGGTTGCATCATTCTGCCCCTCTGTGGCTAAGAAGCCAGAAACTACACTATGCACTGAGATGTTTTATCCAAAACGAGAGAAGAGTGACGACCCCGTGTGGGTACAGGAAGCTCAGGCAAAAGTCAATGGGTGCTATGACAGATAGATGGAATACCTCAAGAAATAGAATTTCATAGAGGAGAAGGTGAAGAAAACAAACTACAACCCCAGGAGAAAAGGGCTAACTACATGCAGCATAAGTACCAGTGAATCCATGGATTGGAGCTAAAGGGAGTCAAGTATATGGCACGATATTTAAATAACATATTTAATTTTAATAATAATTATGGTAATAACAAAGGACCTTTATTCCATGCCCCTTTTTCAGCTTTATAGAATCTTTATCTCTATTAACTGTGAGGAGGAGGGGTTCTGGCTGTTACTAGCAACATGATAGGACCTAAAACTCTAAATTCATGTCTCTTGAGGAGGGTACTTTGTTATTCCCTAGGAGGCTCCTCAAAATGGTCAGGAAGACAACCTTGGATTATACTCTGTATAGAGTAAGATAAGGATAGGATTTTGAAATATGCCTTTTTCAGCTTATTTCACAAAAACTTGATACATAGATTCCCAAACTGACCAAATTAATAAAATAGGATGCCAGTTTATTTTAATGACCATGAGTTTGCTGGGGAATGTTCACATGGAAGCACATCATGTATTTGTTGAAATCATCTATTAATAAAATGACCAATACCATTAATAATCACAAATGATGAAAATAAAAGAAAAGAACATGAACAAGTTTAAGATAGAAAACCTCCCTTGATTTAGAAATTTGTATCATTTAGGAAAGTTGAAGTAATCAACAACTGGGTGAAAACGGGAAAAGTACATCTAGACTAAGTAAATGTTGCAGCATCACAAACCATTTTAATTCCTTCCTTCTCAAAGGTTTCACTATTTCCAGGTTTTTGCTATGAGTAAGTACAATGTGGGTGTTGATGGAAATTGTACTATATTGTCAATCATTGTAACTCTGCTGGAATGCCTTTCTCCAGAATGTCCAGGCATCTTGATAGAGTCAGAGACTGTGCCATGGAAAAGTGGATACTTCTGGGGCAGGGGTGTCCAATCTTTTTGCTTCCCTGGGCCACATTGGAAGAAGAATAATTGTCTTGGGCCACACATAAAATAGCTGATGAGTTTTTTAAAATTGCAAAAAAATTTCATAATGTTTTAAGAAAGTTTATGAATTTGGGTTGGGCCACATTCAAAACTGTCCTGGGCCACATGTGGTCCACAGGCCATGGGTTGGACCAGCTTGATTTGGGCTATAGTTAGGATTTTGCCTTATTTGGGATACTATCCTGAGATCTGCTATTTTTAATATTTCTTGAGGAAATTTAAAATAAAATAGGAGGAGTATGCATTACAGAAACCCTGAGTTTGATACCAACTAAATATGAATAAGCTTTCTCACTTTCACAATATTATTAGGAGGCTGCCTGCGGTTTAAACTTCATCAAGGGCTGATGTGAATATTTTAACTTCAAAACATTAATAATCACTTGTAAAAATCTTTATATGTCTTTTTTTGCTTTTAAACTTTGAACAGAAAGGTTTTTTCTTTTGAAGAAAATGCTTTAAGAGGAAGTATGCATGTCTATTTCATATTGAAAGTAAAACCAATAAATTCATAACCACCACGAAACTAAAGGTTGACTTTAAGAAAAAGAAAAAGTGGGTGGGAGAAATTTAGTGTGTAGCCATGTATGTTTCTCATCTCTTTCCTTTAATTTGACAAGAATGGCAACTAACAAAGAGACCTGTTTGATGGAAGATAGCTTTTAGCCCAAATCTTTGAGATGCCACAAAGCTTTCACCAGCTATTAATGTTTACTTAAATGCCTTTTAGAATGACTTGCTCATCTGGAGTTGCAAAAGAGCAAAGTATTTGAAATATGGGACCTTCTTCTTAAAGTAAATATCCTGTTAAATTGCTAGCTGATAATGGAAGAAAAGTTCCAATTACATTTTTGTGAGAAATATCCATGGCACTTGTACAGCTGACACAAAGGATATTCAATTGATAGCATATCCCTTTCTCAACCTACACCTCTGCACATTTTTATCTTGCTTCTTTAATTGATCTTCCTTCGTGTCTTTTATTCTTTCACCCTCTAGTTTCCCCCATGTGTTTCCTCCTTTTATTTTTCTCCCTTCTTGGGCCAATGACATTATAACACCTAATCTCTATGGTGACTTACATAACTAAACTGTATAAGAAATAGTAGCTGTTTTTCCCTCCAATATATCTCAGTAAATTAAGGAAATGAGTAAGTAGTTATGAATCAAGTAGCACATTTAAGGAGGATGGGAGTTTATCATTTACCATGACTAGCTACTGCTTTTATCCAAATAAGCCTCTGTGAACCAAATTTTAGTCCCCTAACAAAGCAAAATATCAGTCTCAAAATCACTGGAGTTTTCTTTCTTTTAATCTCGAAAATAACCAATAGAGACATCCACTTTATCAACTCTAATATTATTGGGCATTTACTATTGGCTAAAAAATATTTTAAGTGTTTATTTATATAAATACTGTTAATCTTTTGAACAATCTTCTGAGGTAAGTACTATTATAATTCCTATTTTACAGATAAGGATAATAAAGAATAGAAGGTTAAGTGAACTGCCCAAGTCTATATAGCTGGTAAGTGGTGGAGAAGGATTTGAACCCAGATTGTCTGGCTCAAAAACCTCAGCTGTTGACTGCCACACTATATTGCCGCTTACTCCTGTGTTCTTAGCCAGAGACTGTACATAAAAATTAAAATTGAAAATAAACGCTTCAATTATAGCTTCCAAACTGTTCTGCAGACTTGTAGAAAGAGTCTAGTATTGTGTTGTTTGCAGACATGGATGAAGCTCTTTATATTAAGATTGGTGTTTCAATAAACATTTTGTCACTTCATATTTCCATATGAAGATGAAGTAGGATGATCCCTGCTGTGTTTAAAATAAATTCGGCTTCCTCTCTTTAAGTATTTGTATTAAAAAAAAAAAAAAAGGATGATTTGTGTCTGGCAGAGCTGTATACTAGCCAGGTGCTTTTTATGGTTGGGCTTCACATTAAGAAAACATTTGTCACGGAAACATCTGGAAAACAGATCAAGCAGACAGAATTTTACACAAGGGAATCTACTTAATCCAGTTACTCTTTTTTAAAATCGGCCACCCTGTTCATGCCAACTGTATGCATTTGAAAGCATATGAGCTATAAAATGTCTCACACTTAAGCAATCAGCTTTTCATTATTTGCAAATATTTTATCTGCTGGCTGGATTGTGCTCCAAAAATTCAAAGTCTTTCCTTTTTCTACCATCAGTTATGCCCTGAGATAAAGAACTGCTAAGAGTTCTATTTCTTTTTGCCTTGAGAGAAGTAGAAAAGGCAGGGAGAGCTTGATACATGATAAGAAATGGGCTCAAGAAAGAAAACTTCCATATGGAAGTACCTTGAGGTATAACTAAATAGTAACATACAAAGAATAAGAAAGTTAGGTCTGAAACAATAGTTCTTAATTGAGAGTTAGCATAAGAAATGGCTATAGAGGGACCATACCTCCCTCTGATTCATAAATGCGAGGGGGATCGAATAAATGTATATTTTAAAAAGCTCCTCAAGTGATTTTGTTGTAGATTCCTAGTGGACAAAGCATTTGTATAGATTGGTGTTTCAAAAAAAATGCCTAATTATGAGTGGCCTAGGCAGCTAGTTAAAAACACAGGTTGCCAGAACTTTATTCTGGAGAATCTGAATTAAATAAATTCAGAGATGGTGGTGAGGAGGGAAATATATTTTCTCTTTAGATAAGTTTCAGAATCGCTGCATTAAATCAGTGTTATACTACAATGTCCTATAAAATACATTGCAAGAAAATGGATACCTGCTCAACCACTGCAAACAAGAATCTCATCCATTTATTTCCAAACACAAATTAGCACAATAAAGCTTCTTGAAACTCCCATCAATAGCAAAGAAACGTGTTAACATCACTGGACCTACATTTTTACTACGAAACACATTTTCTTATCTGATCCTCTCAATATTTCTGAAGAATCAATGTTCTCAGATCCATATTTTGGCAAATCATTCTAGTTCAAAATATGTATTTGTGTAATTACACCTAACTAAAACTATGCAACAGGCACACTTAGTGCAACTGTATGAAATAGAATAAGGCATTCACTTGAGAATTAAAATAAAAGTTGTAAAAGATAGGCTTTTTTGAGCATTTTAATTATCAAAATATACTCTTTCCACTTAGATATTAGTTCCCCACTGTCCATAGTCTGTGTGCACAACCTGCATAACTTGTCCACAGTGACTCTGCTTATAAAAGAAGAGTAAATTTGGATTTTACTGAAACGCGAATCTCCCTGAAAAAACATTTTCCCTCAGTTCCAATTTCATAGGAATAAGACATAATATTGCTGATATGGAGTCAAAGTCTATCATAGATGCATGCAGGAGTCAAGTTGCAACCATGAGTATATTAGGTGTGAGTCCAATATGTAGACAGGCCAGAGTAAAGCTTATATATGAGTATGCTAGATGTGAGTTCATTACAAGGGAAGTGAAAAGTCAAAGTTGTCAGTGTGGGTATAGCAGATATGCAGAGACTGCCAGTTGCCTCAAAATATTTTTTCCTCCTCCTCTTCTATGGTGATAGAAGCCTTGAATTTTAGCAGGATGAATGACCATCTGGAACAAATTCTGCATTTCCCAGGCTCCTTTGCATGAAGTTTTGACCGTAACACTAAGTGTCTGCTAATGACTTATGAGAACTGTGTTTTCAGATGCTAGGTGACATTCTTAAAAGGACACAAAGCATTCTTATCCTTCTCTTGTTTTCTTCCTACTTGGTAAAATGCAGATGAATGGTTTCATCAAGAGTGGCCACCTTGGAAGATGAAACAAACTTAGGAATGAAGGCTATGCATAAAGGACTCAAAAGAGAGAGCCAGGTGCCTGACACCACAGAGGACTGAACCAAATTTCTCTGGACCATCTGCTTCCACATTTGTTGTAAGAGAGAATTAAACTTTTCTCTCACTTAAGCCACAATTATTTGTATTTTCCTGTCACTCTCTACCAAATTTAACCTTAAAAAACTCAATATGTGTGGCTGATGTGTAAATTCCCAAGCCAATTGTAATTTTTAAAGATTATTTACACTCTTTCCTGCTTTCAATTAGCAATATTAATTAAAACTTGATTTTACTTCTCTAATTCTGTCTAAATTTAAAACAGTTTCCCTATTTTTTATATGCACTAACAGCTGAGTTTCAGGAAAAGACAAAAGCCCAACCTGAGCAGCCATGTAGATTCGTGTAGAACCCTAAATTAAGAACAACAACAACAAAAAAACTTATCTGTAGTATGAACATTATATTCACTTTGAATTTGGATATTTCCTGATTGACAAGGAAGATTAAGATACTCCTATAGGAAGATATTTTTCTAATTTCTTAATTTATATATTGAAATATAGTGAAAATAAGACAAAAAAGTCATACTTAACAATCACACAGCCTTAAAGAAAACAGAGAGCAGTAGCAATCACTAACAATACAGTGTGATAAGCATTAGCATAGATTGCACTAAATACATATTAGTGACTAATAAACTCTAGCACAGATTAAGTTAAACATACATTAGTAAATAGACTAGCAAGGAACATATAACAATATTTCATGTATCTTGCAGATTATATAATAATTTCCCATCTTGTCTACTAACATCTGTAATATAATTTACTTTAATTTTTGTTGCTAATTCTTTATCCCATGAATCATATTCCACACATCAAAGAATCTAGCAATTTTTTATAAACTAATGGAAATATATTGCAAATTCTTGGAAATCACATATCCTGTGAAACTTTAACAAATTTATTTAAGAGAATATATATTTAAGTACTCATATTGTATATAAGTAAAATACATCTATTTAAGACTACATATATAGCTTTAAATATTTATGTGATCTATAAATTCTGCTCTTTAGCATTTAAGAAGCCCTCATCTACCACTGCTTTTTTCTTCTAGGAATGCTTCCTCTTCCACTCCATCTACATAGTTCTGTGTCATGTCCTTCTATAACTGCAGTTTAAAGGGTAATCAGAGTGCGCCAATCAGATACATTTCCTGGGATTTTAGAATTTGTGATCAGAGAAAGTAGAAGTCATTTTTGTCATTTCACTGAAGTTGTGAGTTGTAAAATTCAGAGACTAATGTAGGTAATATTTCCATCCAAGTGAAGAGGGCCAGTTTGCAGTGAGAGGAAATAATTCTAAATAGACCAAAATAAGTATCATCAAGAGGGAAAGGAGAAAGAGAGAGTTCTGCCACAATCAACTTCCAGTTTCAACTTTTCCTGAGGCCTCATATGCATCACTGCCTTTCTTGTGGCTCAACTACTCAAAGCCTTCTTAGAAGCAATGATGTAATCAATGTACCCTTATGCTCTTGTTCTGAAGCTCTCTTGAATCATGGGCTTGAATCATTCCAATTAACTTACATCATGGTGTAGTAAGCAACCCCAAATTATAATGGTTTAAAGAAAACAAATGATTATTTCTGTCTCTCATGTTATATGACACTTAGGGATTGGCAGAAAGAGCCCTGTTTGTCACAGCCACTTGGAAACTTAAGTAAATGCTACAGACTAGTTGTCAAGTCAGACGGCAATGAGCTGTAGAAGGTCTCACAGTAGCAATTAAGTGCTTTAAACTCAAATCAGAAATTAGCACACATAACTTCTATTTTCAACACTTTGTCTAGAACTGGTAATACAACCCCAACTGACCACAAGAGAACCAAGGTTTTAGTCTGGCAATATACACCAAAAAAAAAAAAAAAAAAAAAAAGTGAGAAAAGGAAATAAAACATTAGCAACCAGAATCCTAATTGGGGATATCACCACAGATCCCACAGAAATACAAACTACTATCAGACAATATTATAAACAACTCAATGCAAATAAATAAGAAAATTCAGAAGAAATGGATAAATTCCTGTACAAATAAACCCTCCCAAGACTAAACCAGGAAGAAGTCAAATTCCTGAATAGACCAATAACAAGTTCTGAAATTGAGGCAGTAATTAATAGCCTACAAAAAAAAAAAAAGCCCAGGACCAGACGGATTCACAGCTGAATTCTACCAGAGGTACAAAAAGGAGCTGGTACCATTCCTTCTGAAACTATTCCAAACAATAGAAAAAGAAGGACTCTTCCCTATCTCATTTTATGAGGCCAGCATCACCCTGATACGAAAACCTGGCAGAGACACAACAAAAAAAGAAAATTTTAGGCCAGTATCCCTGATGAACATTGATGAGAAAATCCTCAATAAAATACTGGCAAACCGAATCCAGCAGCACATCAAAAAGCTTATCCACCACGATCAAGACGGCTTCATCCTGGGATGCAAGGCTGGTTCAACATATGCAAATCAATAGATGTAATCCATCACATAAACAGAACCATTGACAAAAAACACATGATTATCTCAATAGATGCAGAAAAGGCCTTCGATAAAATGAAACACCTCTTCATGCTAAAAACTCTCAATAAACTAGGTATTGATGGAACGTATCTCAAAATAATAAGAGCTATTTATGACAAACATGCAGCCAATGTCATACTGAATGGGCAAAAGTTGGAAGCATTCCCTTTGAAAATCACCACAAGACAAGATGTCCTCTCTCACCACTCCTACTCAACATAGTATTGGAAGTTCTGGCCAGGGCAATCAGGCAAGAGAAAGAAATAAAGCGTATTCAAATAGGAAGAAAGGAAGTCAAATTGTCTGTTTGCAGATGACATGATTGTATATTTAGAAGACCCCATCATCTCAGACCAAAATCTCCGTAAGCTGATAAGCAACTTCAGCAAAGTATCAGGATACAAAATCAGTGTGCAAAAATCACAAGCATTTCTATACACCAAAATAATAGATAAACAGAGAGCCAAATCATGAGTAACTCTCACTCACAATTTCTGCAAAAAGAATAAAATACCTAGGAATACGACTTACAAGGGATATGAAGGACCTCCTTGAGGAGAATTACAAACCACTGCTCAAGGAAATAAGAGAGGACACAAACAGATGGAAAAACATTCCATGCTCAATATCGTGAAGATGGTGATACTGCCCGAAGTAATTCATAGATTCAATGCTATCCCCATCAAGCTACCATTGACATTCTTCAAAGAATTAAAAAAAAGACTTTAAATTTCATATGAAACCAAAAAAGAGCCCATATAGACAAGACAATCGTAAGCATCAAGAACAAAGCTGGAGGCATCATGCTACCTGACTTCAAACTATACTACAAGACTACAGTAACTGAAATAGCATGGAACTTGTTCCAAAACAGATTGAGATATATATATATCTCAATGGAATAGAACAGAGGCCTCAGAAATAACACCACATACCTATGACCATCTGATCTTTGACAAACCTGACAAAAACAAGCAATGGGGAAAGGACTTCCTATTTAATAAATTGTGTTGGGAAAACTGGCTAGCCATATGCAGAAAACTGAAACTGGACCCCTTCCTTACACCTTATACAAAAATTAACTCAACATGGATTAAAGACTTAAACATAAGACCTAAATCCATAAAAACCCGAAAAGAAAACCTAGGCAATACCATTCAGGACATCATAGGCATGGGCAAAGACTTCATGACTAACACCTGACTTTTCTTTTTTGAGAGACAAAGTCTGGCTGTGTTGCCCAGGCTGGAGTGCAATGGCAGTATCAGCTCACTGCAACCTCTGACTCCTAGGTTCAAGCAATTCTCCTGCCTCAGCCTCCCAAGTAGCTGGGATTACAGACACGCACCACCGCACCCAGCTAATTTTTGTATTTTTAGTAGAGACGGGGTTTCTCCATGTTGGCCAGGCTGGTTTTGAGCTCCTGACCTCAGGAGATCCGCCTACCTTGGCCTCCTAAAGTGCTGGGATTGCAGGCGTGAGCCACCGCCCCCAGCCATGACTAACACTTGACTTTTAAGCCTACTGGGTTAACAGTAGACAACAACAGCCTGTCCACACAGGCCTTCTTTGTAGGCCTCATACTCTGAGGGAGTTCAGGCTTCTTCTCTACTCACTTTACCCTAAAAGAAAGATGAACTCTGGCAAAAGGTGCAGGCCAAATGGAGATTTGCTGAAGAGGTGACAAGACAAGCACTTGGACCCAAAACCTTAAATAGTTACAGTGAGTATACATTTGCCTTAACCAAACTAGAGTATTTATTTGTATATATCTACCAAGGCACATCAGAAGTGGCAGTGCTCTTAGGATCTTGATCATATTTCTTTTAGGTACAACCAAAACAACTTTTTAGACTGGTGTTAGTGAGGTAATTATGATCAAATAAATTATGGAAATTATTTCAATACTCAGACTTGAAACACAGTGCTGTGTGATATATCTGGCTCGTCTTCTACCTGTAAGACACATGCAACGTATGCTCCTTACATTTGTTTCACCATCAGATAAGTGTTCACAACAGTGCCTGGCTCTTCAGAGGTGTTCAATAAATCATTGCTAGGTGGAGGAGAGTTGGAGGAATCTTTGCAAGTTATATTAACTCTCCAAGTTTCAGTTTGCCCTCTGTCAAATGGAGATCATTACTGCCGGGATTGTTGACTAGGGTGTAAAATTTTCATATAATATTGTCCACATAGAAACTACTCAACACATTACAGTGGCTTTTAATTTTTTTTCTTCATTGCTATAAAGTTAGTGGTGTTTAGGCTAAGTCTATTGTATGCTTCTATGCATTTCTCGACTTAGGGGGAAAAGTGAGTCTTTGAAAATTCTTTTATTCAACATAACATTTATGGAGTGCCACAACAGATCCCACAGAGTTAGGCAATACAGATAATTCAGTTGACATGTAGGATTAACCACAGCCAATAGTGAACTAAATTGAAATGCAGTCTCTATATATGAGCAAAAATGGTATAATTTATTAAATAAAATTATAATTGTATGTACATAATTTCACCTTTTATTTATTGTAACCATTACTATTGTGAAGTTCCACAGGCACAGCTTAAAAGATTTCCTTAATATTTTTGCCTTACCTACAACCAAAACAGTTTGATTAAGAGTCATCATTTAATATGAAGCTTACACTTAAATAATTTGACTCAAGACTCCCTTATTTTTCTTTGGTCAATCAGCCCATTTGTGTAAGAATATTGATGTTGGTGATAAATATCAGACAATGGAGAAGAGGTGACAGAGATTTTTTACTTCTTATTTTTCTGTGAACACAGAAGCAAGTGTCTTAACTTTTCACATTTTGCCAATTGTAAGAAATTAATGCTACCTATTTCATTTGAATTCACTTCTAATGAAGTAAATGTTACCACACTACGAAAAATCTAAAACACCATTGATTTTTTTAAAAACATTGCTTCATGTACCATTAGAGAATTAAAAATTATCCCTAACAATGACTGTCATCAATTAAGACAGAGCATAATTTATATTAAAATGTGAAAACATTGGATCTCATAATTGAACATTATATTTCACTAATCTAGAAAATGCAACTTAACCTGAACCCAGTTTAACTATCTCCATTTTTATGAAAGTTATTAAGAAGGGTACATAGATTTAGAGATCAAAGTTAGTTTCATATTTTTAACCTGATTTATTAGTAGTATGACTTTCTTTGTGTCTCTTTTTAGCAAGAATCAGATTTCCTTTTCTATAAAATGAAAATAGTCTGAATCTGCAGTGTATACTATTGGTCTGATAACTTGATAAAATAATATATATAAAACATCACATACAATTCATGACACATGGAAAAAATTCAAAAACAGTCCATTCCTTTCTATCATGTGAAAGTCAAAGTGAGATGCAGAGCAGAGATCAGAGTGGGGGAAATATTTAGTGATAAAGTAGTAATACAGACCAGGACCCAGACAACCTAGAGACTACTTGTCCCTGAACTAAGATAATATATTTGTCATTTTATGTAATAATTACATGATGCTTCCTGTATCATGAACATATTCTCCATTAGTTTTCCTTAACATTACTATATTATGTATTCTTTTGTCTATCTTTTTTTTTTCCAGTTTTGGGCTATACAACTTTGTTTGCTTCACAGGTTTTCTCTGTTTTATCCCCTGAGATCTTGATGATATTTATACAGCATCTGTTCAAATTTGCTTTCTTGTCAAGTGATGATCTGCATTTTACCTGTGTCATTATGACGTTTCTCCAAAGCAATGGTGAGGCTAAATTCTCCAGAATTTATCATTTCTGATACACGTTTTAAGTAGCCTTCATGTTTACTACCTTCAGTGATGAGTAAGAAGTTCCAAAACCTTTTAATTCTCATAGAATAATATCATTTTATTGGGCCATCAATGCCACAAATAATTATTGGCCACCAAACACCTTTATTCAATTAATAAGGAAACTGAAATCCAAAAAGATTATGTGACTCGTCAAACATCAGATAAATAGATGGCCTATTTCTCATGCCTCTATGACTACAAAAAATGCATGTCAAAATATGAAAAAGACAGAGAAGACTAATCGTAACACACAAGGTTCACACCTGTTACAACTGCCCAGGATCTTGGAAAAAGAGGCTAGTGCATACTGAAGGATTTCTAGCTGGGTTTTTATAAGGGGACTTCCTTGGACAATACAAAGTGCTTCTTTCCTAAAGAGATAGAGTTGGGGAAAACATGTATTGGAAAACATGAAATCTGGGTCCTTTTCACAGTGCAATTTTAATTCGTTTCTAGGCAGCAGCAGCTCTTTACTCCCCCAAACAATTTCTGCCAGCGGAATACACCAGAAAGGGCATGCAAACTTCTTTTTGGGTTTTTCTTTCTTAATTCCCGAACAATTCTCTCTGATTCTATTTACAAACCAAGTAACAGTGTGGGCACGTAGGCAGTTCAAAATTCCAAATAATTTAGGTCATTTTTCAACTAACATTTTTCAATAAAAATTAGGTTTTTCTAAAAAATATTCAGGTTTTTTACAATAGCAAGCTGTATCCAGGACTTCCTGTAGGAATAATTCAACAAATCCAAGATAAAGGAAGATATTGAAAAAGAACCTCAAAGATCAGGTGACTAAAATAAGCCAAAGCTCGTAGCACTGTTAGATTTGAGCAATTTGCTGCTCCAAACCAGTTTCTAAACATTTGTCCAAATGCAGTTAGTTAATTTTAAATAGGTCTGTATATAGAGGCACATTTTATGTAACCTCTGAAAAATGTCTTTTTTTTCTGAATTTAGTTTCTTTATATAATAATGTTTCTGAAATGGCAGAGTATATATATGTGTGTGTATATACATATATATATATATATATTTGTAGTTGTTGTTATATTTTTGTACTTTTTTCTGTTACATTTAAATGTGTAACTCCTCCTGTGCCAAGATACCAAGAGAACTAGTTAATTCAGAACAGTTTATCTTTGTTTTTTGGGAAGGAATTATTTATTCCATTGGTTCCATTATATAAAATTAACACCCTTGTCCCAGGGAAGATTATAATAAAACAGTATTTTGGCTTAACATTGAGAGTGTCCCATCTTTTACCACATGGTATGCAAGACACTAAAGCTGTCAAGAAGACATTAAGCAACTGCAAAAGGGATGAAGAAGGATTTAAACAATATTGTCTTGGGAGATAGGGTTACTAGAATATTTCTGGATGGATTGAGATGGGTTCTGACAGAAAATGGAACCAAAAATACCCCAAAAGATAAGTTAACTGGGGAAGTATGGGGCTAGATTTATAAGCAATGAAGACTACCCTGTTACAAGAGCTGAGAAATAACAATCAAACATGACCAAATCTGAACACCTTTACTGATACGGCCATCATAGTATCGTGAATTTGCTGAGGGAAAAGGCTATAAAGAGCCAAGGGTCCGTGAATCCAAGTCTGTGTTGCCTGGAGTAGAGTTGGTGGAGGAAAGGACATCTCTTCCTTCACTGCCCAGAGTTAAAGTATATGCCCTGACCAACATAATGGCAAAAGGTGATCATTTAAGTAGTGCATGAAACAGCATTAACCTGGGTTCCATTTGATGGCAACAGCAGGTTCTCCAATGCTTTCTCTGTAAAATACTTGGAGCCAGGACTAACACCACGATGGTTAATTTTATGTGTGAATTTGACTAGGCTAAGGGATGCCCAGATAGCTGGTAAAATACTATTTCTGGGCATGTATGTGAAGGTGTTTCCGGAAGAGATTAGCATTGGAATTAGTAGGCTTTGTAAAGAAGAGCCGCCCTCATCAATGTGGGCAGGCATCATCCAGTCTGTTGAGAGCCTGAATAGAATAAAAATGCAGAAGAAGGGCAAACTCCCCCTCTCTCTATTTGAGTTGGGACATTTGTCTTCTGTTTTTAGATATCAGGGAGATCTGGGGCCTTGGGACTCCCTTACACCATTGGCTCTCCTGGTTCTTAGATCTTTGGACTGGAACTGAATTACACTACTATCTTTTGTGATTCTCCAGCTTTCAGAAAGCATATACTGGGATTTCGTGGCCTCCATAATTGTATAAACCTATTCTTACAATAAATCTTCTCTTGTATATGTTTATGTGTATATGTATGTATGTATGCATGTATGTATCAATCAATCAATCTATCATCTATCTATATTGTATTAGTTGTATTTCTCTAGAGAATCTTGTCTAGTACAAATATTTTGTACCTAACCAGTACTGGAGTGTTTAGATATCATACAACTCAAATGAGAAGACCTCATCATAAGGAAGTTTAACACAATTATGTGGAAAGAGACAAGATGTGACTTATAAGCAGGGCTAATTCTCAGGTTATGTCCATGAGCTTCATACTTCAGTGTATGAAGTGTATTCATACTTCATAATAACAATTATGAAAATAGTGAGTACAGAATCACGTTGAATTGATCAGATAACTACTGCTTACATCATTTTAGGAACACAACAGGGTGGTGGCTCATTCTGGGGCAACTAATTTCCAGCAATGCTTGTGGCACCCTGTAGCTTCCAGGTGAGCTCTAGCTCCATTTGTGGGGCTGAGTGATGAGAATGTAATTATGTGAGTAAGCATCCTGGAGATTTGTGATTATTATAGAGGTTCTGACCCACCAGAGGAGAGGAAAAGGGAGTGATATGGTTTGGCTGTGTCCCCACCCAAATCACATCTTAAAGTGCAGTTCCCATAATCCCCATGTGTCCTGAGAGAGACCTGGTGGGGGTAATTTAATCATGGGGCGATTACCCCCACGCAGCTCTTCTCATGATAATAAGTGAGTTCTCTTCAGATCTGACGATTTTATAGGGGCTTTTCTCCCTTTTGCTTAGTCTTCTCCCTACTGCTACCATGTGAAGAAGGGCATGTTTGCTTCCACTTTGACCATGATTGTAAGTTTCTTGAGGCCTCCCCAGTCATGCTGAACTGTGAATCAAATAAACCTCTTTCCTTTATAAGTTACCCAGTCTCGGGTATGTCTTTACTGGGGGGCAGCATGAGAATGAACTAATACAAGGAGTATTTAATTAGTTCTGATTTAAATAATAAAAAAGGGACCACATTTTCTATATTCTGGAGAACTATGTCATAATAATTACATATAAAATAAAGATGAAAGCACTTCCTTATGGGTGGAAAAGTATGTGGAAAGGAAAACATAAGTGGAGCTAGTTAAGTTAGTTAAGTTTAAAAATGCCTATGACCGGGCATGGTGGCTCACGCCTGTAATCCCAGCACTTTGGGAGGCCGAGATGGGCGGATCATGAGGTCAGGAAATCAAGACCACCCTGGCTAACAATGTGAAACCCCGTCTCTACTAAAAATACAAAAAATTTGCCGGGCGTGGTGGCGGATGCCTGTAGTCCCAGCTACTACTTGGGAGGCTGAGGCAGGAGAATGATGTGAACCCGGGAGGCAGAGCTTGCAGTGAGCGGAGATTGCGCCACTGCACTCCAGCCTGGGCGACAGAGTGAGACTCCATCTCAAAAAAAAAAAAAAAAAAAAAAAAGCCTATGAAGATGTGGGAATTGCTTATTCTTCTGATGATGATGAACTTTCAAGAACTCCATCCTGATTTCTCTGAATTACTATTCTCCAGCAAATTCCAGCATTTGGGGGTGTGTGGGGGGAGTTGATACTAATGATATCACTGTAATCATTTGAATCCAGGAAGCAAAATTTTAATAAATATTTTAGGCTTTCTGTGCCCTATAATCTCTGTAGCAACTATAAAATTTGGCCATTTTAGCTTGAAAACTGCCATGGACAATACATAAATGAATGAGGGTGCTGTGTTTCAACAAAACTTTATTGACAAAAACAGGAGGCAGCTGAATTTGGTCCCTGTAGGGGTCATAGTTGGAGAACCCCTGTGTTAGATTGATGATGCACATCATATTATGAAAACTAGTTTCTTAACTTTGAAGACAGCTTTAGATTATACCAGTCTTTTTTTCAACAAAAATGTATTGAGCTTCTATGTTCTAGATGTTGTACTTTTGCCTATAAATAGGAAAGAAAGTAAAACATTATTGCTTTTAAGAATCTAGCAATTTTAAAAGGAAAAAATTCCTTAAAAACCACAAAACTCTAGTAATATGTTATAAGTGCAATCATAATAACATGTGCAGAATGGGAATTCAGAAGAGGAACTAATTAACTCTCCCAAAGGGTTTCAGGGAAACTTCAGAGAGAAAGTGACGTGAACTGAAATTTTTTGGATGTTACTATTTACTAAAAAGGTTACGCTGTCACTTGCAGTAAAGCCAAAAGCATGAAGTTAGTCACAGAGGGATGTATATTGAAGACTGGAGAAACTGACATTACATGTATGTATTTTATCCCAATGCATTTGGACCACTGTGTGTAGTTAATAATAATAATAATGATGATAAAAGATGATGATGGCAAACATAGGTCAATTGAGGAAAATCAATTTCCTGGAACTTGTTTTGTTGCATCACCAATTTTCTGAAATTCTAGTCACTGATTTACTGAAAATAGTTGCAAGTGCTTTAACGAGAATATTCAATTTCAGACACTGATATGGAATATATACAAGATTCATCAATGAATAAAGGATCTCATAAAGCATACCAATATTTTCAAAACCTTTTGAGACGTCTGTCAATCTCTTAATATTTATCTTTTAGCATGTTTAGAATTCTTAACTAATGTTTTATATATCTTCTTGTCAATTTTATGTTTCTGATTAAAGTCTATCATATTTGGAGTGTGTTCTTTATATTCTGTGAAAATTATTAATCTACTGTATCTCCACTCTAAATCAATCACTCTATACTCTGCTTTGTGACACAAGCTCCTAGACTGCAAAATACCTTCCTCCTCCTGGAAAAGCTGGTTCCCCCTTAAGGTGTACTAGAGGGAAAATGTGGAACTAGTAGAGAAAGAATGGACTTGCTCATTCTTGCTTTCTTTCAATCCTGGCATGCTTCCTTTTTTACTTGTGTAGGAACTCTTCTTTTCAGTAGCAGCAGTTGAATCTAATTTGTTGCTCTTGTAACACCAACCAGAAGTGAATAGTTCAGCATTATAACTCTATTTACCTCAAGAATGGTATTTTGGGCTGGGCGCCATGGCTCACGCCTGTAATCCCAGCACTTTGGGAGGCCGAGGCAGGTGGATCATGAGGTCAGGAGGTTGAGATCGTCATGGCTAACATGGTGAAACCCCGTCTCTACTAAAAAATACAAAAAACTAGCCGGGCGTGGTGGTGGGTGCCTGTAGTCCCAGCTACTCGGGAGGCTGAGGCAGGAGAATGGCGTGAACCCAGGAGGTGGAGCTTGCAGTGAGCTGAGGTCACACCACTGCACTCCAGCCTGGGCAACAGAGTGAGACTCCGCCTCAAAAAAAAAAATGGTATTTTATGAGTGGTTTGTAAATCTGTTTGGTCATACATCCTTTCAGTGAATATTTTGTTCAAAACATGTTCCATGAAATATACATGTTCTTGGTAACACGATCAATGTATTTTTAATAATTATGCTGTGCAAATAAATATGAATTATTTGCCAGATAGTGTTCTAATTAAGAAAATATATTCTGAGTGCTCTATGGGGCAGGTACCATAATTATACCAATTTTACAGATTAAAAAAAAAACTGAGACAAGTGGGATTAGTGACTTCCTCCAAATTACAGAGCTGCTAAGTAGCAGAGCAGGGATTCAAACCCAGAATTTGAACCCTTAACCACTACATTATACTGCCACTTTGATTCATGTAGAGAATTCAGTAGAGTGGGAAACAACACAAGCAGAGGTTATCAGTAATTTTTATCTAGCAATAGCTTAGGATGAAAAAGTATATGAGGCACTGAATTTAAGTAGTAATAATAGGAATAGAGAAAAAGGTATGGATTCAAATTCCCAGTGGGTGTTAAATGTGGAGGACTCAGTAACTTATTAGATAGAGACAGTAAAGGAGAGAGAAAGGCAAAATGGTTGTATTAGTTACATTGCAAACACCCAGCTCTTAGGGAATGCCACCAAGAAGTATTTATTTTGCTCTCAGATCCACACAGTCCTTGGGAAATGGCAGCTCTAAGATGGCTTTGTGTGTATATTTGCATTCACCTGGCAGGCTGGCTGTGAGTCAGTTTTGCTGATACTGGCTGGACTTTCTCATGTGTCTGAGCATGTATTCATCAGGGCTACCACAAGGATAACTGAGTTTCCTACTTAGAATGGCTAGCAGTATAGTAACCATTAAGAAGACATCAAAAACAAGATAAAGAAGCAAATGTGAGAGTTAAAAGGAGGGGGGAAATAGTGCTGATTGAGACATATCAAATTAGATGTCAGACAAATAGAGAGGTTTTATAGATAGTTAAATATTGGTCCAAAGGTCAAGAGGAAAAAAACAGGTATAAATGGGAACATGATTGTTAATAATAAGAGCCATAGTTGTGTGCAGTGTCATTTATGGAGACTATGTAGAGCAGAAAGTCAGGACCACTCTGAGACTGGTCAATAATTCTGCTTTGTTTTGCTTCTACTACCAAAGTAACTCAAGTAATGGCTGTCAATTAAAGGACCATTAAATGTTATCAAGATTGAATCATTATGATTGTTGTCATATAGTCTTTCTGTAAAATTAGACATATTTCACTCAAATACTTCCACAAAAAAATGAACTTCTACAGAAGAAGAAAATGTAAAGGAGAAGCATAGATCAAAGCATATCTTACAGGAGATATACAAGTGATAGAAAAGAAAAAGTTTCCATTTGCTTAGAAATAGCCTCCTAACACTAAAGACATGATAGTGATATCTAAAGGATTGAAGGCAATCTTTTTGAGCATGTTTATAAATGGTACTTCAGGGATTCAGTGGAATGCACTAAGTGATTTCTTATGGTCTGCACTAGCACCATCATTTTGCAAATCCAATTTAATCAAGGACCTTATGAAATATGTCTATCACCACTTTGGTGTAATAAATACCATATGTAGAGCCTGAATTTAATAAACCCTTTTGAATTTTCTAATTTAAAACTGAAGCATGTTATTTAATTTAAGATTAATAACAAGCATAATCACTAATACACATTTTAAGGATATGGAAGCATTTTAAATAATAGCCATCATCACTGCTTCTCACAGTTACATAATCTCTACCTTATTTTGAAATAATTAGCCTATACACATACTGAAAAATAAAACTCTACATTTTGGGTGGAATGGAAAAACTAATTGAGAGTTTTTCTCTTTTAATTTTCTTGTATTTGACTATCTCCATTAATAATATTATGGAGGCATCTATTTATTTCGTGAAGGATGAGAATTGCACAGCATGAATGCAAAGGGAAATAGGTAATCAAATTCTTGTTTTGGCCTCTGAAGTAAAAATTCCTCAGCCCCTATCAAAGCACTGATTTTGAAAATCAGGCTATGTTGGGAAGAAAGCCCATTAGAAATTAACTTAACTGCCTTTAACATATTGACATTCAAGCTTGCCCACCATATCATAGATTTTACTATCTATAAATTAGAGATGGAAGGAATCCATAGTATGATAAAAATAAAGGTCGATGTAATAGGCACATTTCTTTAAGCTTTAGAGCATTGCGAGAATGAGAAGTAAAGCAGTGACATAGGATGCAGACAATTAGAACTCTGCTGTATCCTCACTAAGACAGAGAAATTCACAGGAAACCTCAAGCTAAAAGACCATCTGCTTAGCTTTCCACTTGGAAACTATGGAGAAAACTGCCACGATGGCAGTTTTCTGCAAATAACAAAAAACAAATAACCCCTCAACCTGGGCAATGATGTCCCAGCACAGCCAAGAGGGATGTTTAGATATATGAGCATATAGCATAACTCCTGGATTCCCTTGGTCTGCATGTAGCATGGATGTGTCATACTCCAGTAAGATAAAAGAGAGGTCTTCAGATGGCCAGCGGATTAGTACACAAAGTCAACAGTGCAGGGACTTTGTGCCAGAGATAAACAGTGGAGACCACAGACCCTGGTGATAAGATCTAGCATGATGCCCAGAAAGGCCAGATAGAAACAGTTGTGCCTCAGTGGTGATCAGTTAGACTCGATTGTTTCACTACAGTGAGCAGCAAAGATTTTAAAAAAAAAAATGTCAGGGAGTGGTGGCTCATGCCTGTAATCCCAGTACTTTGGGAGGCCGAGGTGGGCAGATCACTTGAGGTCAGGAGCTCAAGACCAGCCTGGCTAACATAGGGAAACCCTGTCTCTACTAAAAATACAAAAATTAGCCAGATGAGGTGGCACACACTTGTAATCCCAGCTACCCAGGAGGCTGAGGCAGGAGAATCACTTGAACCCAGGAGGTGGAGGTTGCAGTGAGCCAAGATTGCACCACTGAACTCCAGCCTGGGCGACAGAGTGAGACTCCATCTCAAAAAATAAATAATTAGAATAATAATAATAATGTGGCATGGGCGTTGTATTAGTTTCCTATTGCTGCTGTAACAAATTACCCTAAACTGAATGGATTGAAACAACATAAATGTATTATTTTATCATTCTAAGTGTCAGATGTCTGAAGTGGGTCTCACTGAGCTAAAATCAAGTTATTAGCATGGCTGCAGTTCTCTGGAGCCTTTAGATGAAAATTCATTTTCTTGGCCATTCCTGCTTCTAGGGGCTGTCTGACTGAGGGTCCCCAATCATCAACAAAGTCAGCTACAGTTGGTGGAATATTTTTCACCCTGTATCACTCTGATACTTACTCTCCTGCTTTTCTCTTTAACTTACAAGGATCCTTGTAATTGCACTGGGCCCACCCAAATAACCATGAATAACCTGTTCATTTCAAAGTTAGCTGATTAGCAAGCTTAAATCCGTCTATAACCTTAATTCCTCCATGCATCATAATCTAACATTTTCAAGGTTCTGAGGATTAGGATGTGGGTATTTTTGGGTGCTCATTATTTTGCTACCACAGAGCTGATTTATTTTTTCTCCTTTTTTGTTCTCTTTCAACTTTTATTTTAGAATCGGGGTAGATGTGCAGCTTTGTTAGAAAGGTATATTGCATGATATGGAGGTTTGGGGTATAAACGAACTTATCACCCAGGTACTGGGCATAGTACCCACTAGGTAGTTTTACAGCCCTCACTCCCCTTCCCTCCCTCTCCTCTCTATTAGTCTTCAGTGTGTGTTCTTGCCATGTTTATGTCCACATGTACCCAAAGTTTAGCTCCCATTTATAAGTGAGAATATGTGGTATTTTGTTTTCTGTGTCTGCAGTAGTTAGCTTAGTATAATAGCCTCCAGCTACATTCATGTTGCTCAAATTATAAAAAGTCTAGAAGAAAACCTAGAAAATATCCTTCCTGATGTTAGCCTTGGCAAATAATTTGTGGCTAAATCCTCAAAAGCAATTGCAATGAAAAGAAAAATTGATAAGTGAAACCTAATTAAAATAAAGAGCTTCTGCACAGCAAGAGAAACTATCAAGGAAGTAAATAGACAACCTACAAAATGGAAGAAAGTATTTGCAGACTATGTAACTGACAGAGGTCTAATATCCAGAATCTACAAGGAATTTAAACAACTCAAGTTAAAAACAAATAACCCCATTGAAAGTGGGCAAAAGACATGAACAGACACTTCTTAAGAAGACATACAAGTGGCCAAGAAACATATAGAAAAATGTTCATCATCACTAATCATCAAAGAAATGTAAATCCAAACCACAAGCGATACCATTTCACACCAGTCAGAATGCCTTTTGTTAAAAAGTCAAAAAACAACAGATGTTGGCGAGGCTGAAGAGAAAAGGGAACACTTATAGACTGTTAGTGGGAATGTAAATTACTCCAGCCACGTGTACAGCAGTTTGGAGATTTCTCAAGGAACAAATTCATGTCCTTTACATTTTTTTTCTCTTTAAACCATTCTACCTACTCAGACACCATCTTGGAACAAAACAGGGGAAAGAAGGAGTAATTCAAAAAATAGAGTTTCTCAAAAAGAGAATGAGTCATGTCTAAAAGACTCTTTAAAGCTTAGGGAGAAAAGTACCACTGGTGGCCTTGTTTAGAATGTATCTCCCCTTTACTCCTCACTGCAGCCGCCCCCACTTTACAGTCACTTTCCAACAAGTTAGAGATTCTTGAAGAAGCTTAGGTGAATTATTAAATCAAAAAGCTCATTTTGAATCTAACACATTATGACTGATTATAATAATGACCCCTAATAATTAATTTTAAAAACATAACAGATTTACTTAAGAATAGACAGACTCTTTAAGAAAAATATTAAACATTGTTAGTTGACAGGTGAGACTCACATATGATGACACACTTGTCCATAAAACTAAATAGCAGAGAGATCTGAAGGAGTCTGGAACTCAGAAAAGAACCCTGAGTTCCTGGCCTCTAACTCAATGTTACCGCCTTAAGTAAGCAAAGGACTTAACTAAATTAATTTCCTGAGAACTTTTTGCATTTTACAATAGGTGTTCTTCTAAACTTTTCAGGAAACATGTCACTTTGTTTACCAGAACAGAGAAGTACAGATGGAAAATTGATTGTTAGCCTAATACATAACACATTGCCTAGGCCCTCCATAGATACTTGCTAAAACATGTATGAAATGATTAAGCAGAGATATTCAGCTTAAGAACTAAGTATCATGAGACAATGTCAGAAGAAAAGGGGTGCATTAATAGTTTTATGAAGGTATTATGGGTAGAAAATTAGAAGTATTTCAGAAAATAAACTGGAAAATAATTTCCAAGTGCTAAATTTAGATGGTGTTGTTAGACTGTGAAATTAAGGAGAAAAATTTTCAGAAGCATGCAGAAGAATCAAAGTGGTAGTAATGGGGACTTATCGTTACCCAGTTTAGTACCTCAGTACATTAAACTGATGGAAAGGCAGCAGCAGAGAGTCTGTGATCCTGCCACAGCAGAAAGGATGGATTGCGTTTTTCTTTAATTTGAAAAATCAGTGACAAGAAAGAAAATAGTGCTATCCATTTTTAATCACCTTTTATTTTTATATATTTATTTATTTTTAAAATTTTTAAAATTTGTCTGTATTTATTTATCTGTTTATTTTTGAGACAGGGTCTCTCTGTCACCCAGGGTGGAATGCAGTGACACAATTATGGTTCGCTGCAGCCTTGACCTCCTGGGTTCAAGTGATCTTTCCACCTTGGCCTCCAGAATAGCTGGGCCCACAGGCATGCACCACACCTGGCAAAGTTTTTGTTATTATTTTTAGTAGAGATGGGGTCTAGCGATGTTGCCCAGGCTGGTCTGGAACTCCTGGCCTCAAGTGATCCTCCCACCTTAACCAAAGTGCTGGAATTATAGGTGTGAGGCACCATGCCTGGCCTTTTTAGTTACCATTTTTTTCACTGCATGAGAACTTTTATTCATGTGGCAATACATCCAGGAATACAAAATAGGACCTGAGCTTCCTTAAGACTACCAAGGTAATTAGCCAGAGGAAAAATATTAAAAACCATAATGTTAGAATAATAATTCTCAGACCAAAATGGGAGCATTCTGAACTATGCAATGAGAGAAGAAAATCGTATTCTTGTACCTCTAAGACAAAACACACACACACACACACACACACACATAATGTATATGTTTTCCTTTCCTTCTGGTTAGTAGTACTCTACATTGACTTAGAAGATATTTTGTTCTGAGTTTTTTTTTCTTTTTCCCCTAGTACTTCACTAACCTGGGCACTCTTTGGAAGTTAGCTGATTTGTCCAAGACCTCATGTTGAAGTCTGCAAAAAGCACCATTCAGTCTTATTTAGTGCTCCAGAATTCTCCATAGGTTAAGTCCTTACACCAAGTCAGGTTTTACTTATGCACAGTTTAAGCTTAGTGATTTTAGTCATATGTCACTATATTCCTTTTGTTATAATCTTTGTTTTTTCTGTGTTACCAAAATTCTAGTTGAAAAGATATGACATCTGTGTGTACAGCTACCCTTTGATCCTTTTGTTAATGTTAATTCCAACTTGTGAAGAAAATGAAATATTCCAGAGAATGCTTGCATAAAAAGAATTTGCAAATTGAAGGCCACTAAAATGAATATAAACAAAATGACAATATATTATTTATTTCAAAAATGTACTATATTTTGCTCTGATGATATTTGCAAATATACGTTGATATATAATATTTTATTTAAAAACCTTGAGTACATTATCAAATGCACACACATACATACACAAACACATATGGGAAGATTGTTGTCAAGGAAGATTTATGAGAAGAGAACATTTAAGCAAAGACTTGGAGAAAATGTGTGACTGAGCCAGGTGGATAACTGGAGTAAGTGCCCTCCAGAAAAAAGAAAAGGCATAGTTCGTAATTCCTCGTTGGTGCTTAGGAAATGAATAGCATCTTAGCTGACTTGCTAGCTCAGTTTAATCAATGGATAACTTCTGTAAATTCCCTCAACCTTTAAGTTTATTAGCTATGCATAATAGAGACTACCTCTTCTTTATTTGTATGTGTGCTATGATGATCAACTCTATGATATATATTAAACCACTTGTGGTGGGAGCAATCAGAAAAATACCATCCACTGTCTAGGCTCTTTCTATGAGAAGGATTCTTTAAATCAAATGCATTTAATCAAGGGGAATGTCTTTTCTCTCAACCAGAGAATAGCCATTAATGTAATTAGTATAAATTCTAAATCCAGGAGCAAAAGGATTACATAACTTGAAATTCTCCTGCCACATTCACCTGAAAAGGTTACAATAAGAAGACTGCTCTTTACACCCATTTGATTGGTAAAAAATAATAATAATGTACAAAAATACCAACTTGTGGCCAAGAATATGAAGAAATGGAAGCTCTAATAGATTGCTGGTATAAGTTGATACATCTATTTGGTATAATCTGATATATACAATTTCCAGAGGAGCATGTATATTTACAAAGGGAACTTTTGCATATACATACATATATACATATGTGTACATACAAACACATATCATATACACACCTATTAAATATACACGGACAGAGAGAAAGAAAGCATAAGGCATGATCATTGCAACATTATTATAATAATTGGGAAAAGTAAAATTCCATAAACGATAAAAGAGCAAAGAAATTGTGTCTGTTTTATGAAATGTGAAAATTAATAAATTATTTATAATCTATATTGTCTTTATAATTTATGATTATATCTAATGGCATCCATAAATATCAAAACAGTATGTTGTTAGTAACAAATTGGAGAATATATACATATTATTTAGTTATAATACTACTTACATAAAGGTGTAAAAACAGACAAACCAATGCAATATTATATTTATGTATTTATACATGTATGGTAATAGATAAATTATGCATGATAATGATAAACACTAGGAGAAAATTTCCCTCTGAACAAATATGGCCAAATGCAAAGATCTGATGAAGCTGCATGTAACCTACATTCATGATGCTTTTCCATATTAGTCTCTGTAATACTTTGTAAGCTTGAAATCTTTTCCAATATAAAACCAGTATTATAGTTTTATAAAGTGACTTTATAAAGGACTTTATAAAGATGAAAGTCCTCATGGTTGAATGGGTAAAAATCCATGAAAATGGGAACATACTGACTTCAAAGGGCAGGATGAGTGCTCTGTTTCTTGAGAATCAAATTTTACCTCTAGGTTGTTTGACACAATATTGTTCCAGCCGTTGTTCTCAGTTCTTGACACCTATTATCTCATTTAATCCTTGCAATAATTCTCCATGGAAAATACTATTATTTCCTCTTACCTTGTACATAAAGGTAAGTGAGTTGGTCCATGTGACATCGCTAATAAGTTGAGGTATTAGACTTCAAACCTGAGAATCTGTGAGTTCTCAACCAGTACAGAGACGGCCCTTGGCAGATGAGTTTAGATTAAAGTAGCTGTATTAGTCAGTTTTCACACTGCTGATAAAGACATATCCAAAAATGGGGAATTAAAAAAATAAAAGCAGATTTAATTGGAGTTACAGTTCCATATGGCTGGGGAAGCCTCACAATCATGGCAAAAGGCGAAAAGGAGAAAATCCTGTCTTACATGGATGGCAGCAAGCAAAGAGAGCTTGTGCAGGAAAACTATCCCTAATAATAACCATCAGATCTCATGAGACTTACTCATTATCAGGAGAACAGGATGAGAAATATGGCAGCAGGCAAAGAGAGAATGAGAGCCAAGCAAAATGGGTTTCTCCTTATCAAACCATCAGATCTCGTGAGACTCATTCACTATCATGGGATCAGTGCAGGAAGGACCTGCCCCATAATTCAATTACCTCCCACCGGGTCCCTCCCAAAGCATGTGGGAATTCAAAATGAGATTTGAGTGGGGACACAGCTAAACCATATCATTCCACACTTGACCCCTCCCAAATCTCATGTCCTCAAATTTCAAAAACAAGCATGCCTTCTCAACAGTCCCCCAAAGTCTTAATTCATTTCAGCATTAACTCAAAAGTCCATAATCCAAAGTCTCATCCGAGACAAGGCAAATCCCTTCCACCTATGAACCAATAAAATCAAAAGCAAGTTAGTTACTTCCTAGATACAATGGGGGATAGAGGCATTGAGTAAATACGGCCATTCCAAGTGGGGGAAATTGGCCAAAACAAAGGGGTTACAGGCCCCATCCAAGTTCAAAATCCAGTGGGGCAGTCAAAGCTCCAAAATGATCTCCTTTGACTCCATGTCTCACATCCAGGTAATGCTGAGGCAAGAGGTGGGTTCCCATGGTCTTGGGCAGCTCTGCCCCTGTGGCTTTGTGGGGTATAGCCTCCCTCCCAGCTGCTTTCACAGGCTGGCATTGAGTGTCTGCAGCTTTTCCAGGTGCATGGCGCAAGCTATCAGTCAATCTACCATTCTGGGGTCTGGAGGATGATGGCCCGCTTCTCACTGCTCCACTAGGTGGTGCCCCAGTAGGGACTCTGTGTGGGGTCTCTGATCCCACATTTCCCTTCTGCACTGCCCTAGCAGAGGTTCCTGTTGTCCAGTTCCAAAGTTGCCTCCACATCTTTGGGTATCTTTTCAGCAGCACCCCACTCCACTGGTACCAATGTACTGTATTAGTTTTCATGCTGCTGATAAAGACATAACCAATTCTGGGCAATTTACAAAAGAAAGAGGTTTAATTGGACTTAGAGTTCCATGTTTAAGTCCTCACACATGGATTTACATGTGCCCCAGTAGGGATTCTCTGTGGGGGCTCCAACCCCACATTTCTTTTCTGCACCACCCTAGCAGAGGTTCTCCATGAGGACCCCACCCCTGCAGCAAACTTCTGCCTGGACATTCAGGCATTTCCATACATCCTCTGAAATTTAGACAGAGGTTCCCAAACACCAATTCTTGACTTCTGTGCACTCACAGGCTCATAACCATATAGAAGCTGCCAAGGCTTGGGGATTATACCCTCTGAAGCCACAGACTGAGCTCTATGTGTGCCCTTTTTAGCCACAGCTGGAGCAGCTGGCATGCAGGGCATCAAGTCCCCAGGCTGCACACAGCATGGGGACCCTGGGCCTAGAACAAGTAACCATTTTTTCCTCTTAGGCCTCTGGGCCTGTGATGGGAGGGGTTGCCATGAAGACTTCTGACATGCCCTGGAGACATTTTCCCTATTGTCTTGGGGACTCAGATTTGGCTCCTCAAATTTATGCAGCCAGCTTGAATTTCTCAGAAAATTGGTTTTTCTTTTCTAACACATTGTCAGACTGAAAATTTCTCAAAATGTTATGCTTTGCTTCCCTTATAAAACTGAATGCCTTTGACAGCACCTAAGTCATCTCTTGAATGCTTTGCTGCTTAGAAATTTCTTCTACCAGATATGCTAAATCCTCTCTCAAGTTCAAAGTTCCACAAATCTCTAGGGCAGGGGCAAAATGCTGCCAGTCTCTTTGCTAAAACATAACAAGAATCACCTTTGCACCAGTTCCAAACAAGTTTCTCATGTTTATCTGAGAACACCTCAGCCTGGATTTCATTGTTTATATCACTATCAGCATTTTTGGCAAAGCCATTCAACAAGTCTCTAGGAGTTGCAAACTTTCTCATATTTTCTTGTCTTCTGAGCCCTCCAAACTGTTCCAACTTCTGCCTGTTACCCAGTTCCAAAGTCACTTCTATATTTTCAGGTATCTTTTCAGCAGGGCCCCACTCTACTGGTACCAATTTACTGTATTAGTCTGTTTTCACACTGCCCTTAAAGATGTACCCAAGACTGGGCAATTCAAAAAAGAAAGAGGTTTAATTGGACTTACAGTTCCACATGGCTCAGGAAGCCTCACAATCATGGTGGAAAGCAAGGAGGAGGAAGTCATGTCTTACATGAATAGCAGCAGGCAAAGAGACAATGAGAGCCAATCAAAACTGGTTTCATCTTATCGAACTATCAGATCTCATGAGACTCATTCACTATCATGAGATCAGCACAGGAAAGACCTGATCTGATAATTCAATTACCTCCCATCAGGTCCTTCCCACAATATGTGGGAATTCAAGATGAGATTATAAGATTTGGGCAGGGACACAGCCAAACTATATTACTTACTGAATCTTAAACTCTGTGGTTAGGCTTAGAAAAATGTATTTTTAACAAGTACCCCTGGTGACTACGATCCATGCTAACATTTACGAATGCTTGGGTTAAAGCAATCAACAGGCACATACATCTCACAAATGGGAAAACTAAAAATGACATTAAGGTATATCTTCCCCTATTGTTTTCCCTTCATCTGAAACTTGAGGTTCCCTGACTCACACTATAAAACTGAATGTGAGCCACAGAAATGTTGTGAGAATCAATATATCTGTTTGGGAATGTGGCAAAATTTTTGTGGTAGCTGCGAATAATTTTCAGAAAGTGAAACTTGAAGAAGAATATACTTAGAGAATTTATGTTGAGCTGATGGCAGGGGACTCAAGTAAGCATAAAAGAAGATTCTATGTGGGATTCCTTTGGTTCCTCCCATTAATTTCAACCTATAGATGCCTTGCTTAGGACACTAAGAAAGCCAAGTTAGCTCAAATTTTTATATCATTCTCCTTTGAGTTACACACATTATGATATTAAATTGACCTTTTTCATTAAAGAAATTGCATTAGGTAGTTAAATCTGATCTGGTGATACTGTAAATTTTATAGAAACAATGTTGCAATGGGAAAGAGGGATGGAGCTCTTGCAATCCATTTCCTCAACCTTCTTCACAAGTTCTATAAGAAATTGGCCCATCGAGTGCACTAAGACATGAAGTCCTCTGTGGTGAAGGGTAGTAATAAAAGTGAAGTCAAGAATACAGAAGAGACTCATGAACCTGCTAAAGCATTCTGGATAGGACATGCACCAGGGAATAAAACCCAACTATTGTATTGTTCTCATGGGTGAGAGAATGCTGAGATGAATTTCACCTATGTGCTTTGTTTTATGGAGCCGATTATACTATCAGAGTCTGGTTCAGATAATTCACAATGAGCATAAACTGTATGGAAGAAGAGAAAAACAAAAGGGATCTTCTACTTGGGAGACTTTCATTATTCAAAACAAATTCTAAAAACCATTTTTGGGGGGCACATAACAAATTTTCCCTCTGCTTCCAGGAAAAATTTACTGTTTTTGTTTGTTTGTTTGTTGTTGTTTTTAACAGCTACAATATGAAACAGGACTTTCCATTCTTTGACCCCACTTTGTATCCACTTAGATAAATGCATTTAAAGAAATTTACAGTGGAAACAGCCAGCAAACATTTCTTTCCAATATAAGCACTCTTTTTTCCCTCCAACCTTTGCAAACACTTAAGTATATTAACAGAGAATGAATAAGATTCCATCCAAAGAAATAGCAGTTCAACAAAAAGACTCTCTTTCCTGAATTTAATTCCACTTTGCCTTGGACACTCAATAATGTGTGCTCCTTACAATCATAGCACAGGGTCACATGGTTTGTGAAATTATTTAAATGTAGGTAAAAGTCATTGCATTTTTTAAATGCCATGATTGTACATATCTGTACAAAAACCTTGAGTCAGGGTTGATTTAGCAACTCTACCTGGGGCTTTAATTCTCTCCTGAATAACTATGTTAAATGTAGGCTAAGAGAAGCATTTTTCATCTTATTCTTTATTCACTATGTTAAAATTACCTTCTACCACTACACAAATTTTTATCTTAAGAGTGTTCCTTTACATGTTCCTAAAACTAATAGACGTTCCAATTCCTATGTCATGGATGATGAAACTGAAGCTCTGAAAGTCGAGATAACTTGCTGAGTACCATAAAGCTAGTACATGGGAAAGGACTCTGACATGATGAAAGACCCACATATTGGTATTGAAACACATTTTTAGATCTTCAAAAACCAAGAGTCATGGCCATTGTGTTACGGGAGTGAGCTACAACTTCCAGATCTGGCATTTTTAAACATAAAATGGTTATAAATCATTCTACTATAAAGACACATGCACACATATGTTTATTGTGGGACTGTTCACAATAGCAAAGACGTGGAACCAACCTAAATGGCCACCAATGATAGACTGGATAAAGAAAATGTGGCACATATACACCATAGAATGCTATGCAGCCATGAAAAATGATGAGTTCATGCCTTTTTCAGGGACGTGGATGAAGCTGGAAACCATCATTCTCAGCAAACTAACACAAGAACAGAAAACCAAACACTGCATGTTCTCAGTCATAAGTGGGAGTTGAACAATGAGAACACATGGACACAAGGAGAGGAACATCACCCACCGGGGCCTGTCGGGGGTGGGGGGCTAGGGGACAGATAGCATTAGGAGAAATATCTATTGTAGATGATGAGCTGATGGGTGCAGCAAACCACCATGGCATGTGTATACCTATGGAACAAGCCTGCACATTCTGCACATGTACCCCAGAACTTAAAGTATAATAATAATTTTTAAAAAACCAGTTATCAACATGTATTCTGTGTGAGGCTAAACATTCTTCTCACACCAAAGAACTCTATGACTCTGCCTACTGTAGTATGACAAAATAGGAAGGGAGGAGAAGTTGGTGTTTGGAGTTCCACTTTTCTTTCCCTAAAAATGTATTTATCTAATAGATGCACTATGGAATTGATTGATTTAGCAATATTTATTATCACTGGAAGATAATCATTGGTAAGAAAGGAAATGGAGAGTGATATACTTACCTATAGATAAGTAAATTCCAATTAAAATCCTTTCTGTGAATTATTAGCTCTGTCAATTTGGACAAAGTCTTTAGATTCTTCATTCGTAAAATGATTCTAAAAAAGATATTCTCATCTGCCTACATTACATAATTAAAATAAAGATTATAGAAAATAGGTACTAAAGAGCTCTGAAAGCTTAAAAAATAGACTATAAATTTAAGAATGAATGTTATAATACCACACTACCATTGTTTTGGGTGAATTAAGCTCTTTCTGCTTTCATATATAGATTATATATATGTGTATATATGTATACAATTATGTATAATATGTATATATGTAATATGTATATATGTATAATATGTGTGTATATATATATATATAATATTAAGGCATACTATATGGTGAAGAAAAAACTATATCAAAAATCCATGTATTTACCATCCAGCTAATTACACATACACACAGACATACACACACCATAAACAATACACATGCATACACACACACACACACACACACACACACACACACACACACAATCTACAATTATAGTCCCCTGCATATCCCTTTATATCTAATTCCTTTCTCTCATTCTCCACAGATGACCACTATCCTGCAGTTGGTGGTATATTATTCCCATATGTTTTCTCAAACCCTTGTTAAATATGGTCATGCGTAATTACAACTTCTTGTTATTACAATTAGTATTGCAATAAACTTTCTTGTACACATCTCCTTGTACACACAGCAAAAGTTCCTCTAAATTTTGTGAATCAGTGCACAGTCCATGAACTAGCAGCATTGGCGTCAACAGGGACCACATCAGATATGCAGAGCATCAGGCCTCAATAAGACTTTGTAAACAGAACCCACATGGGAACAAGATCCCCAGGTGATTCAAAAGCACATTTGAACTTGAGAGACACTGTTTTAGGACTTTTAAGAAGGAATAGACTTGCTGAGAAGAATACATACATCTTCAACTTTATTAGATATTGCCAAATTGTACTCCAAAGCAGTTATGTCACTATGCAGTTCCATCAGAAGTTAGACATTTTCATTCCTGCCAGTCAGCTGGATGTGAAATGTCATGTCATTATGGCTTTGATGTGAATTGTCCCCATTCCTAATGAGGTTGAACATCCCTTCATAGATTCCCTGTCCCTTGCTGCCTTCTATGAATTCCATGGTAACTGGAGTATGTGATATCCAAATATCCTGTGACAAATTTTCCTCTGGTTTCTATGGTATGCATTCTGTTCCTTTGTGTCAACTCAAAGCATATTAAAAAGGTCCTTTTAGCTCTTTTCATTCTTCCTTTTCTTTCTAAAAAAAATTTCCCTTTTCTGTCATTTCAGCCTTCCTTCTCTATTTGATAGGAGGGGCTGCAGGCTGTGTGAATATTCAGAAATACCAGTTGCCAAGGTATTAAATGTGTGTAATCATGCCCAAAGCGCTTTCTTTTCCTCTACTTTTATCTCTTCAGACCAAAACAAACGTAAGTATAATAGCGAATTCATAAGTGAAAAGAGGATTCTAAACCAGACGAGCCTGATTTCCAGGCCTATGCTTAAAGATGTTTTCAATTTCTAATAGTTTTTCATCATAAATATATGAATTTTACATTGAAGTTGCATGCTGCTACTTTGATAATTTTAATATATAATATATTAATATATAATAATATACAATATATAATACAATATAATATGTATATTATACACACATATATGGATAATATATTACACACATATATTGCATTTATACACACACATAAATAATATAATCTCTTAATAGCATCAGTGTTTTGGCGTTCAAGGCTTACCTCTGAGATATTCTTTTTTTTTTTTTTTTTTTTTTTTTTTTTTTCTGAGACAGAGGCTTGCTCTGTTGCCCAGGCTGGAGTGCAGTGGCGTGATCTCGGCTCACTACAAGTTCTGCCTCCCGGGTTCACGCCATTCTCCTGCCTCAGCCTCCCCAGTAGCTGGGACCACAGGTGCCTGCCACCATGGCCGGCTAATTTTTTTTTGTATTTTTAGTAGAGACGGGGTTTCACCATGTTAGCCAGGATGGTCTCGATCTCCTGACCTCGTGATCTGCCCGCCTTGGCCTCCCAAAGTGCTGGGATTACAGGTGTGAGCCACCGCACTGGGCCCCAAGGCTTAACTCTGACATAGTCTTCTGTAAAGAGTAAGTTAGAGAAGAGATGAAATAGTTCTGAAGTTACTCATAAGGTTCGTTACACAGTTCTACCATATTTTAAAAATTATTATGGGAATCACCTGTGATACCTGCTAAATAAATAAGATCAACACACTGATGTATACATTTTGGAAAGAACATTTTGGTCAGTCTTGCTCAGGGAAGAAATATCCTCCTACATCCCAAGAGGGTATCTACTAGGCAAATGTCAAGACAATTAAAATTAGGACCCATTTTAACACTGCACAGCTTATTTCCCTGTCTCAAAACACTAACAAAGAGACGAGTCAAAGTGCTGACTTGGTTTATGAGCTGTCCACTCTCCCAGTACAGCTGCCACTTCACAGTTATCTCTCTGTGACCACTGAGTAGGCACAGATAAGAGAGGGCTTCAAGGCTGCAGCAGCTCTGGGTCTAGCAGGTCTGCTGGCAGCTAGTTGGAACTGCGTCCACACCTCTTGCCTCCATTTCAGCCTCAGTCTCTACAGCTCTCACAGTGCTAACATCTTGGCTACATTCTAAGCACATCTGTAAATGTGTGCCTTACTCTTCATTTCAAAGTTATGAGATGCCTATTTTGGAAAATACACATAATGTAAGAAGCAGTAAATCTGATTTGATGTGACAGATGAAAGAAATTGGAGAGGATATTGTAACTACTCAAGTTTGCAGAAACTTTTTTTTTTATTGCCAATAAAGAACTTTCTCAGTTTGGATAAAAGCACAAGCATGAGGTGTTCTTGATAAGCGCTTTTCTTTCCAGAAACTTAAAATAGGTTAAAAATAGCCCATCACATATTTGTGAGGGTGATGCTAAATGCTGCCATTCTTTAGGAAAGGGAAAAGGGTGAAGAATTTTTTCTTTTTTTAGAAAAATACTTGCACACATACATGAAGCCAAAAAATAGTGAATTTCTAAGTATAAATCCCTTCTTTTCCCATAGATCAAGCAGTAAATTATCCATTGAGACACAAAACACTGCATTAGCTGCTGAAAGAATGGAGGGCAATAAATATAAACTATGAACAGTTTCGCCCTCTAAGTTGTTATAACAATTAAATGAGTTAGTACATGTATAAACATTTAGGGCAGATTTGAATGCACAGGAAGTGCTCAATAAATGTCTGTTATCTTTATTATTTTTCTTTAAAAACTTTAAGTATATACATGCAAAAGTACTTCATAATCTCCTCCAGTGTTAAAAATAGATTTCACTATTTATAATTTCTTTTTGCATCCCCAGCAACTAGCTCAGGAAGTGATCCATAAATATCTATAGAATTCAATTGATGTCAGCTTATATTAAATTACATATCAAAGCCAAAGGCAGTAAATTCTAAAGAACGGTGATTCTCAACAGTTAGGTGACATTCGGCAATGTATGGAGATGGTTTGGTTGTCACAACTTGGCAGACAGGAGGTTACTACTGGTGTCTGGTGGTTAGAGGTCAGGGATACTGCTAAAAATTCTACAATGCACAAGACAGTCCCCTGCAAATAACAAAAACAAAAACCTAACACTACTAAAATTACAATATTGCTGGGGGAGTGTTGAAGGCATAGCATTTCAAGGATGGGAGACATTTCAGACACAAGAGAAAATATGAAGAAAAATGGGGAGAGGTATTATAGTACAAACAGCAACAATAAAAGTATGAAAACTCTAGAAGGAGTGTTTAGAGAACAGGGAGATCACCTTGGGTTTGTTCTTCCTATCCCTGCAATTCCCTGTCTGTATTTCTTCTACCCATTCCTCTTGTGCCCTGGATTAGTTACTAGTGCATCTAATCATGTGATTCTGACCCAGGAATATGTCCCCACCTCCAACTTTGGGAAAATCACAATCCCTCCCTTTGGTTTGTCTGTCTGTAGAAATATTACAGTTCCAGATTTCTTAGAGATAGTTCCATTCTCCTGTCCTGATTCTTTGCTTAATGTAGATAAGTGAAGAGTTTCCTTATCTTTAAATCCGTTTCACTAGACAAGGGAGAAATAACTTTACATTTCTCTGAGATGCCTAAAACTGTCCATTAAGCCCACTTCAATAAGTGTGTTTAATGGGATGATTATCCAATCTTAAAGAACTTTTATCTTCAGCCATATGTAGTAACAGGAAACAGAATAGTATTAGGCATGTATCATCCCAAGCCATTAGTAACCATACATTTCTTCTTTAATTAACAATTTGTTCCATTATGTGTGTTTTCTCTATGCAAGTTGTAAGAACTGTGAGACCTCCTTCCCGTATTTTGTGTTTCTCACTTATAAGGATTTGATGCAAAAGAAACTAAATAGTTGAGCACATTTCTTCCATTACTAGGATTTTCTTTTATTTTTCCCACTTATGTCCCCATATTAAAGGACATTTACATTAAAGCCACTCAGCAAGGACAGTGCCTAAGGAAAAATAAATTATGAATTCATAAAACTTAAGGAATAAGGGTTGCAGGGTAATTTCATAATTCATATGCCTTAGCATTTGTTTTGCTTTGCCTGTTTGATTTTATTTCTACCAAGAAATAAACAGTGACATTTACTCTATATCTTGTTATTTTAAACACTCTAGTAATTTTGTTCATGTCCCATAAAGAACCCAGAAACAAGGAATTAAAAGAATATGAAAAAATATCTAGCAGTATCTAGCAGCTGCCCAATTATAATAACCTCAAGGCAAAGAAGTTGGTCAGGAGTGCAATTCTTTTGTTTACTTTTAATTTCCTTCTGGCTTTTAAAAATATAACTTGTGTTCCTATAAATGCTACATCAAAGCAGTCATAACAAATAATTAGAATGTTATCAAAGACCATTACATAGTATTGTGAAGTGACTCAAAAACAGCTGCTATTTTATGTGAATTATTCCATGATTTGATTTGAAATACTTTCCACCAGTGTATCCAATGGCATTTTTAAGAGTAATGACAGACTCATGACAAAACAGTTTTTGAACTTTCGTGGATCTCAGAAGGAAAATAACTTTGATTGGTGGATGAGTGTTATGAATGGGAATGTATTCTTTTACAAGAGAAATGTTAGTTTGAAATTGCATGCTTTCAGACTGTGTGTATAAAGGGCACAACTGCAGAATATGTGCACAGATCAGACACCTGGAGGACTTTCCCAGAAATACATCATGCCACAGGAGCAGACAATTCACTTGCTAATTTAACTTGTCTCACCTCTGGAGTCAGCCATTCTCTAACACTATATATCAAAGAAATAGTGAGATGCAGACAGGTATGCATGAGTTCGCCTGGATAAAAGTAAGCTTAAGTAGGCAAACAAAAACAGGAAAACAAAAAAGACCTGCAGCATGGGAAAAGAATGGGCAAGGCTAAGAAACGAAGATAAAAAATAAAATGAGAAAAGCAAAGACTGATACAACAAGCTGTCCCACTTCTTTTTATTCTATTGATTGAAGCAAAGTGCCTTGTAATTGCTTTGATTAATTGGTCTGTGCTTGAGCTGTTGTACAATTCCCTATCCCACTCCACTTCTACAAAAAAAAATACAGTAAAAATTCCTTTTTGTTTTACTTAGAAAAGAGTACATAAGTAGAAGAGTAACTTTAGTAGTATTTGGCCACAGCTAAAACTTGCTATGATTTAGTGTAAGGACAATGACCATGGACCCTCTAGATGAGTCACTTTCTAAGTGAGTTTATTTACCTATTGACATGTCAACTCAAACTTATTATGCATTTAGTGATGGGAAATCAACATTTATAGTGTTCAGGCCTTATCAATACTTTTTCCTGATAAGTCTGGTCCAAAATTATTTATTTATTTATTTATTTATTTATTTTAGAGGGAGTCTCTCTCTGCCACCCAGGCTGGAGTGCAGTGGCATGATCTCAGCTCATTGCAACCTCCACCTCACAGGCTGAAGTGATTCTCCTGCCTCAGTCTCCCAAGTAGCTGGGATTACACGTTCCCACCACCATGCTCGGGTAATATTTGTAGTTTTAGTAGAGACGGGGTTTCACTGTCTTGGCCAGGCTGGTCTCGAACTCCTGACCTCAGGTGATCCACCCGCCTTGGCCTCCCAAAGTGCTGGGATTACAGGCATAAGCCACCATGCCCAGCTTTCCATTTTATTATTAATATAATTTGGAAGATTTTAACTTTTACTATGTCAGCCACTTCTTGCCAACAATGTATTTTTTCAAATTCTTTCAAGATATTTTGTCTTGGGAGACACAGTACACAGAATACATAAACTGTTAATTTTGCTCATGTCATAAAATTGTAATGAATGCTTTACATATTATAATATTCTATTTAATAGTTTATTTAATATTTAATATAACCTTAAAAGGTATGAGTCTGCAGGAAATAAATGAGCCATGGTTTTTTTTAGTTCACCCTTATGACTAAATTCCTATGTGTTTGACTTTCACACTTACCTTTATATTATTTTAGATATATAACCCATGTTTCTTCAGAGTAAATACCTAAATGGAATGTTTATGAATAGAGAAATAGTTACCTAAATTAAGAAATGTCGATAAAATGGAATATTATGCACCATTTAAAAAGAATGAGTTAAATCACTATGCAGACCTGGAGTGAAAAGAAATTGGAGTAACCTGTTTAACAAGGTCACAGTATTTGAAAAAAAAGTAAATGTTTATATTTGTATTTGCCCAAAGAAGAACAAATACGAGGTACTCAAATCAATAGCAAGAAAACAAATAATCTGATTTTTAAATGAGGAAAGCACCTGAAAAGACATTTCTCAAAAGAAGACATACACATGGCCAATAGGTACATTAAAAAATTTTCAGCATCACTAATCATTAGAGAAAGGCAAATTAAAACCTCAACAAGATATCACTTCACACCTGTTAAAATGGCTTCTATCAGAAAGGTGAAAGATAACAATTTTGGCAATGATGTAGAGAAAAGAAAACTCTTGTACATCATCAGTGAGAATGTAAATTAGTTTCAGCCATTATGGAAAACAGGGTGGACACATTACACTAATTTAGTTGATAATGTGTTAGCATTTTATATTTTTGTCAAGTATGTCTTAGGGAGGCTTTGGAGCTGCCTCAATTATGGCATTTTAACAATGTCATAATTGATATAAAATGGTAACACACTATCAACAAAATTAATTATGACTAAGCTCTACCATGGGCAAAGAAAATACAAAAAGTATTTAATGTGCTATCTCATTTACTATTTGCAGCTAACCTAAAAGTAAAATGATTAATTCCATTCCAGGTATGAGTTAACTGAGACTCAGAGGTAAACTAGCTAGTAAGTGGAACCTAAAAGTAAAATGATTAATTCCATTCCAGGTATGAGTTAACTGAGATTCAGAGGTAAACTAGCCAGTAAGTGGCATAACTGATATTAAACCTGAGTTCTGACTAATTAAAAAACCCACGCTTATTTCACTAAACACTATTGCCTCAATGATCTACTTTTTACTGTATAATATGCATAGGTATAGGTCTGAAAGTACACAAATACTAGGAGTAAAACCATGGCGGAATATGTACAAAAACAACGATACGATGTTAGTTTGTTTGGCTGGTACATATGCCTCTGGCCTACAAATGCCTAGATGAATAAAGCATGTTGCCGATGGGAAGGAATATGAAAGGGCCAATAGTATATACTTTAGGCATAAATGAGTAGTTATAAAGGTACATTAATGCCATATACTGTCTAACCATTGAAAACATCTTAAAAATTAGTTAGATTTGGTCTGCCTGCATTTTAAAGTTGTAACTTGACATTTTATCATCTTTGAACCAATAAGAATTTTCATACCATTCTGTGTCTTTTGTCTCCCTTGATTTTCTATATTGCTATGGGGACTTAGGCTGACACATTTATCGGTTTTCATTTAATTACATTTTTTAATACTTTTCCAGTTCCCAACAGAAATGCTGATGTTTCAACCAAGAGCTTTGCTTTGTTTTAGCTATTTGTTAGATTTAATTGTTTCCATTTAGAATTTAGAGTTCATTCTTTTTGAATTAGTGAGTTAAGGCAAAGACCAATTTCTTTGTTTAAAATATCGATTCTTTAAACTATCTTTAATGAATATTTTCTGTTAAAATAAGCAACTTAATTAAACATTATCTCAAAGTCCGAATATAGACCTTGTTGATTTCAGCACAATAATTTTATTCACATCATTTTATTCTCTCAACTCCTTCTAAAAATCTAAGAATTGTATGATCACATGATATGCTCTATATGATTTTTCAACTACCTAAGCAATGTGCAAAATTAAACTTTTTTTTTTTTTTTCCTGAGACGGAGTCTCACTCTGTTGCCAGGCTGGAGTGCAGTGGTGTGATATCGGCTCACCGCAACCTCCGCTTCCTGGATTCAAGCAATTCTCCTGCCTCAGCCTCCCGAGTAGCTGGGACTACAGGTGTGCGCCACCACACCCGGCTAATTTTTGTATTTTTAGTAGAGACAGGGTTTCACCATGTTGGCCAGGATGGTCTCTATCTCTTGACCTCGTGATCAGCCCACCTCGGCCTCCCAAAGTACTGGGATTACAGGCGTATTAAACTCTTCATTTTCTATATAATAATACCATTAGTAACTATTTTCAAGCAATGATTCCCCCCCCAAAAAAGAAAAGAATTTAAATAAGTTAGAATGGGGCTAATATAATGACACTAAATTTGTAACTTCACTAATAGTTGTAGAATAATAGTACAAATTTGCATATGAATGCATACTAACTATTCATTAAACATTTTTCTGTAGTATTATGCACTGTTTAATACATGATTCATAAAAGAGTACATTTAAATGGTCAAAAGGTATATGAAAACATGCTCGACATCACTAATCATGAGGAAAATGCAAATCAAAATCATATTCACATATAACCTCACACCACTTAGGATAGCCATTATCAAACAAACAAACAAAAATACAGAAAATAACAAGCGTTGGTAAGTATATAAAGAAATCAGAACCCTTGTGCACTGTTAATGGAAATGTAAAGTGTCGCAGCCACTCTAAAAAATGTCATGGCAGTTCATCAAAAACTTAAAAATAGAACTACTATTTGATCCAGCAATCCCACTTATGGATATTCATCTAAAAAATTAAAATCAGGATCTTGAAGAGATATTTGCACTCCCATGTTCATTGCAGAATTATTCACAGCAGCCTTTGGCTACTGTGGAAATAGTATGTGGAAACCAACTAGATGTTCATCAACAGAAGAATGGGTAAAGAAATGTTTTATATATATATATATATATATATGTAATGTTATATATATTATATATCATATAATATATATAATATATAATATATAATGTTATAAATATATATAATATATACAATATATATAATATATACAATGTATATATTATATATAATGTTATAAATATATGTAAATACATATGTATATGATATAAAAATGTTTTATACACACCCACGCATGCATGCAATAGACTATTATTCAGCCATTAAAAAAAGGAAATCCCACAATGTGGATGAACTTGGAGAACATTATGTATGCTAAGGGAAATAAGCCAGTCATAGAAGGGCAAATACTGCATGATTTAACTAATATGAGGTATCTAAAGTAGTCACACTCATAGAAACAGAAGGCAGAATGGTGGTTGCTAGGGGATGCAGGGGGATGATAGGAGGTGCTATTCAACAGCTATAGAATTTCAGTCATGCACACTTCTCAAAAGAAGACATTTATGCAGCCAACAGACACATGAAGAAATGTTCATCATCACTGACCGTCAGAGAAATGCAAATCAAAGCCACAATGAGATACCATCTCACACCAGTTAGAATGGTGATCATTAAAAAGTCAAGAAACAACAGGTGCTGCAGAGGATGTGGAGAAATAGGAACACTTTTACACAGTTGGTGGGACTGTAAACTAGTTCAACCATTGTGGAAGACAGTGTGGTGATTCCTCAAGGATCTAGAACTAGAAATACCATTTGACCCATCCATCCCATTACTGGGTATATATGCAAAGGAATATAAATCATGCTGCTATAAAGACACATGCACACATATGTTTATTGTGGCACTATTCACAATAGCAAAGACTTGGAACCAACCCAAATAGCTGTCAATGATAGACTGGATTAAGTAAATGTGGCACATATACAGCATGGAATACTATGGAGCCATAAAAAAGGATGAGTTAATGTCCTTTGTAGGGACATGGATGAAGATGGAAACCATCATTCTCAGCAAACTATTGCAAGGACAGAAAACTTAACACCACATGTTCTCACTCATAGGTGGGAATTGAACAATGACAACACTTGGACACAGGGTGGGAAACATCAAACACTGGGGCCTGTCATGGGGTGGGGGGAGTGGGGAGGCATAGCATTAGGAGATATACCTAATGTAAATGAAGAGTTAATGGGTGCAGCACACCAACATGGCACATGTATACATATGCAACAAACCTGCACGTTGTGCACATGTACCCTAGAACTTAAAGTATACAAAAAAATTTCAGTCATGCAGAACAAAAAGTTCTAGAGGTCTACTGTACAACATTGTACTTATAGTTAACAATGCTGTACTGTGCGCTTAAAAAATTTTAATAGGGTAGATCTCTTTATGTGTTTTTTACCATAATTCTTAAAAAATATGATTCATAATGAAAGAGTTAATATGCATGCCAACTTATCTGGGTTTCCATAAATATCAGATATATTTTGTATCAATTACATCTCTTGGGCTATCTTTTGAAGGTTGTCTGTATAATCTAACAGATGATGATGAAGGTGAATTTCTCTGACCATGAAATCATCATGAAAGGCAACAAGACATAGTGAAAAGCATAGGATTTTGAGTTCTTAACGACTAGACTATGAATAACCAAGTCTGAAATTCATGGAAAAAGAAGCCAAGCAATGGAAACTTGAGAATCATCTGCATACATATTTTATATATGTTTTTATAATTAAAACCATAGCAGTTGATAAGACAACCAAAGAAAAATATAAAAAAAAACATGTATGGTTGCCAGAACCATAACAAAAAATATTTAAAGTATGTACAAAGGAAGAAGAAAAAAATCCATGAAAGAGGAAAAATAAAACGGAAAAGAAATACACAGGGGAAGGAAAGAGAGAGAACTATGAGGAATGCAAGGTCTTGAGGGTCAACAAACATGGGGACTTTGAGCAGAAAGGGGAAAATCAATGATGTCAAAGGCAGTACAGTATATGTCTATTGGATTTGGCAATTAGGAGATCATAAATGAGTGTAGATTCTGTAATGCAGCAAGAGGAGAAAGCAGAAACAGTAGTTCAAGAAGGAAATAGGAGCTTGGGAAGTAGAATTTGTGTGTAGTTATTCATAGCGTGGAAAAAGTTGGATGTGAAAGACAGGAATAAAATTTTAAGAGAGCTACATGCTGATTCAAGAACAGAGAATTTTTAAAAATTGTTTTCAGGAAGAAATTTTAAACATTGTTGAAGGGAAATAACATTTAGAATGTAAGATATTGGAGATTCAGAACAAACAATATAATGGATGAAGTAAGATTTTGGAATATATGAAAAGGAATATTATCAAAGTATAGTATAACATTTGGCCTGGAATTGAATCCACTATTCTATGAGCTTGGACAACAAAATGTTAAGTATGTGTATGACATAAATTCTTCTATATGGAGGGAGAATGAAGTTTAAAGAGACCAAACGATCTCCTGATGAAATGGGAGGCAAATCTTCTGCTTGCAAGGGAACAAGCTGGGCATTAAACAGGAAGCTTGGAGAGAAGAGGTACAGCCTTACAACAGAGAAGGTACATGTTAAAGTCAGACAAAAGAATAGAAGTGCCAGCTGAATTTGATTATTATAAACCTGTAGTGCTACTAGAAAAGACAAAGTAAAATACATAACTAATAACATAAATTAAATCAAACCAATATGAGAAAAACTGGAGAGGCTCTATAGATATCATTTGCTTTTAACCTAAAATTTTAAACAATATAGCCCACAGCCCAGACACAGTCTATCTTTGCAATTGACATAAATTTTAATAAGTGTTATGTAGAACCCATTCATTTTCTCCTAAAATTTGCTTAGATAAAATTATTTCTTTGAACCTGAAGTATAAGAGGGTTTCTTCATACTTTTCACTATCTTCCAAATCCTTTCCATCTAGAGAAATAACAACTTTGTTGAGCAAATAATATAAGTGGCACACAGTGAGAATAGAGATCAGAATAAGATGTGGGTCTATCATAAAAATATATTTCCCAAATTCCATTATAACTTATTTAGCTAGTATTTAATCAAAGCGTTTTTTTTTTTCTTTTTTCTTTTCTCTGAAATTCCTTTATTTGAAGTTGAATTTTATTGCAATTATTGTTTTGTGTTTTCTCCAAGTAATGATCTATAATTACCCTCAAGTGAATTAGCAAAACTGAAAGAAACTATTTCATGTGTTCCTCTGGTTGAATGAGTCTTTTCTTTCTTGCTATTTCTGTGAATGACAGCTTTTTTCAGGTGCCAAATGAACTCAATTTGTGAGACTTTAATTATTTTCTCATTCCAAAGACATTACAGGAAAATATCTGTGATTCCTTTTTTCTTCCTTTCTTTCCCCTTGGTGAACATCCCAATGTCATAAATCTCGAGTTTATCTATAAAATAATGCTACTCAGTTTATTTTTCTTTGGATTTCGAATTTCTGTTCTGACTTTTAATCTGTATGATTCAGAATTTGGCAATCACAATGTGTGTAATATGCCAGGAAAATCATCTGTTTAGACCAATATCATTTTTACAAATTTTAATATATAAATTACAAATCCCATCCCAATTAAGAAATCTTAAGCAAAGAACATTTTAGTTAATGCTATTAAATGAACTGGCATCCATCTCCATCAATAATTAATGGAATAATACACTCTGCTCACAATTATGCTTTCCTATTATCTAATGGGTTTTTTTGTTGTTGTTGTTGTTGGAACATCAACATGTTACTAAAAATAACAAGACTTGAGAACAAAATTCTAACAAGCAAAAACCTAGACATCAGCTAAATGAATAGGACATTAGGTTCAAAACAAAAATGGTAACATTTAGATCAGCGTATTAACTTGCCAATTGCCAGATACATGTGGTGAGCCCAATAAATGGTGTAACTAAAGGCTTATAAAAATATTATTGGTTACATATTGATCATTTCACTCAATATGATATTAGCTATGAACTTCTAATTCTAGCAATGTCCACTGAGAAAAATACCTAGCTGGCATGCATTAAAATGTTTCACTATTTTATGTCTATAATATCTTCTGAGCTCTCAAATTCTGTCATACAGCAGTATTATTACTCTAGTTTGCAAATACCAGAGGCATATGCCTATTTTCAAAAATCTATTTTAGAAAAGTATTACAAAAAATTAATAGTTAAAAGAATTTCATCAAGATTTGATGAATATTGAGCTATCTCTAGTTGGAACAATCTAGGGCATAGCCAGGTCTTAATTGTGTAGATAACATAAATGCTATAAAACCACTATGTTTTAATATAGAACTTCTATATACACCAATGTGTTATATATCAATGACAACTGGATAAAAGGCTGGCAGTGTTAGTTTCCTTTTCAAAAATAAAAAATGGCCTCAAGAAAAGTAAAGTAACTTGCCTGACTTGGCACAATAAGTAAATACCTGGAACTCATGCCTCCTGAAAAGAGCATGAATCAAATAATAAGATTTATTGAATAAGAATATAGGTCTCATGACTCCAAGTATGGTGTAATCCAAGATAATCAATTGCAGTTATATATTTACTGACCCCGTCATTACAGTTTACAATGTATGCTAAAGTTTAGGAATAAAATAGTGAGAAAAACAAAACAAAACAAAAAACCCTTATTTTCAAAGAATCTGCACTAAAGGGAAAGATATTAATTAATTATTGAATTAACAAATAGCAATTTACAACCTAATCCAAGTGTTAAGGAGGTCAGGAACAGGATTGTTTAAAGTAAATGTAATGACTAGCTTTGGCTGAATCAGGAAGGCTATTGAGGACCGCTTGTCCTGATATCTGTAACATGGATAATTTGATGAAGGTAAGGATATTTAGGTTAGTGTTTGCCCAAATATCTGGGTACCGTGGCCTAGTCAAGTTGACACATAAAGTTTATCATCAAATCACCCATCTAATTTCTAGATTTCTCAAGTATTAACTTCTCACTGCCAATGACCTACCAGCTCCAATTATGTATCTGATCCATAATTACATTCTGAACCTGAAAATCACCAGGCAGGATCTATCCCAAAGTCACTAACTTAAATAGGCCACATACTGACCAAAATCCCTTATTATGTCAGCTCATAAGTTCAAGTATCTTTATGGTAACAGTTTTTAGATGAAATAAGAATCTTCAGGCCTTTGATTCGTACTCTTTCCTCTGTCAGTCAGTGTTCTCCCTTATCCATCTTGGATGCCATGGTCAAGTTCTTAAATTACTATCTTGTAAAAATATTAAGCAACATTATTTTTCTATCTAAAAATGGGTAAGTAAATAAATAACAAGAAATAAATGAAGGTAAGATGGGTGGCAGACAGAAGAATTCATTCCTGAGGGGAAACAGCATGTGCAAATGAGCTGGGGCAGGAGAGAACGCAGATGATTTGAAGTGCTAAAAGTGCAGAGTAGTTGAAGAAGAAAGAGCTAGAGAAAGAAAGGTTTGAGAGGAATATAATGCAGTGGCCACTCATGCAGGGCCTCTCAGGCAGCATCAAAGATTCAGACGTTGAGGAATGATATTACTAAGATGGCAGATTAAGGGTTACCAGCCCTAATCCTCCTCCAAAAAGAAAAAAAATATAGAGATAAATGGCTATTCACAAACCAAAATAGCCCAAAGAGGACTCAATGGCTCAATAAAGAATCTATAGTAACACAGTGAAGCAAATTAAAAAATGGAGAATATCCACACAGAAAAAAAAAATCACTGGTGAGACTGGCATACCTCAGATGCCAGGAGATAGCTAGCAGCAAAGGAGAAAGGTAGAGGCTATTGGTATGAGCCAAACAGCAGAAACTACTATGGTCTCAGTGGCCTTCTATACAGAGAACAGTGACATCTTTTGCCACTGTGGTAAAAAATAACCATTCTCACTAGGAACACCAAACAGGGAGATGTGGCTCCACACCCCTCCTTTGTCCAAAAGCAGTCACTGTTGAGCCACTTTGAAAAATGAGCCACAACCATTCCCAGCTCCTTGTATGCCCCAACCTTGGAGCTGTGGCTACTCCATAAATGACCATACTCCAGACCCAGGCTCTGTGGCTGACTGGAACTGCTCCTGTCTCAGACATCAGACTTATTGTGAGAGTGAGCTAGTTGAACTCCAAGCCCTAAAGACAAGATCTCACTGTATGTGCCTACATCCTGAGCACTGGCTCAGCTGCCATAGAGAGGTAACCACTGCCCTGCCCCTGGAGCCAGTGTAACTATGCGAAGGCCCATGCTTCCATTTTCAGCTCCTCACCTACTCCACAAGCAACTGTCTCACATGCTGTTACAAGCATGTTAATAGAAGTGACTACACGCTGGATATAAAAGCCATTACTGCCCCCAGTCCTAAAGCTGTAGTTCCTCCACACATGCTCATGCTGAGAGTTTAGCTCTGTGGCCATTCCACAGGTACCACTAATTAGACACTGGTACCACTGCCACCCTAAGCAGCCCTGCAAACCAGACCTAGTGCCATAAGGATTCCTTCAGCCACAATGTTTTCAGTGGGAGAAAAAGAGATTAGGAAGAACTTAGCCATTGTCACTGCAGACACCCACAGCATTGGTCACTGAGGAACCCTGCAATTTTTATTCACATTGATATCAGCTAAAATAGCTGCACAGAAACTACAGAACAAATCCCCTACTTGTGCCAGAAACACTGCACTTTACCCAGAAAGTGCCCTCATGCTTCATTATAACCTCCATAGAAGATAGGCTTTGGAGAAAGCCTGGAAGAAGTGATTGTCCCATCATATATGCACAAATCAACAAAAGGTAACAAGAAACAACAACAACAAAAATCAAAGGTGATATAACACTACGAAAAAGCCCACAGAATTTTTCAGTAGCTGACCCCAAAGAAATGGAAATATACAAACTGTTTGACAAAGAATTCAAAATAATTATTTCAAAGAAGCTCAGCAAACCTGAAAAAATAGAGAAATGTTCAAAAAATTAGAAAAGCAATATATGTCCGTAAATTTAACTAAGAGAATGGAATTATTGTTATTTTTAATTTAACTAATTAATTACTTTTTTTAGATAGAGTCTCACTCTGTCACCCAGGCTGGAGTGCAGTGGTGCAAACTTGGCTCACTGCAACCTCAGCCTCCCAGGTTCAAGTTATTCTCCTGCCTCAGCCTCCCTAGTAGCTGAGATTACAGGTGTGTGCCACCATGCCTGGCTAATTTTTGTATTTATAATAGAGATGGGGTTTCACCATGTTGGCCAGGCTGGTCTCGAACTCCTGGCCTCAATTGATCCACCCACCTTGGCCTCTCAAAGTGCTGGGATTACAAGCATGAGCCACCATGCCCGGCTGAAATTATTTTTAAAAAGATAAGTTTTGGAACTGAAAATATGGAAGAAATATTTTTTTAAAAAATGCAGTGAAGAGTATCAATCACAAAATTGATCAAGCAGAAGAAAGAATCTGTGAACTCAAAGGCAAGTTATTTGAAAGTACAGTCAGAAGAATAAAATGAAAGAATGAAAAAGAGTGAAGAAAACTTACAGGACTTACAGGACAGTGTCAAAAGAGCAAACTATAAAATTGTAGGGGTTTAAGAAGTAGAAGAAAGTGACAAAGGTGAAGAAAGCTTATTTAAAGAAATAACAGCAGAAGACTTTACAAATCAGAGGGAAAAATATACATGTTTTCAGATACAGGAAAGTCAAAGGTCTCCAATCATATTCAAACAAGGAAGACTACACCAAGACTTATTATGATCAAGCTGTCAAAAAAAAAAAAAAAAGCAGAGTATCCTGAATGCAGCAAAAAAAGCAAAAAATGTATAAGGGAGTTTCAATAAGACTAGCAATGAATTTCTCAGCAGAACTTTAAAGGCCAGAAGACAGTAGCATATGTTAAAAATGCTGAAGGAAAAAGCCGGCAAAAAAGACTGTATCCAGCAAAGCTGTTCTTCAGAAATGAAGAAGAGATAAAGAAAGTCCCAGACTAACAAATGCTGAAGAATTCAACACACCAGACCTCTCTTATGGGAACTGCTAAATTAATTTCTTCAAACTAAAAGAAAAAGTCAATAATTTGAAACATAAAAATATATGAAAAATATAAAACTCAATGGTAACACAGTCAAATTTAGAATACTCTAATAATGTAATAGTGGTGTGAAAAATCATGTATATCGATAATATGAAGGTTAAAAAACAAAATGATTAAAAATAATAGTTATAATAATTTGTAAAGAATATGCAATATAAAATAATGTGAATTGTGGCATCAAAAATATAAAATGTTGGCAAGGGGAGTAAAAGTGTAAAGTTTTCTATGCAATCATAGTTGCTATCACCTTAAGCCAGCCTGTTATAACTGTAAGATTATTTATGAAAGCTTCATGTTTACAAAAACCATAAGTGTAGTAGATAAACAAAATAGAAAAAGTCAGGAATTATAGCATACCACTAGATTAAATTACCTAATAATAATGGAAGACATCTTGAGAGAAAGAAAGGATATAAAAAATGACCAGAAAACAACTACCATAATGGCAATCATAAGCTCTTACCTATTAACAATTACCTTGAATGTAAATGGGTTAAATTCACCAATCAAACGAATGAAGTAGCTCAATGACTATAAAAGGAAATGAGACCCAACTATATATACTTTCTCCAATGGACTCACTTAAAGGACACACATAGATGAAAAGTGAACAAATGAAAAAAGATATCCCATGTGAACGGAAACCAAAAGAGAGCAGAAGTAGCTATAGACACATTAGATAAAATACACTAAGTCAAAAACTATAAAATGAGATTTAAAAGTCAATCCATAATGATAAACAGATCAATGTTTCAAGAAGATATAACAATTGTAAATACATATGTACACATTATATCACCTGAATATATAAAGCTAATATTAATAGATCTGTAGAGAAAGATATACTGCAGTATAAATTTAGTAGGAAATTTCAATACCCCACTTTCAACAATGGATAAAGTATTCAGCTAAAAATTCAATAAGGAAAAATCGCACTTGAGTTACACTTTAGACCAAACTGACCTAACAAACATATACACACATTCCATTCAACAACAGCACAACACACAATTTTCTCAAATGCACATGGTTTATTATCCAGGGTAGATTATATGTTACAATGCAAAGCAAGTCTTAACACATCTAAGAAGGTTGAAATCATAATAAGAATCCTGTCCAGCCAGATGATATAAAACTAGAAATCAATGTTAGGAGGAATTTTGGAAAATTCACAAATATTTGGAAGTTGAACAACATATTCCTAAACACCAATGGGTCAATGAAGAAACTTAAAAAGAAATTGAAAAGTATCTTGAGATAAACAAAAATGGAAACACAACATACCAAGTGAGGGGAAGCATGCAAAGCAGTTTCAAGAGGGAAATTTATAGCAATAAGCACCTACATCTAAGAAAAACAAAGAAAGAAACATCCCAAATAAATGAGCTAACATTATACCTTAAATAACTAGAAAATGAAGAACAAACTAAACCCAAGTTAGTAGAAAAAGGAGGAGGAGGTAATAAAAATCAGAACAGAAATAAATGAAAAAGAGTCTAGAAAAAGATTAGAAATGGTCAGTAAATCCAATAATTTTTTTCTAAAGAAAAAAATATCAACAAACTTTTGGTTAGAGGGCCAGGGGTGGGATTCCATGGTTTGCTTGTGTCCTCCAAAGTTCATGTGTTAGAAACTTAATCCCTGATGCAACAGTGTTAAGAGGTGGGGATCTAATAAGAGGAAATTAAGTCATGGTCAATTTCTTAAAATGCTCTCTTGTAAAAATATTAAACGACATTACTTTTGTATCTACAAATGAAAGAAAGAAAGGAAAGAAAGAAAGAAAGAAAGAAAGAAAGAAAGAAAGAAAGAAAGAAAGAAAGAAAGAAAGAAAGAGAGAGAGAGAGAGAAAGAAAGAAAGAAAAATTAATGAAGGTAAATGGGTGGTAGGCAGAATAATTTATTCCAGAGGGGAAACAGCATGTGCAAATGAGCTGGGGCAGGAAAGAACATAGATGATTCATAGATGGATTAATGTCGGTATCACAGAAGTGCATTAGTTATTGCAAGAATGGGCTTGATATAAAAGCCAGTTCAGTCTCCTCATGCTGTCTTGCTCTCCCAAACTTTCTTGCCCTTCAGCCATGGGATGACACATAAGAAGACCCTCACTAGATGTGGGCCCCTCAACCGTGGACTTTCCAGCCTTTATAATTGTAAGAAATATATCTATTCTTTATAAATTTAAAAAAACAGAGGAAAGACTCAAATAGATAAAATCAATAATGAAAGAGGAGACGTTGCTACTGATTCCACAGAAATACAGACTACTCATAAGATACTACTATGAACAATTAGTGCCAATAAATTGGATAACCTAGAAAATGGATGAATTCTAGACAGCAACAACCTATCGATACTAGGGAATCATAAAGAAATAGAAAATCTGAACAGATCAATAATGAGCAAGCAGATTGCATCAATAATAAAAAGTCTCTCACCAAAGTAAAGCCTAGGATTTATTGGATTCACTGCTGAATTATACTAAATATTTTAAAAAGGACTAATAACGATGTTTCTCAAACTTTTTCAAAGAAAATTGAAGAGGTGAGAACACTTCCAAACTCATTGTTTTTGTGGACAGAATTGCCCTGATAGCAAATCCAGATAAGAATACTACATGAAAATAAAATTACAGGCCAATATCCTGATGAACACAGATGCAAAAATCCTTCACAAAATACTGGCAAATAGTATTCAACAGCACATTAAAAGAATAATTCATCATGATCCAGTGAAATATATCCCTAGATGCAAGAATAGTTCAACATATTCAAATCCATAAATGTGATGCATTACATTAATAGAATGAAGGAAAAAACCACATGTTCGTATCAATGAATGCACAAAGAGAATTCAATAAAATTCAACATTCTTTTATGATAAAAAAGCTCCAAAAATTAGTTATAGAAAGAAAGCACCTCAAAACAACAAAAAGGGCCATATATGACAACCCCATATTTAGCCAGAGCAATTAGGCAAGAGAAAGATATAAAAAGTATCTCAACAAAAAAGGAAATATTTAAATTATCTGTTTGCAGACAACATAATTTTATACATAAAAAATCCTTAAGACTACCTAAAAACTGTTAGAACTATTAAGCAAATTTAATAAGGTTGAAGGATACAAAATCAACATACAATAATCAGTAGGGTTTCTACCCACTAACAATGAAATATCAGAAGAAAAAATAAAAAAGCAATCCTATTTATGATAGCTACAAAGAAATAGTAAGGTGCTTAGGAATAAATTTAAGCAAGAAGGTGAAATATCTATACACCAAAAGCTATAAAACAGTGATGAAAGAAATTGAAGATGATACAAATAAATGAAATGTTATCCTGTGCTCATGGATTGGAATAATTAGTGTTATTAAAATGTCTATACATCTCAAACTAATCTACAGATTCAATGCAATCTCTATCAAAACTCCAGTGTTATTTTTCACAGAAATAGAAAAAAAAAAAGTCCTGAGATTTGTATAGAGCCACAAAAGATTTCAAATAGTCAAAGCAATCTTGAGCAAAATAAAAAAGCTGAAGACATCATACTACCTGATTTCAAAATATAACACAAATCTATAGTAATCAAAACAATGTATCAGTTACATAAAAACAGACACATAGGCCAATGAAACAGAATTGAGAGCCCAGAAATAAATCCATGTATTCATGGTCAATTAATTTTATACAAAACTGTCAAGAACACATAATAGGGAAAGGACAGTTTCTTCGACAGTTTGTTTTGAGAAAATTGAATAGCCACGTGCAGAGGACCGAAAATAGACCCTGATCTCAAACCACATACAAAAATCAATTCAAAATGATTAAATACTTAAAGATAAGATCTGAAAATGTAAAACTACTATAAGAAAAGCTCTACAACATTGGTCTGGGCAATGATTTTTAGGATATGACTCCAAAAGTACAGGCAACAAATTCAAAAATAGACAAATGGATTACATTGAAATAAAAAGCTTCTGTACAGCCAAGGGAACCATCAACAGAGTAAAGATACAACTTATGAAATGGGAGAATATATTTGCAAACCATATATATGAAAGAGGTTAATACCAAAATATAAAAGGAACTAAAACAACTCAATAGTAAAAAAAAATTAATGTCCAAATAGACTGATAGACATTTCTCAAAATAAGACATACAAATGGCCAACAGGTATAGGAAAATAATGCATCACTAACTATCAGGGACATGCAAATTAAAACTATATTGAGATGTCATCTCACACTTGTTAGAATGGCTTTTACCAAAAAGTCAAAGAACAAGTATTGGTGAAGATGCAGAAAAAAGGGAACCCTCTTACACTGTTAATGAGAATGTAAATTAGTAAAGCCATTATGGAAAACATCATGGATGTTCTTCATAAAATTAAATATGAAACTTACCATATGATTTAGCTAACCCACTACTAGGTATATACTCAAAGCAAATGAAATTTTCACCTTGTAAATACATCTTCACTCCCACATTCATTGTAGCATTATTCACAACAGCCCATCTATGGACTCACCCTAAATGTTCATTGGTGGATGAGTAAAGAAAATGCAGTATGTATACACAATGGAAAACTATTCAGCCTTAAAAAAGAAAATGAAACTCTTGTCATCCGTAACAATTTGGATAAACCCAGTGAACATTATGTTAAGTGAAATAAATTAGGCACAGAAAGACAATACTGCGTGATCTTAATTACATGTGTAATCTAAGAATATTGGACTCATAGAAACAGAAAGTAAAATGATGGTCACCAGAGGCTGGCGGAAAGAAGGTGTTAAGGAGGTGTTGTTGGTCAAAGGATACAAAATTTTAGTTAGAAAAAATATATTGAAAAGTTATATTGTATATCATGATGACTACCATTAATAATATTATAATGGTATACTTGAAAATTGCTAACAATAAATTTTAAGCAATAACATCACAAAAAAAGTAAGTTATGGAGGTAATGCATGTGATTAGTAGCTTGATTTAGCCATTCTGCAATGTATACATGTATTAAAACATCATGCTATACACCAAAAAACACATATAATTTTACTCATCAATTAAAAATAATTTTAAGAATTTTGGTTATTGAATATAAGGATATTAGTAAGTCATTGTGGAGTAGTAAATGGTGACCATGGCATGATGGGAGTTTGAAAAGGTAACTTTTCAGCGAAGAGAATAAACCTGATAAGGACAAGTGTGGATTCTGGGAGAACATTTGACAATGAGTTAAGGTGTCCAGGTATAAAGTCTGGGACAGGAATGGTTTTGGAGATAAAAAGCAGGGGATATATTGAGGGGTTTGCTATTTTTAAGATTACTGTTGACAAAACTTGATGATTCATTAGATATGTAGTTGAGAAATGAGGACGTGTCAAGAGTGATGGCAAGGGTTTTGCTATCCAGCAGATAGTTTTGAAGAAGTAATTGCATGAAGATTACTCTATAGCTGCATGTGTATTTGGGAGAGTAAACAAAGTGGTTAGACAACCTACAATAGTTGCTCACGTTCATATAGTACTTACTATGGACAAGCACTGATTCAAAAAGTTTATATTCATTTAGTCTTCCCCAAAACTATATGAATTAGGACTACTACACCTATTTTTTAAATGAGGAAATTGAGGCACAGAAAATTGAATAACCTGCTCAAGGACCCACAGCTAAGAAGAGATAGAACTGGAATTTGAAATCAGGTTGGTAGGTCTAGACTTTGTCCTCTTAAATATATGAAATATACAGTCTTTGTACAGAATCCTCACTTTCAGAATAATTTAGTTTCATTGTCAATTCCTGAAATCTTTTGCAGAGGCTGATGAGCACAATTCTTCCAAAAAAACAAGGTGTTATATTTTAGAAGACTTTATTGCTGTCCAAGATTTACCCTAGCTCTATTTTAGGCCTAATGAAGTTGCCAGAATAAATAGATGCATATTTAGTAGTATTAGATAAGCTTTTTACATATTAAATTTGTTGCTATTTAGTCTACATCAAGCAATTCAATTCAAGTCACTGTGGTTCTCCTAAATCTTTTGACATGTTAAAATATATTTTAAATTACAATGAATTCAAATATTTAATTATAGCTTCAAATTATATTTACAGTTTCAAATTATGTTGGCTGAGCATAGACAATACCCTAAGTCTTACTTCATGTGTATGTTAAGTCTGGTTGGTATACATCAATCATGACTTATCTGCATACTCAGTGGGTCATACTGTACTCAGAATAAACAGGCAAGAGTCTCCTTATTTATTGGCTCTTTAGTAAATTAACTATACATACCTAGGAAGAAAACCTAAAAAATCCAAATGATTTGATTTGGATGCTTGTCCCAACCAAATTCATATTAAATGTGATTCCCAGTGTTGGAAGTAGGCCTGGTAGGAGATGATGGGATCATGAGGGTAATTCCCTCATTAATGGTTTAGCACTATCCCCTTGGTGATTAGTGAATTCTCATTTAGTTCACACAAGATCTGATATTTACAATTCTGGGACCTCTCCTGTCTCCCTTTCTTGTTACCACTCTTGCTATGTGGTGTGCCTGCTCCGGATTGATCTTCCACCATAATTGCAAGCTTCCTGAGGCATTCACCAGAGGCTGAGTAGATGCTGGTGCCTTGCTTGTGCAGCCTGCAGAACTGTGAGCCAATTAAACCCATTTTTCTTATAGATTACCCAGCCTTCAGGTATTTCTTTACAGCAATGCAAAAATAACAAAAATGTCCCAGTAGAGAAAATTGGTATCAATGAGTGGGCTGTTGCTATAAAGATATCTGATGTTGTGGAAGTGGTTTTGGAACTATGTTATGGGCAGAATCTGGAGGGGTCAGAAGAAGACAGGAATATGAGGGTAAGTTTGAAACTTCTTAGAGACTTGTTAAGTGGATGTGACCAAAATTCTGGGAGAAATATGGACAGTGAAGCCCAGGCTAATGAAGTCTCAAATGGAAATGAGGAACTTACTGGGAACTGGAGCAATAGTCACCTGTGTTATGCTTTAGCAAATACATTGGCTGCATTGTGTCCACATCCTGGAGAATTGTGAAAGTTTGAACTTAAGGATGATTACCTAGAGTATCTGTTGAAGAAATTTCTAAGCAAAAGCATTCAAGAAGTGGTGTGGCTGCCTTAAACAACCTAAATCAAATGTGGAAGCAAAGGAATGATTTAAAGTTGGAACTTATAATTAAAAGGAAGAGCATAAAAGTTTGAAAAATTTGTAGCCTGGCCATGTGGCACAGAAAGAAAAAACATTTTCAGTAGGGAACTACAAGCAGGCTGTGGAGCAACCACTTGCTAGAGAGATTAGCTTAACTAAAAGGGAAGCAAGTGCTAATATCCAAAACAATGGGAAAAGACCTTGAAGCCATTTCAGAGATCTTGGAGACAGCTCCTCCCAATAAAGGCCCAGAGGCCTAGAAGAAAAGAGTGGTTTCAGGGGCCAAGACCTGGTTCTGTTGCCCTGCTAAGACTTGGGACACTGTTCCCTTCTCCCAGCTGCTCCAGATGAAGCCACAGCTCAAAAGGCTTCATGTGCAGTACAGGCCACCATTCTGGAAGTTGCAAGCTATAAGTCTTGGTGGCTTCCACATGGTGTTAAGTCTGCCAACACACAGAATGCAAGCATAAAGGAGTGTGGGTAGATTCCTTCTAGATTTCAGAGGATATATGAGAAAGCCTGGGTACCCAGGTAGAAGCCTGCCACAGGATCAGAGCCCTCACAGAGAACCACTATTCTAGGGCGGTGCAGACAGGAAATATGGAGTTGGAGCCCCCAAACAGAGCATTCACCAGGGCACTGCCTAGTGTAGCTATGGGAAGGGGGCAGCTGCCCTCCCGACTTCAAAATGGTAGAGCTATGGGTAGTTTGCACCTTGATCCTGGAAAAGCCACAGGAATTCAACTCTTAACCATGAGAGCATCCAAAGGGTCTGGACCCTGCAGAGCCACAGGTACTGAGCTGCCCAAGGCCTTGGGAGACCATTCCTTGCATCAGTGTGGCCTGTATATGAGACATGGAGCCAAAGGAGATTATTTTAGAACTTTAAGATTTAATGTCTGCTTCACTGAGTTTCAGACTTCTGTGGGGTCTGTTACCTGTTTCTTTTGACCAAATTCTCCCTTTTAGAATGAGAATGTCCACTCAATGCTGCTACCACCATTGTATCTTGGGAGTAAATAACTTGTATTTGGTCTCACAGGCAGAAGAAACTCATCTCCAGATAATATTTGGACTAAGAACTTAGAATTTTGAGTTAATGCTGGAATGAGCTAAGACTTTGGGGCACTATTGTGAAGGCATAATTCCATCTTGAAATGTGAGAAGAACATGAGATCTGGAAGACCAGGGGTGAATCCTTCATGAATGGTTTAGCACTACCTTCTGGGTGATGAGTAAGTTCTCACTGAGTTAGTTCACATGAAACCTGATGTTCACAACTATGGGCCTCCCCCTCCTTCCTCTCTTGCTCCTGCTCTTGCCATGTGTTATGCCTGGTCTTGCTTCACCTTCTGCCATGATTGTAAGCTTCCTGAGGCCTTTGCCAAGAGCTAGCAGATATTGGTTCCAAGCTTGAATAGTTGGCAGAAATATGAGCCAATTAAACCTCTTTTTTTTATAAATTACTCAGCCTTTAGGTATTTCTTTATAGTAGCACAAAAATGGACGAACATGTTAGGATATAAAATTAAGCAATTGGCACTGTAATTTAGGATTTGAATTATAAAGATATTTTAGTGGCTCCTTTCTCTTCCTCCCCTTCGTCCTCCTTCTTTAATATTCTTAAAATCATTTTTTGTCTTATTTTTAAAAAGAAACTTTTAGCATAATATATTAGTCTGTTCTTACACTGCTATAAAGAAATACTCAAGATTGGGTAATTTTCCATATGACTGGGGAGGCTTCAGGAAACTTATAATCAAGGCAAAAGGCACCTCTTCACAGGGTGGCAGACAGTGAAGAATGAGAGCTGAGTGGAGGGGGAATTCTTTTATAAAACCATCAGATCTCATGATAACTTACTCACTATTATGAGAATAGCATAGGGGAAACTACCCCCATGGTTCAACTATCTCCCACAGGGTCCCTCCTACCACATGTGGGGATTATGGGAACTATAATTCAAGATGAAATTTGGGTGGGGACACAACCAAAATATATAATTCCACCTCTGGCCTCTCCCAAATCTCATGTCCTCACATTTCAAATCACAATCATGCCTTTCCAAGAGTCCCCCAAAGTCTTAGCTCATTCCAGCATTAACTCAAGTCCAAGTCCAAAGCCTCATCTGAGACAAGGCAAGTCCCTTCTGCCAATGAGCCTGTAAAATCAAAACCAAGTTAGCTACTTACCAGATACAAGGAGGTTACAGGAATTGGGCAAATACACCCATTTCAAATGGGAGAAATTGGCCAAAACAAAGGGACTATAGGCCCCATGCAAGTCCAAAATCCAATAGGGCAGTTATTAAACCTTGAAGTTCCAAAATGATCTCCTTTGACTCCATGTCCCATGTACCTTGGCCCCTTTTATCATGGCTGGGATGACTGGGACACAGTCTCAAGGCTACACACAGCAGCGGGGTCCTGGCCCAGGCCTCCTAGTCCTCTGGGCCTGTGATTGGAGGGATGCTGCAAATGTCTCTTACATGCCCTGGAGACATTTTCCCCATTGTCTTGGTGATTAACATTTGGCTCCTCGTTACTTATTCAAATTTCCTCAGCTGGCTTGAATTTCTTTCCAGAAAATGAAGTTTTCTTTTCTGACACATTTTCTGGCTGCAAAATTTCCAAACTTCTATGTTCTGCCTCCTCTTGAATGCTTTGCTGCTTAGAAATTTCTTCTGCCAGATACCCTAAGTCATCTCTCTCAAGTTCAAAGTTCCACAGCTCTCTTCTACGGCAGGAACAAAATGCTGCCAGTCTCTTTGCATAGCAAGAGTGACCTTTACTCCAGTTTCCAACAAGTTTCTCATCTCTATCTGGGACCCTCTCAGCCTGGACATCATTGTCCATATCACTATCAGCATTTTGGTCAAAGTCATTCAACAAATCTCTAGGAAGTTCCAAACTTTCCCACATTTTCCTCTTCTGAGCCATCCAAACTGTTCCAACCTCTGCCTGTTACCCAGTTCCAAAGTTGCTTCCACATCTTTGGGTATCTTTACAGCAGTGACCACTCTCTGTGGTACCAATTTACTGTATTAATCTGTTCTTACAATGCTATGAAAAGGAATCCAAGACTGCTTAATTTATAAAGGAAAGAGGTTTAATTGATTCACAATTCCAAATGGCTGGGGAGGCTACAGGAAACTTACAATCATGGTGGAAAGGGAAGCAAACATGTTATTCTTCACATGGTGGCAGGAAGGAGAAGAATTAGAGTTGAGGAAAGGGGGAAGCTTCTTACAAAACCATCAGATCTCATGAGAATTTACTATCATGAGACTAGCATGAGGGAAACTGCCCCCAGTGATTTAATTACCTCCCACTGGGTCCTTCCCACCACATGTGGGGATTATGGGAACTACAATTTAAGATGAGATTTGGGTAGGGACACAGCCAAACCATATCACATAACCACAAGTTTATCCTTCTGGAAATGGCAATGCCCTGTTTTTGCTTTTTTTCCTAAAATAAATATTCTGATTCCAGGAGAACTTGTACTGGACAGAGGCAATATGTGACTAGTAGTCACGATTACAGAAAGCTATAACTTTATCTTTGAGAAGAAAAAATTGTCCTTTAAAGCTTTTAATAGAAAATGTTTACTTTTTAATTACCAAGTTAATTTTTTAAAGTTTATCTTAAATTAAGTTTGAAAAATACAATAATTATTTTTTGTTTGTAACCTACTCTGTGCTGAATATTTTTAATATAAAAGTATTTAAATATAAAAATTACTTTAATATATTATTTTAGTTAATCTTCAGACATATTATTACTCCTCTATTTTAAAAATGAGGCAATTTAAGCCCAAGGAAAGCAAATATCTAGAGCACAGGTGGAAAGAAATAGAGCCAGAATTAAAAGCCAGTGCCCCAGCTGTCTCCAAAACCATCAATTGTAACAAATACACTATAAAATGGAGAGTGAAAAATTTCCACATGAACTCAGTTCTAAGATGGATGTTTTCTACACTTTAACAGTTCTAAAATTGTTGAATACTTTAAAAATTAAGACACAATTTATAATTTGGGCCACATCTGGTGTCTCACATCTGAATCCTAGCACTTTGGGAGGCTGAGGTGGGCATATCACTTGAGGTCGGGAATTTGAGGGCCATCTGACCAACGTGGTGAAACCCTGTCTCTACTAAAAATACAAAAAATAACTGGGCATGGTGGTGCACACCTGTAATCCTAGCTACTCAGGAGGCTGAGGCAAGAAAATCTCTAGAACCTGGGAGGCAGAGGTTGCAGTGAGCTAAGATCATTCTACTGCACTCCAGCCTGGATGACAAGAGTGAAACTCTATCTCAAACAAACAAACAAACAAAAAGTCACATTTTATAATTGATTTAAAAATGTCCAGTTACCATGTTTAGGGGTAAATTATGACTTTCAGGTCACTACATTGTATAGACTTGGCCTTGTGTTATTTATAAATGAATTGAATTGAATTGTTTCTATGACTTCAAACGATACTATAATTTAACTTAAAATTGTAATTTAACTACCAATTAAAATGTCTTTTAAAAGGTTACATTAAGATGCAGCTCTACAATAAGAAGTTATTGACTTCACTGAGGTTGCCTGCCACACTCAAGGCAAAGCAATTAAAGGCAAAAGAAATTTCTAAAACTGAACAGGTTATAGAAATTCAAATCTAAACAGTGACTGACTCATGCAACTTGAAAAGTTACTACTTATGCATTAAATATTTCTATATCAAAAGCTGACTTCAAAAAGAAACTGTTATTTCCTAGGGTACCTAATCCAATTAAAGAATATAAAAGTATAAGTTTACCAAATAAGTCAAAATCATGGATCTCTTAGATTTTATTTAACATGAAGATATACTTGAAAGTATATCTATTCTTCTGAGTTAGGCAGAGAAAGATATGAGCACACTTAAGGGTTCAAATGCGCGGGATATAATTTTTAGTATGGAAAGATGAGTTAACAGAACAGGTAGGCAAAGAAGTTAAAATCCAAGAAACTCTCCTCAAATTTCACTTTCTGGTTTTCAGACTTTAAGAAGTGGCAGTAAATGGAAACTTGATTTTTTGACCACTTTACATGCACAGAAGATAGTCTCTTACAAGATTGACTTCAAGAACTCAATAGACTTCATAAAAGGTCCATAACTTAATAACCTTCATTGAATCTGAAATATACAGAGTTTAGTGTTTCTTCCTATAGCCTAAACATGTGATCTAGGAGAAGAATACAAACAGAAGAATCAAGATGTTGTCCTTTTTCTGAGTCCCTTACTATTTTTGAAAAAGGAATGTTTTGAAAAGTGGGTGGAAATATGGCAAAGTGTCACAAAATTAAATTTTTTTAAGTACCAAATACTTACACATATGCACACAATGGATGGATGCTAGACAAGAGAGAGTAATGGGGACTCCGTTGAGCTTGTCCACATAAAGGGAATCATTTCTACTCAGCATCATGCAATTATTGCTAGTTCAAAATCTGGGACCAGTGATGACACATTTCCCATTTTATTGCTCACTTATTTTTACCCAATTCAGAGAACTTTTTAAATGCAGAATATGGTGTTTTTTAAATATTGATTCAACTAAGAAAACAAAAATAAAGGAGAAAAGAAAAGAAAAAAGGAATACTTTCCATGAAAACCAAACCAAACCAAACCAAACCAAACCTGCCAACCAACTGTGGGCCTCCTTTCGCCGTTTAGTAAGATATGGTATAGAATTTGGGGGATAAAATTCTACAGTTAAAGAGTTTGGAGAGGCCAAGGGGAAGAAATGCTGAGTTGCAAAACTAGGCACTTAAGAGAAATTCTGCTTATTTCACACTTTGCATTAGGGTTTGGAGTGTACTGGGGTTTAGAGGAGGATAATGTCAATATTATCAAGAGACGAGGGAAATAGAAGGAATCAAGAGCTCTAGTTAGAGCCTATAGAAATCCAGGGTCAAGTCATTGAGGAGAAAGCCCATATATTCTATAGTCATGTACCAGTGAGGAAAAACTATTGTCATGGAATCTAGGAAAAAAACAAAATGATAATCTTAATTAACAAGCTTCTGTATTAAACCTCTATGTCTTTCTACAAATCCAATGCTTAGAAATGTCTTCCAGATTGTAAGTAAAATTTGTGGGCAGAGCTCTTAAGTTAAAAAAAAAACAAAAGAAAGAAAAAGAAAAGACATCCATCAGTTGCACTGATTGGGGTTCTTCCATCTTTCCTCTATACACATTAGTGAAAATGTATCACTCTGCTGGGTACCCTGCCAACTAAACGTGGTGAGTCGCCTTTGAGAAGAGCAAATCCTCAAACTTCCTTAATCCTATCTCTTTTCCACAATTCCCTCAGAGAAAATCATACTTGATTTTGTTGTGTTGTAAGTAATTTACCTTCATCCTAAAGAGTTCCCTTCTCTGCTGTCTTAGGGTTCCCCTGATACACCTTTGAAAACAAACAATAAATATTAATTCCATGTGGTTTTGACTCCTCTATTTCATATTGCACTCAGGATAATGTATAGTTTAATATTATTTATAATAATAAAAAAGAGCACCATGATGGTTTCCAGATGTTTTCAACATTTAAAAACAGAGTTGATTCTAACACCAGGATTATAGGCATTAGGATTGAGACTAATGCCCAGAAAGCTACAATAAATATCCTGTATTTCATCTTTTCCTAAAATAAAAATTTCTGAATATAAAATAATGCCTGCTAACTATAAAGTACTCAAATAGACATTTCTGTAAAGAAGACATAGAAATAGCCAATTCACATATAAAAAGAGGATCTTTAATTATATCATAGAAATGCAAATAAAAACTAAAATGACATATCACTCATCTCTGTTAGGATGGCTATTATTTTAAAAAATGCTGAGTGTTGGCAAAAATGCAGAGAAATTGCAACCCTTATACACTGTTGGTGATAATATAGAGTGGTGTTGCCACTACGGAAAAGATATGGAGGTTCTTTAAAAATTAATAGAACTGCTATATTAATAGAACTGCCATATGATTTAGCATTCTCACTTCTTGGTATATGGTCAAAGGGATTGAAATTAGAATCTTGAAAAGATTCTGCACTTCTACATTCATTGTAGCATGATTCACCATAGACAAGATACAGAAGCAACCTGCAAGTCTATCAACATATAAATGGATTTTTAAAAGTGTAGTAAATACATACAATGAAATGTTATTCAGCCTTAAAATGAAAGAAATCCTACTTGTGACAATATGGATGACCCTAGAGAAGACTATGCTAAGGGAAATGTGCCAGTCACAGAAGGACAAATACTCCATTTCACTTATATTAGATATTTACAATCATCAAATTCATAGAAGGGGAAAATAGAATGGTAATAGCCAGGGACTGGGAAAAGGAGAAAATGGAGAATTGTTGCTCAGGTGTAAATTTTCAGCCATGCAATATGAAAAAGCTCTAGCTGCTCTAGAACACAGTACACATAGTTAGGAATACAGTACTGTGCATGTTAAATATGTCAAAAGGAGAGATCTCATATTAAGCCTTCTTATCACAAAATGTTCACACATACAAACACAAAAGGAAATTTTGGGAGGCAATGAATATATTTAGTATTTTTATTGCAGTAATGGTAGCATGGGTTTATACATATGTCCAACCCATCAAAATGTACCCATTAAAGATATGTACTTTACGCATATTAATTATGTATCAATAAAGCTAAAAAAGTATTCCAATTTCACTTAACTAAATGAAATAATAAATCATATTCCCTTTCAGCTTCTTTGCACAGACTTGTACAACCACATCCTTCACCCCTGGATAACCATTGTTAGCATTTTGGTATAACTCCCTTCATATCATATGGGTGTTGTTTTTTCCTTTGCACACATTACTTGTAGATAGATAATAAACTTGTAAGTAGATTGAAAAAAAATGTAGATGTATATAAACTAAAATTGCATCACTCATACATGTTGTTTTGCTATTTTCACCTCAATAACATTAACACAGGAAATCTCTTCCAATTATTAAAATCTGCAAAGCATTCTTTTATGTAGATATTCCATAAATAATTTAACCAATTAACTATTAAGAGATACATAGTCAACATCTTTCTACAAAATGGGAAATGAAGGGATGAAATTTTGATATCCAATTGAGTTTGGAAACTCAATTTAGCCAGATGCAGTGGCTCATGCCTGTAATCCTAAGATTTGGGAGGCCAAGGCAGAAGAATCTCTTGAGGCCAGGAGTTCAAGACCAGCCTGAAAAATGTAACAAGACCCTGCTTCTACCAAATATGTTTTAAAATGTATCCAGGAGTGGTGGCATATGCCTGTAGTTCCAGCTACTAGGAAAGCTGAGGTGGGAGGATCGCTTATACCCAGGCCTTTGAAGCTGCAGTGAACTATGATAAAGCCACTGCACTCTACCCTGGGTAATAGAGTGAGACTGTCTCTTTAAAAAAAAAATAAAAGAAAGAAAGAAAGAAAAGAAAACTCTGTTAAAAAATATCTACATTCTGATTACAGAGAGTTATATTTAAAAGCATTTGTCTGGTTTTAAAATTGTTTCTGTACTCTTGATTGAATGGTTTGTATATGGATGTGTCATGAAATGTCTAAATGTTCAATAACACAGCATTTGTCATTAAAGGCTAATTTCCCTGGTGTAAATTAATAAGCATATTTTTATTTATTTAATTTTTTCTCAAATATAAACAAATGAAAGAAAAATTTTGTCCTAGTTAAGAAAGCATTGATGTTAACACTGAGTCTCTTGATTGAGAAGTAATTAAATGAAATAATAATGGCTGATCTCCAACTGCTATGATGGAAAACCAAAGGAAGAAATAGATAATTATCATGTTAAAGTTAATTTAATTTTATTATTTTTTATTAAAATTTAAGATTTTATGGGAGGAGCAAAGAAAGTGCTCCTTTTAAAAAATTATTATCAGAATGTTTAATTATCCTATTGAAATTTAAAAACATAAAAAAATTCAATTTTTTATTAATTATTGTCAGAATTTAGATGACTTAGCTTTGTATTTTGCATTTAAATGTATCCCATTAGTCTAGTTTATTTGTAACATCTGTAATTGACCACCATATGAAGTTTTTTGAAGTCTATTTTCCAGAACATAGAGTTTAGAGTTTAATATCAGGTAAACCGCTTTTAATACATTTAAATTTAATTGACTATAACAAAATGAACAACACAGAGTTTATTCTGAAAAAATCTGTCAGTCATATTTTAGAACATTTGTTACTCAATTACACACTTAAATCACAGTAAATCAGTTATATTACAACAATTCCTTGGTCCCTTTATGACAGTAGATGGTCACAAATATTTAAAGATTATTTGAAGAGCAACTATATTTACATAAGGCTTTTCAATCCTGTATTTAATGATTCATACTCATAGTACATTTTTTATTACTATTCTTTTTTCTTTTTTTTTTTTTTTTTTTTTTTTTTTTTTTTTTTTTTTTTTTTTTTTTGATTTGTATTTTTAGTAGAGACGGGGTTTCACCGTTTTAGCCGGGATGGTCTCGATCTCCTGACCTCGTGATCCGCCCGCCTCGGCCTCCCAAAGTGCTGGGATTACAGGCGTGAGCCACCGCGCCCGGCCATTTTTTATTACTATTATCTTTATCTTAAAATTGAAGCAAACCAGGAATCAAAAACAAATAAGTATAATATAAAAAGTGGAACACTGGCAGAATGTGAGAATATGGAAGGCATAAAGAAGAGAAGCTACATTTTCACTTGCTAGTTTTGGTTTGGGTTTCTACAGAGTTTCTGAAGTCTGTCTCTAGGAGTCAGATGTTGTCCAATTGAATGAGTTCTGAATCTGTAATCAAAAGTCAACTTACTTAAAATTTGAAAAGCCAGGCCAATTCATCTGTCATATCTGAGCCTGTTTCTTCTTCAATAAAATTAAGATGAACTTGAAGAGAACACCTAACTCTTACATGCATTGATTTAGAAAAATTATTAAAGTGCCCTTTAAAAGATGAAGTGCCATGCATTTTCTAGACACCACAAACATTAAAACAGTTTATGATGTCAGTACTCTCATTTTCATTTCCTAAATATCCCTCCAATCTTAATTATCTTTTAAATTTATCACTATTCTAAAAAAATTCCACGATTAACATTAGTTTATGTCTTGATAATCTACTTATCATTCAAAAGGTTTGGATTCAGCATTCATTATTATTCTGTTAAAAGGAAACTAATGGGAATATAAGCATGTTTGACAACCTCAATTCCTCTGTCAGGACTTTGTATTGATGCTCAGGAACACTTTAACACTGCTGGTGGGACTGTAAACTAGTTCAACCATTGTGGAAGACAGTGTGGCGAATCCTCAGGGATCTAGAACTAGAAATAATACCATTTGACCCAGCCATCCCATTACTGGGTATATACCCAAAGGATTATAAATCATGCTGCTATAAAGACACATGCACATGTATGTTTATTGTGGCACTATTCACAATAGCAAAGACTTGGAACCAACCCAAATGTCCAACAACGATAGACTGGATTAAGAAAATGTGGCACATATACACCATGGAATACTATGCAGCCATAAAAAATGATGAGTTCATGCCCTTTGTAGGGACATGGATGAAGGTGGAAAACATCATTCTCAGCAAACTATCACAAGGACAAAAAACCAAACACTGCATGTTCTCACTCATAGGTGGGAATTGAATAATGAGAACACATGGACACAGGAAGGGGAACATCACACACTGGGGCCTGTTGTGGGGTGGGGGGAGTGGAGAGGGATAGCGTTAGGAGATATACCTAATGGAAACGACGAGTTAATGGGTGCATCACACCAACATGGCACATGTATACATATGTAACAAACCTGCATGTTGTGCACATGTACCCTAGAACTTAAAGTATAATGAAAAATATATACATAAAACAAGATCTCATACGGTTTTGTTAATTTTTTCTAAAGTTTATATGCAAAAAGTAGACTGGGCTGAAGAGAGTGGGAGGGCACACTTTTCTTTTTTTTTTAGTAGTTCAAGCCAAAAGAGTAGGTGATGTAATTTTATTCTACAAGGGTCATCATGATTACTTACAGGCTGAAACAACGTTTATACTCTTCCAATGACTGATTATTTTATCTAATTCTCTTGTTATCTATGAAGCAAGTTAAAGTGAGCTAGTAACTGATTATGTATATATAAGGAAAACCACATTAAAACCAAATGTTTCATACTCTTCCATATTATACATGAAGTTTTCGTTAAACATTAAAAATGATGTTTCTAAAATCCACAATTATATTCGGACACTTCAACACTGCTCTCTCAACTACCGATAGAACAACTAGACAGAAAATTAAGAAGAATATAGAAACACTTAACACCATCAACCAGAAAGATCTAATTGACATTTATAGAATACCCCAAATAGTAACAGAAAAACTGATGTACAGGATTATTTTAAAATTAATACAGAAAGGCAAACAAAGTTGAAAACTAAAACAATTTTGATAAAGAATACAGTGGAAAAAAATCAGTGTACCTGATTTGAAGATTGATTATATAAGTCCAGCAATCAAGACTGTTTAGCAGTGGTGGAGTGATAGATCCACCCACATACACCTTACTAATTTATGACAAACATGAAACAGAAATTTAATGAAGACAACCTTTCCAACAAATGGTGCTGTAGTAGATAGACATCCATAGGCAATTTTAAAAGTCCCACACTTAAGCAAAAATTAACTCAAAATGGATAAAATAATTTTAAACATAAAGTACAAAACTATATAACTCAGAAAATACATAAGAGAAAATCTTGGAAATCAAGGTTTGAGGAAAGAATTCTTAAACTTGACACCAAAGTATAATACATAAAATAAAACTAATTGATGAATTGGACCTCATCCAAACTTTTGAAGTTTTGGAAGACCCTGCTTCCGGAATGAAAAAATAAGCTACAGAGAGAGATAAAAATATTTGCAAAACACATATCTGAGAAAGGAATTGTATCTAGAATATGTTAGGACTCTAAAAACTCAGCTGTATAAATTCAAACAGTCCACTAGGGAAACAGGCAAGACATAAACATGTATTTCACCAAGAGAGGATGTGCAGATGGCAAAGAAGCTTATTAAAAGGTGTTCAGCATCAATAGTCATTAGGGAAATGCAAACTAAAATTGCAATAGGTAAATACTATTCATATATCACAATAGCTAAAATAAACAAACAAAAAAACAGTGAAAAATACCAATTGCTGTCCAGAAAGCAGAAGAACCAGGTCACTCATACAGTGCTGGTGGGAGTGTGAAATGATAAAGCCACTCCAGAAACAGTTTCTCAGATTTTTACAAAACAAAAAACATCACTACCATATGACCCTGCAATTGCATTCCTGGGCACTTGTCCCAGAAAAATAAAAACTTATGTCCACACAGCACCTGCACATGAATGTTTATAGCAGCTTTATTTGTAATAGGCCAAACATGTAAATAACCCAGATGTGCTTCAGTGGAGGAATGGTTAAACAAACTGTGTTACTTCCACTACTTACTGATAAAAAGGAATAAACTGTTGATCAATGCAACAACCTGGATGAATCTCCAGAGAATTATGTGGAATTAAAACTATCCATCCCTAAAGGCGAGCACTATATGCTTCCATTTATATGATGTTTGATGTGACAAAGTTATAGAAATGGAGAACACATTACTGGTTGACAGGGCTCAAGAACTGAATAAAGGTGGGAAGGAAGTGAATGTCACTCTAAAAGAGCAAATTGAGGGATTCTTGTTCCAATGAAAACTTTCTGCATTTGACTGTATCACCTCTGGTATTGTGATATTATACTACAGTCTTACAAGATGCTAGCATTGGGGGAAACTGAATAAAAGGTAGATGGAATCTTTCTGTATTGTTTATTCCTACTTAATGTGAATCTACAATTTTCTCAAAAAAAATTTAATATAAAATAGGTAATGCTCCTAGAAGAATTGTCATATCTGACGGATGTACTGGTTTACTCTACATTAGTTTGACAAGGAAACTCTAAACAATTTCAAAACACTAAATTTAATGAAGTATTAAAATTTAGAAAACCAATATATGATTGCTATTCTTGGTCCAGGTGGTTGAACTTAGAATTGTGATTATTTCTGTTATTAGAAGTAACGGTAGTTTATCATTTTGGCTGAACAGCCCTCCATTAACTAAGATTGATACTGGAAAAATCTCCACCTGTTTTAATTTAAACAAGAATAATTGCCATTTGAAATAGTCTGTTTTTCTTTACATTCTATCTGAATGATTCTGCTGCTAAGAAGGACTACAACTTTGATGTAATCTGTATATGCTTTTTGGTCTAGTGTGAACTCATGCAGTTGTTCAACAAAGACTTCTGATACATTGAAACTACAGAACAACTCCGGCTGGCCTACCTCCGTGATTTTTAAATAAGATTGCTATTTATTACTAGTTTTCTCACCAGGCTAAAAAAAAAAAACAGTATATTTAAATAAAGTTGATTTTTGTATTGAATCTCTAAGAAAATAAGAAATGATACATTCCTAAGGAAAAATGTTGCAACTAATGAAAAATGTTACACACACAGTTTTATAAACATACACACATACACACATTAAAAAATTTTTAATGAGAACATTTTGGGGAACAATACAGTTAATTCTGAAATATCAAAAATAGAACTGAGAGATGAAGCCAGCTGGACTTCCTGGGTTGAGTCGGGACTTGGAGAACTTTTCTGTCTAGCTAAAGGTTTGTAAATGCACCAATCAGCACTCTGTAAAAACGCACCAATCAGTGCTCTGTGTCTAGCTAAAAGTTTGTAAATGCACCAATCAGCACTCTGTAAAAATGCACCAATCAGCACTCTGTAAAATGGACCAATCAGTGCTCTGTAAAATGGACCAGTTAGCAGTACGTGGGTGGGGCCAAATAAGGGAATAAAAGCTGGTGACCCGAGCAAGCAGTGGCAACCTGCTCAGGTCCCCTTCTGCGCTGTGGAAGCTTTGTTCTTTTGCTCTTCACCATAAATCTTGCTGCTGCTCACTCTTTGTGCCTGCACTACCTTTATGAGCTGTAACACTCACTGTGAAGATCTGTGGCTTCACTCCTGAAGTCAGCGAGACCACGAACCCCCACCGGGAGGAACAAACAACTCTGGACGCACCAACTTTAAGAGCTGTAATGCTCATTGTGAAGGTCTGTGGCTTCACTCCTGAAGTCAGTGAGACCACGAACCCACCAGGAGGAACAAATAACTCCGGACGCACCACCTTTAAGAGCTGCAACGTTCATTGCAATGGTCTGCGGCTTCACTCCTGAAGTCAAGCGAGACCACAAGCCCACTGGAAGGAACAAATTCCAGACACATTTTGGCGACGACCAAGGGACAATTGCCAAGCAGTGAGTACCATCAGACCCCTTTCGCTTGCTATTCTGTCCTATTTTTCCTTAGAATTTGGGGGCTAAATACTGGGCACCTGTCAGCCAGTTGAAAGTGACTAGCACAGCCACCAGACTAAAGACACAGGTGTCAGGCTTTCTGGGAAAGGGCTCTGTAACAACCCCTGACTCTTCAGAGTTGGGAGTGTTGGTTTGCCTGGAACCAGCTTCTGCTTTTCCTGTACTTCTGGGCTGAGCCGAGGGTTGACAGAGAGGAAAGCCTTTCAGCTATGGGGTCCTGACAGCAAGCCAGTTGACCCTGCAGCCATGAACAGAACTCTCAAAGTCATGTTGCCTAAGCAAGACTCGCCCATCTACCCTATCTATCCTGACCCTTGCCTCCTGGGTCCTAATGCCTGTCAGACAAACTTCCTCTTGCCTCTCTTCTCTGAGGCTAGTCCCGTTTCTAAAAACCACCCCCTGTGTCTGGTGCTTTTCTAATTTCTTCTGTAAGAATGACTTTTAGTATAAACTTTAGGACTCTGTTACCTTCTTTAGGCACCCGGGCTCACCAATCAGAAAGACATAATTTTTGCCCAAAGCCCCACTGGGGCAGGGGACTATCTGGAATTTTAGGATCCCTCCTCAGACTAGCAGCCCTAACAAAAGCTATTCCTGAAGCTAGCATATGGGGAGCTTCAGAAATGGTATCTTTCCTATTCATATAAGTGAGGACAAAAGGCATCACTCTTCCAACTCTGGAGATCCCTTCCCTCCCTCAGGGTATGGCCCTCCACTTCATTTTTGGGGCATAACATCTTTATAGGACAGTGGTAAGTTTCTAATACTAACAGGAGAACTCTTAGGACTCTAACAGGTTTTCGAGAATGTGTTGGTAAGGGCCACTAAATCCAATTTTTCTCAGTCCTCTTTGTGGTCTAGGAGGACAGGCAAAGGTGCAGGTTTTCGAGGATGAGTCGGTAATGGCCACTAAATCCGACCTTCCTCGGTCCTCCTTGTGGTCTAGGAGGAAAACTAGTCTTTCAGCTGCTGCATCAGTGAGTGCAACTATTCTGATCAGCAGGGTCCAGGGACTATTGCAGGTTCTTGGGCGGCAGTGGGGGAAACAAACAAACCAAAACTGTGAGCGGTTTTGTCTTTCAGAGGGGAAACACTCAGGCTCACCCTTGAAATGCATCCTAAGCCACTGGGACCAATTTGACCCACAAAAGCCTGAAAAAGAGGCAGCTCATTTTTTTCTGTGTTATGGCTTGGCCCCAGTGTTCTCTCTCTGATGGGAAAAAATGGCTACCTGAGGGAAGTGTAAATTACAATACTATCCTGCAGCTTGACCTTTTCTGTAAGAGGCAAGGCAAATGGAGTGAAATACCTTATGTCCAAGCTTCTTTTCATTGAAGGAGAATATACAACTATGCAAAGCTTGCAATTTACATCCCACAGGAGGACCTTTCAGCTTACCCCCATATCCTAGCATCCCTATAGCTCCCCTTCCTATTAATGATAAGCCTCTTCTAATCTCCCCTGCCTATAAGGAAATAAGCAAAGCAAGATCAGAGAAAGGCCACAGCCTTAGTCATGACCCTCAGACAAACAAACCTTGGTGGTTCAGAAAGGACAGAAAATGGAGCAGGCCAATCACTCAGTAGGGCTTGTTATCAGTATGGTTTACAGGGACACTTTAAAAAAGATTGTCCAACAAGAAACAAGCTGCCCCCTTGCCCATGTCCAATATGCTGAGGTAATCACTGGAAGGCACACTGCCCCAGTGGGCAAAAGTTCTCTGAGCCAAAAGCCCCCAACCAGATGATCCAACAACAGGACTGAGGGTGACTGGGGCAAGCGCCAGCTCGTGTTATCACCCTCACGGAGCCCTAGGTACATTTAACCATTGAGGGTCAGGAAATTGACTTCCTGCTGGACACTGGCGTGGCTTTCCCAGTGTTAATCTCCTGTCCCAGACAGCTGTCCTCAAGGTCTGCTACCATCCGAGGAATCCTGGGACAACATGTAACTAGGTATTTCTCCCACCTCCTCAGTTGTAATTGGGAGACTTTGCTACAGATAGTAAGTATGATTATCTAATCCTACATACCCATGCTGCAATATGGAAAAAAAGGGAGTTTCTAACCTCTGGGGGAACCCCCATTAAATAGCACAAGGAAATCATGGAGTTATTGCATGCAGTGCAAAAACCCAAGGAGGTGGCAGTCTTACACTGCTGAAGCCATCAAAAAGGGGGAGAGGGGAGAACAGCAGCAGAAGTGACTGGCAGAGGCAGGGAAAGACCAGCAGAAAGGAAAGAGAGAAAGAGACAGAAAGTCAGAGAGAGAGAGAGAGAGGAAGAGACACAGACAAAGAGGGAATCAGAGACAGAGAGAGAAAGAGAGAGACAGAAAGTCAAAGAGAGGAAGAGACAAAGAGGGAGACAGAAAGAGAGAGACAAAGAAGTCAAAGAGAAAGAAAGAGGGATGGAAGTAGAAAAGAAAAAGCAGTGTGCCCTATTCCTTTAAAAGCCAGAGTAAATTTAAAACCTATAATTGATAATTGAAGGTCTTCTCTGTAACCCTGTAACGCTCCAATACCACCTTGTTGTCAGTGTAAACAAGGGCATAGCTCTCGAAAGCACTGAGGCCACTGACAACCCATAGGCTTCCTATCAAAAATCCTTAACCCAGCAGGTTTTCTAAAAGGGGATCTAAATCTTAATTAATTACCATACAAAGGTCTGACCAGATCTAGGAGGAACTCCCTTCAGGACAGCATGATAGATAGTTCCTCCTAGGTGATTAAGGGAAAAAGACACAATGGGTATCCAGTAAGTGATAAGGAAACTCTTGTAGAAGCAGAGTTAGGAAAATTACATAATAATTGGTCTGCTCAAACCTGGAAGTTGTTTGCACTCAGCCAAATCTTAAAGTACTTACAGAATAAGGAAGGAGCCATCTATACAAATCCTTTATTTTATTTTATTTTTAATTTTTTTTATTATTATACTTTAAGTTTTAGGGTACATGTGCACCTTATGCAGGTTAGTTACATATGTATACATGTGCCATGCTGGTGCGCTGCACCCACTAACTCGTCATCTATACAAATTCTAAGTTAATATGGACTAAACGAGGTCTTATTAATAGCAAAGAATAATTGAAATCCCAAACTTACAAAGTTTTCAATAAAAGTAAAGTTTGCTTAAAAAACTTAACAGTGTAGCATGCATTATCCTAACTTCTAATCTTATGGAAATCAGACCCTATCTGTGCCCCTCAAAGCTCAAGTCCATCAGCACAAGGCCATTCAACTAATACCCCTACTTATAGGTTTAGGAATGGCTACTGCTACAGAAACCAGAATAGCAGGTTTATCTATTTCATTATCCTACTACCACACACTCTCAAAGGATTTCTCAGACAGTTTGCAAGAAATAATGATATCTATCCTTACTCTTCAATCCCAAATAGATTCTTTTGCAGCAGTGACTCTACAAAACCACTGAGGCCTAGACCTCACTGCTGAGAAAGGAGGACTCTGCACCTTCTTAGGGGAAGAGTGTTGTTTTTACGCTAACCATTCAGGGATAGTATGAGATGCTGCCTGGCATTTACAGGAAAAGGCTTCTGAAATCAAACAACACCTTTCAAACTCTTATCCCAACCTCTGGAGTTGGGAGACATGGCTTTTCCCCTTTCTAGGTCCCATGAGAGCCATCGTGCTATTACTCGCCTTTGGGCCTTCTATTTTTAATCTTTTTGTCAAATTTGTTTCCTCCAGGATCGAGGCCATCAAGCTACAGATGGTCTTACAAATGGAACCCCACATGTGCTCAACTAACAACTTCTACCAAGGACCCCTGGATCGACCTGCTGGCCCTTTCACTGGCCTAAAGAGTTCCCCTCTGGAGGACACTACAACTGCAGGGCCCCTTCTTTGCCCCTATCCAGCAGGAATTAGCCAGAGTGGTCATCGCCCAATTCCCAACGGCAGTTGGGGGTGTCCTGTTTAGAGGAGGGATTGAGAGGTGAAGCCAGCTGGACTTCCTGGGTCGAGTGGGGGCTTGGAGAACTTTTCTGTCTAGCTAAAGGTTGGTAAACACACCAATCAGCACTCTGTAAAAATGCACGAATCAGCACTCTGTGTCTAGCTAAAAGTTTGTAAATGCACTAATCAGCACTCTGTAAAAATGCACCAATCAGCACTCTGTAAAATGGACCAATCAGCAGGACGTGGGTGGAGCCAAATAAAGGAATAAAAGCTGGCCAACAGAGCCAGCAGTGGCAATCTGCTCGGGTCCCCTTCCATGCTGTGGAAGCTTTGTTCTTTCGTTCTTCACCATAAATCTTGCTGCTGCTCACTCTTTGGGTCCACACCACCTTTATGAGCTGTTAACACTCACTGTGAAGGGCTGTGGCTTCACTCCTGAAGTCAGTGAGATCATGAACCCACCCGGAGGAACAAACAACTCTGGATGCACCACCTTTAAGAGCTGTAACAGTCACTGCGAAGGTCTGCGGCTTTACTCCTGAAGACAAGCGAGACCATGAACCCACCTGAAGGAAGAAACTCTGGACACATCTGAACATCTGAAGGAACAAACTCCAGACACACCATCTTTAAGAACTGTAACACTCACCACAAGGGTTCGTGGCTTCATTCTTGAAGTCAGTGAGACCAAGAACCCACCGGAAGGAACCAATTCCGGACACAGAACTAGTTATCAATATTTAATAAAAATTAAATAACATTTATTAACATACTCAAAATCAAATTGTGTTCAGTAGTTCACACACATTATCTGTTTTCTATATTAATTTTTCAATGTGAGAATCCTTATTTTTATTTTAGAGATAAAAAATAAATTTGGAGAGGTTAAGTGACACTTGCTCAAGGTAGCATTGTTGCTAGTGATAAAAATAGTTGCTAAAATTTCTGATAAATTAGCATGTGTCATTGTTATAAGTATTTTAGATGACTGTTTTCATTTAAATATTCAAAACAATCTTGTATGATAAAAACTATTATTATATCAATTTAACAGATAAGAGACTAAAAGTAACTTGTATATGATCCTGCAGTTGGTGTGTGAAATGCCAAGGTATGATCCAGATAGCCAAACTGTTCAACTCACTTCATCAATATTTTCTGCTAAAAAATGGCAAACCCAGAAATCAGCTTCTCTTTGTTTAGGAAAAGATAAATTCTCATCTAAACACACACACACACACACACACACACACACACACACTACTCATCTAAAGACACACTCTCACACACATTTGGCAGGAGTAATTTGTGTGCTCATCTCATTTCTAACATGCCCATGATATAGCATTTTATCTTTAAAATGTACATGTTCATGAGAGAAAAAAATGAATTTTAATCTTTTTTTACAGAAATGTTGGTATTACAGTGGTCTTAGTCATTGTGGGCTGCTGTAATAAAATACCACAGGCTAGATAGCTTAACCAACAGAAATATATTTCTCACATTTCTGGAAACGAAGAAGTTCAAGATTATGGTGCCAACAAGGTGGGCTTCATTCTGAGGGTTTTTCTCTTGGTTTGTAGGAGGCTGCCTTCCTGTTTTGTCCTCACATGACCTCTTCTTTGTATTTGTGTGGGCGGAGAGAGAGAGAGAGCAAGCTCCCTGTAGCTCTTCTTTTAAAGACACTAATTTCATCACGAAGGCCCCAGCCTCATGACCTCGTCTAACCCTAATTACTTTCCAAATCCCCATCTGCGATTATCATCACATTGCGGGTTAGAGCTTCAACATATAAATTTGGGGTGTGTGTGGAAAGGGCAAAACTTTCAGTCCATAAAAATAGGTTATTCTTACTGGTGTGAGAACTACTCAAAAGACTAAAATATGTACAAACATTTAAAAAAATTATTAAAATAGTATTCCTCTAAATTCTTCCAAAAATATGTTTTCCTCTTTAATAAAACAAAACACATAGGCTCCAGATAAAAATCATATGTAATTGCATTATAATACACATTAAGCTTAATATACATTAAGCTTCAGAAAAATATTACTCACTTGAAAATGAAAATTATAAAATATCCCAAATAGAAAACTTTTGTTTCCAGACATAATTGAGCAACATTGTCCCACTGAACAATTTTTAAAATTTGAAAAAAATTAACAATTTGAAAAATGTATTAAATAATACAATGGTTTACATACATTTGACCACAGGGGGCTCAGGACTCTGATCCCTCACAGAAAGAAATGAGATCCATAAAATTGTACCAGCTTCTTTATTATCTGCAATTTCGAGGACACAGAACAGGCACAGGACCAACTGACCCAGACATTCTTGCTGAAGAGAGAGAGGAATCATAATTCAGAGAGTCCTATGTGTCTAACAGGAGAGAGCTTGAGAGAGAGAGAGAGAGAGGTACAGATATAGGCAGAGGAATCCCACGTCATTGGCTGCATATTCATTTATACACATTTGAGAAAAAGATATAAGGGCCAGAGAAATAACCACGGGAAAGGAGTAATCTATTTCCAGAGCTCATAGAGAGCTGGGAGGAGTTTGTGTGTCCACCACCAGTGGAAAATTTTCATAATACACAGAGAATCAGGCACAATTCTCAGAACAGCCTTAACAACGTGGCTAAATTAGCCCTAGACTAAATTATGCTCTGGGCCCAACCTAAGAAACTTTAAACCAAGCCTTAAAAAGACTCAACTGATTCCAAGTAATTTAACTATGTGCCCCATCAAAATGTAAAGCTAGAGGCATACCTTCAAGCTTTGTAGATTTGGTTATAGACTACTGCAATAAAGTGAGCCACATGAATTTTTTGGTTTCCCGGTGCATATAAAAGTTATATTTAGACTATACTGAAGTTTATTGAGTGCTATAGCATTATATCTTAAAAATGTACATAACTTAATTAAGAAAAGCTTTCTTGCTACAAAATGCTAATGAGCATCTGAGACTTAATGTTTTTGCCAGTGAAGGGTCTTGCCTTAATGTTTGATGGTTGTTGACTGATCAGGGTGCTGGTTGATTCAGGTTGGGATGACTGTAGCAATTTGTTAAAATAAGACAACCATGAAGTTTATAGCATTGATTGACTCTTGCTTTCAAAAATAATTGTTTTTAGCATGCTATGCTGCTTAATAACATTTTACCCACAGTAGAACTTCTTTATCAACTAAGTATATGTAATATTCTAAATTCATTGTCATTTTAACAATGTTCAAAGAATCTTCATGAGGAGTGGTTTTAAACTCAAGAAACCATTTTTTCTGCACTTATGCATAAGAAGCAACTCCTTATCCATTCAAGTTTGATCATGAAATTGAAAAAATTCATTCACATCTTCAGGTTTCACTTCTAATTCTAGTTCTCTTGATCTTTTTACTTCATCTGCAATTCCTTCATCCACTGAAGCCTTGAACTCCTCAAAGTCATTCTTGAGGATTGGAATCAACTTATTCCAAACGCCTGTTAATGTTGATATTTTTACCTCCTCCCATGAATCACAAACATTATTAATGACATATAAAATGGTGAATCCTTTCCAGAAGACTTTCCATTTACTTTGTTGTGATCCATCAGAAGCATCACTATTTATGCAGCTGTGGCCCCACAAAATGTATTTCTTAAATTATAACACCTTAAAGTCAAAATTGCTTCTTGACCCATAAGGTGCAGAATGCATGTTTTATTAGCAGGCATAAAAACAACATTAACCTCCTTGTACATCTCCATCAGAGCTCTTGAGTGATTAGGTGCATTGTCAATGAGCAATAATATTTGAAAGAAATATTTTTTTTCTGACCAGTAAATCTCAATAGTGGGCTTAAAATATTCAGCACACCATTCTGTAAACAGATGTACTGTCATCCAGGTTTTGTTCTTCCATTTATACAGCACAGGTGGAATTGATTTAGCATAATTCTTAAGGGCCCTAGAGTTTTGCAATGGTAAATGAGGACTGACTTTAACTTAAAGTCATCAGCTGCATTAGCACCTAACAAAAGAGTCTACTTGTGCTTTGAAACTTTGAAGTCAGGCATTGATTTTTCCTCTTGAGCTATGAAAGTCCTAGATGACGTCTTCCAATCAAAGGCTATTTGAAGAAGATGTCATTTTCTTTCTGTGGAGAAAGTCTGCATAGCAGCAATAAGGCTGTTTTGCTTTCTAGTAATTCTTATGTTCACTAGAGTAGCACTTTTAATGTACTTCAAGAGTTTTCAATTTGCATTCAGAACTTGGTTAACTGGCCCAAGAGGCCTAACTTTTGGCCTGCCTCAGGTTTGGACATTTCTTCCTCATTAAGCTTAATTATTTCTAGCTTTTGATTTAAAATAAGAAATATGTGACTCTTCCTTTCACTTGAACACTTGGAGGCTATTATAGGATTATTAATTAGCCTAACTTTAATATTGTTGTATTTCAGGGAATAAGGAAGCTCAAGAAGGAGAGAGGTGAATAGTTAGTGGAATAGTCAAAACATACACATTTATAGAATAAGTTCATCATGTATGGGCATAACATGGTTCATAACACCCAAAAGCAAGTATAGTAGTAACATCACAGATCACCATAGCAGATATAATAATAATGATCACCAATATGTGCTACGGAAAAATGAAGCATATGCTGTCGGAAAAAAGGTGCTAATAGACTTGCTGAATGCAGGGATGCTACAAACCCTCAGCCTGAAAGAAAACGTAATATCTACAAAACACAATAAAGCAAAATGCAATAAACAAGGTATGAGTATATATGAAGAAATACAAATAATTTTGCAACAAATTATATTAAATTGAAAAAATCTTCCATCTTATAAATTAAGAGACAAGTAGAGAATCAGGTAAATGTAATCCATAACCACAAGAAATATCAACTAACAGGAAAAAGATAAAGGAATTAATGGATAAGGCACTTAAAAGAGCTACTGTATAATAAATACGTTCTATATGTTCAAGAGAATAGAGAAAAATGTATAAATGGAAGAGAAATGAAAGATTAAACCTAACCTAAATATAATATTTAAAAATAAAAAATACAACATATTAATGAAAAGTATACTGGATATTAGTTACAAATGAAACATTGCAGAAGAAAGAGCTTTAGACTCTAAAATATAGCAGTGAAGAACTGTCCATAATGAAACAGAAAAATACCTGAAAAGCAAACAAATAAATCTTCAGTGACTTGCAAGAGAACATAAAATCATCATATATAATACGTGTGTCTGTGTGTATAAAACTGGAATCCCTACAAAGAGGGAGAAATTAAAAAAAAAAAATCTTTGGAAGAATATACAAAAAACAGTGTTAAATTTTTCCAGATTTGATTAAAATTATATACTGGGACGAGCGCGGTGGTTCATGCCTGTAATTCCAGCACTTTGGGAGGCCTAGGCAGGCAGATCACGAGGTCAGGAGTTCAAGACCAGCCTGGCCAACATAGTGAAACCCCATCTCTACTAAAAATACAAAAAAATTAGCCAGGCGTGGTGGTGAGTGCTTGTAATCCCAGCTACTGGGGAGACTGAGGCAGGAGAATCACTTGAACCCAGGAGGCAGAGGTTGCAGTGAGCAGAGATTGCACCACTGTACTGCAGCCTGGGTGACAGAGTGAGACTCCATCTCATATATATATATAAAGGTACTGACAGATCCAAGAAACTCAACAAATCTCAAGCTGAAAAAAATAAGAAAGACCATGTCAGGACACATTATAATCAGAAATATGAAAACCACTGACAAAAAGAAAGTCTTAAAAGCATCTAGAGGAAACAGACATGGTGTGCTTTATGTCCAAAACAGGAACAAAGTTCAGAATGAGAGTAGACTTAATCAGAAAATATGTCAACCAGAAGACAATGGATAAACACCTTTAAAGTGCTGGAGTGGGGGAAATAACTGGTAGCCCAGAAGTCTTTGTTCAGTGAAGGGATTTTCAAAAGTAAATGTAAAGGAAATACAATTCTAGACATACCCATCCTATATATATTAAGTTATATTATTAATTCATAATAAATTTTATTTTAAATATTATTAAAACTGTAAAAGAAAAATATCTCAAATCAATGATCTCAGCCTACATTTAAAAAATTATATATAAAAATAAAAATAAATTAAAAACAAGAGAATATTTGACTTAACCAGAAGGAAAACAATAAAAATAAAAGCAGAGGTAAATGAAATGAAAAGGAGAAACATAATCAAAGTACACTATCTGTAGTCATTGCACATATTGGCAGAAATGATTTACTTACAGCACCTAAATGGACCAGGAAATTTCTACCTTAGTACATGCATTTTAATTTTAAGTAAATATTCAAGTCCTTGAAATACCATTGGTGTTCATAGTAATTTTACTCCAATATTTTTCTGTTTCACAGCACACCCTTTGTCCATTCATATTTGTCAAATAAGCTAGTAACCTTTTAACATAAAGGTGGAATTGTACATATTGCCTTCTACGCATAGGGAAATCTAAGAGATGTTTGATTCTCTTATTGCAAAAGGGATTTTTTTATTTATATGATTTGAGGCAAAAAATTAAAACATCAGAAAGTACTGAAGAGTTGTATAACATTTACTTTCAAAGAAAACACATGTACTGAGCACTATAATTCAAAATTTTAAGATTCGGTTAATGCTGCCTACACATTCTGCCTACACCTTTTCCAGTGAATGTACTCCTACTCCTCTCTTCTTTGTCTTCTGGGGAACTCCTATTCATCTTTAAAGTCCACTCAAATGTAACCTCTTGCATGATGTTTTCTGAAGTAGACACATTGTCTTGACTTCTCAACTCAAAAAACTCTAATTAGCCATATCCCAATTACATTTTTTGCCTCTGGGAAATCTCCCCCACTCTATGTTTATACAAATATGTGATCCTTGTGGGAAGTTCATAGTCCCTCATCACCTTGACCTACATAATTTGTCCAGAGATGGACATGTGATCCAAATGGAATGCGTTCCAAGGAATTTCTAAAATGGAGCTAGTAGTTTTACAAGACCTGGCCAAAACAAACATGTAATTAATTACAACATAAGTTAACACAATTTTTAGTGGATATTTGCTTTGAAAAATGTCCTATAGCACCACAAAGTAGTCTCCAAAATGAGATTTGGTTTGTTGTTCTTGGTAACAAGAAAGTATGTCATTCACAGAAAGATGTAAATTGGGTAGATGGGAATAGTGGATAATTACATAGAGTGAGTGAATTATTTAAAAAAAAAAAAAAAACTTACTGAACTTGAAAGAGCCCCAAAAGAAAGTGGCTAAATAGACTTACTGTATTTTATCTCAAGATGTAATTTCTGAAGTTATCAATACTTGTTGTGTGATACTTTACCTGTTAAACTTGTTTTCTAACCTATATAATAAACTAATAACTCTCTTTAGTGGTTGTGAATTGATTGAGGAGTTGTTATTCTTTGGTTTTCTAATTCAAATTAGTCTTTTATCCATTCAACCTAGAAGTGTTCTGCTTGTATAAAATAAGTAGGAATGCAGTAGGCTTCCTATCACTTTCACTTCTAGGAACACAGTGATTAATTAGCCAATGCCAGAGCTCTACATGAGTCAGACTATTCTGATTGCCACTTTGCCTCTGCTGTCCATTACTGTAGCTATGCCCACCTTGCCTTTGATGGTTAAGTGCTGCCACTTGTCCCCTGCCACCTTGGGATCCAATTATTTCCATTTTATTTAAATTTTGTAGTTGAGTGTCTGTGGTTTCCACTGCTGGAGCTGACATACAGAGAAGAACAATTACAGGTCTCTTCAAAGATGCAGTTGCTGCCTTCACAAAACTATTTCACAAGGCATTGGTCAAGGGTATATCTTCTGGACCCTCCCAACTGAGATGAGTAGGTCTAAAGTGACTAATCCACTCCTCCATCCAAATCTCTCTAAGCCTTTAGATCCCTTCCTCTACAGTAAACCAAGAGAGATCAAGTATTTCCAGTTCACTCACAATGGGCCATCTTTTAATTCATATTTCAGCTAACTAAGCAAATAAACTATTAGAACCTTTTTTAAATGCCGAAGCTGCAACATTAAATGCAGAGTCCCTACTTAGTGGGCCCAAATCAATAAAGTCTGCCTGATCCAACTCCATGTTCCTTCCACCATTATCCCACACCCTTAATATCCACTCCCATGCCTGCTTTCCAGATTTCTGTTTATATAAGTTAGAAAACTCAAGCCTTTCTTTTTGAGTGTAGCACACCTCCTCACGGGTCACACTCTCAACCTCACTTCTAGGGGTCTGCCAGGACTTTAGTCTAGTTATAGGTCTAGAAGCAAACGGGTGTTGGGGGTGGGTCCTGAGGAGAATTGACATTATCTTGCCTGGCAACTGCCACCACTGAGGATGGGGATACTATTTCTTCTGGCAAAAAAGATTCATCAGAGTTTATAAACTCAGTGTCCCCATCTTTATCAGGGTCCTCCCACACATTCCCATACCAAGTTACAGGGTCCCATTCTTTTCTAAACAATGCCCTCACTTTAACAATAAACATGTGGTGAGGCTGTCCATGCACTTTTCATTCCAGGTCAGCCACTCACAGGATAAGTGCTTATGTCTGTTTTTCCACAATTTCAGCTCTTTCTCTACAGGAGATAAGACTCTTACTCAGGGCAATCTTAGCAGATTTGAGGCTTAGTATTTCTTCTGAAGGCAGGAGATAGAATCCCTGAGTTCATCATTTTCTTTCATCACTTTGTCCACTGAACTTAGGAGCAACCCACCAGCTTCATTATGTTCCTTGGTTCTCCACATATGGTCAAAGGTATTATGCATAGGTTCACCGAACCCCTTTCCTCTCACAAGCAATGAATCAGGAGTGTCAAATGCATTTATTTTGCATAACTCTCTAAATAATTCATGCCAAGGACTGTCAGTGTTGTCCATACTATTAGAAGTAGAGTCCTTAGCATTTTAGAGTCCAAACATATTAAGCATGCAACTCCAGAAACCTCCAAACCGATAAACCAATGAAAGAACTCCATCCTTAATATTTGGTTTCTCTAGAAGCACCCCACTTCTGGTACCAAAGTCTGTATTAGTCTGGGTTCTCTATAGGGAAAGAACTAATGGAAAAAAAAAAAAAAATATATATATATATATATAAAGGGGAGTTTATTAAGTATTAACTCCCCTGATCACAAGATCCCACAATAGGCCATCTGCAGGCTGAGGAGCAAAGAGAGCCAGTCCAAGTTCCAAAACTGAAGAACTTGGAGTCCGATATTCAAGGGAGGGAAGTATCCAGCATAGGAGACAGATGTAGGCTGGGAGGCTAGGCCAGTCTCTCCTTTTCATAGTGTTCTTCCTGCTTATATTCTAGCCATGATGGCAGCTGATTAGATTATGCCCACCTAGATTAAGGGTGGGTCTGCGTTTCCCAGCCCACTGACCCAAATGTTAATCTCCTTTGGTAACACCGTCACAGACACACCCAGGATCAATACTTTGTATCCTTCAATCCAATGAAGTTGACACTCAGTATTAACCAGGACATCTGGCAATATTCATTGTTTCAGTGATTAGCTTTCCGAGTGCAAGTAGCAGGACCTAGACTGAACCTCTGGTGTTTTAGTAACAGTAATATTTGTAAAATCATATTTGATGTCCCAGTGATTCAAGTTATGCTGGGTTATGATTTTGTTATATAATGATCTTGATTCTTCCAGCCCGTAAAATGACAGAAATATTAAATTTCCTTAAAAAGTTCACAACAATGTGTTGTTAATTGTAAAAACTACAATTACAATTTAGGAGCCTAAAAAGGACAAAATGTATTAGCCAGTTTGCATTATGTGGATGTATGCTCTTTCTTAGGATTTCTAAGAAAATTATAAATTTTTATTTAGTTTTACAAAGCCAAAATTAAAGTTTATATGAAATAGAGGTAATTTTCAGCAATTAAAATTGGACATAAAGAATGATAACCCTAAATAAATATGCAAATAACTTACAAAAATATGTTAACAGTTTTACCCATTGTTTCACATTATTTGGATATAGGCTTTCTAATTATGTGAACTACAGAGTTGCTACTTTTGATATATACATATGAATATTTTTCAGTCTCTGATGATCACAGGATGGTTAACTATTTATAAATAACGACTGTTATATTCAATCTTGCACTAATCTATTTTTCAATTTGCATATTTATGTCACCGCTAATGTCCTGCATCATGTAAGTTGTTTGTTATTGTTGCTATATTCATCCAAAGGATAAAAACGGTCAGGTTTGCAAGGTTCTACTTACGTCTAAGAGTATATCCAAAACTTTTAGTTTCTTTTTACCTTTTAGTTTCCCATAGATTTTTGCTTTGTATACTTTAAAATGTTTATTTTTAATGAGAAACGTGATACTTGATTGCTACAGAAAGTTGAGAAAGTACAGAAAAAAAATTTGTGATTTCAAAATTTAGAAAAAAAATCATTAGGATTTTTCTCCACTTCTTTTAGCATTTTACACGTACATACACACACATACACATGCACATATCCTAAAGAATAATAGTCCACAAACTCATTGTGTTCTACATTTAAAGAAAATGCCTCATAAAGTATTAAACAGTTCAGGAACTTGAGGGCCTTGGGAACGGACTTGGCATAACCAAGACGAACTTGAATTTATAGAATATTTTAATATCTGGTAGGATTAGTGCCTCCACTCTTTTGTTGCTCATCTCTCTCTCTTTCTGTAACCATGTTTTTGTTCTGTTTCTTTTTTTAACTTTTCCAAGGAATTATAAAATTAACTTGTCTGGTTTCTAAAATAACTGCTGGTCATTTTATTGGAATTATATCTATACATATATATGTATAAGTTTATAAATATATAAATTAACATTATTATATATAATAAGCACATACATATAGGCTGTACAATTCAATGAATTTATATTTTGAGATGCAGATTTGTTTTTATTGCTTACCATGTGTACCCCTGGCACCTGTGTCAGTGCCTGGTAGAGAATAGATGCTCAAATATATGTGAGCATTCTAAAGCATCTTCAAATATTTATTGAAATATAAATTAAATTCCAATATACTATTTTTTCCTCTATTAATGCTTAGATGATGAGGTACAGAACAGAGAATCCTGGTGCTCATCTAGGGTTGAACAATTTCTAGACCAGTGTTTCAGAAGGAAAGTCTAGCAAGAGAAAAACAACATTTGCAAGACAGTATTTATCATTGCCGATGATGAATCTAAGTTGACACACACACACACATACACGATGAAGGCTGATACACACACACACATACACAATGAAGCCAAGAGGAGGCTGATACAGAGAGAATATGCTGGACTGGAGGTCTACTGAAGAGAAAGAACTCCTGAAGTGGAAGAACTTAACGCCATTAAGGAACAGAGAGAACAGAGCATGGAATCTTTAAGTTAAAATCAGCCAGGATGGTTGTAAAGGTTAGGGCAGACAGAAAGAACAACGTTGAGGTGGAAAAGAATGCTGTGAGGCAGATACTATGTCTTCAATAAATAGGAGAGAATAATTAGCAGGTCAGCAGATTGTAATTAAAAGAAAGAAGCAGGTAAGGCTGACAAGAAGGGTTAACCACAAATAATCAAATGGTGCAAACATGCAAGAGTGAGTGATAGGTGGGAAGCCACTGCTTGATTGGGCTGCAGAGGGAAGAAAGCCACAGTGAAAAGCCAGGTGTCTATCTTGTTAGAGACAAAGAGTTTTGCAAAATGAAATTGAAGATAATGGAGAGCTTACTATCCTCAAATCAAGACTTTGTTCTACTTTTTTTTAAATTATAATTTGATAATTTCCACTTGCTAAAAAATATAAGAATTAGGACAGAGAAAACAGATGGCATTCCTATTTTTCTATTGCTTGCAATTATTTTTGATAATGTTTATATACTAAAATCCATAAATAAATAAGTTGATGTGAAAGTAAACCTAAAGCTTTTTTAAAAAAAAGCAGCAAATTAACATGATAGGACATTTGCTACCAAATGAATTCATGAAATTGTCCAGCCATTGCTGCACCCAAAAAATGGCTGGGCTGCACAAAAAGTGTATGTTCAACATTTCTATGGGAGCAACTGGTAGAAAGATTTAATTAGACAAATGCTGCACAGCCTTTTATGTGGCAACAGTGTCTCTCATCTCTACCTTTTTACTTCATCTTTCATATCCTGAATGAAAACTAAAATTGTACCACAAACTTCCATACTTAATGTTAAAACTTAGAGGTATACCCCTTATAATCAGCAAATTCAGTCACTATCATCCCTTGTATGAAACAAGATAGTGGACCTACTACCTATCAAAATAAGGTAAGAAAAAATAAAGTTAAGGGATTAAATTAAGGAATATTAAAAATAATTTTAAAGTAGCAACACAGTTATAATTGTTCTTAGACAAAAATGTTTATTCAGAAAACTTAAATGAATCTAAATCCAAATTATTAAAATTAATAACAGTTCAGGAAGGTTAATGAACTGTGTTTTTATATTTCAACTGTATTTTTCTATTTCAGTAACTGTATTTTAAAATGTATTTTTATATTTCAGCAACCGGCAACTCTAAAATAAAATTTTAAGAATGTAATCTTCCTGATATTAAAAAAGAAAGAAATAAATAAAAAAACTGGTTATTTTTCAAGATGATTAAATATCACAAGCATGACAATTGTCTCCTTATTGACAGGCAAATTCCTAAAATTCCTAGTAAAAGTCAAAGATTTTTCAAGGAACTTGGAAAAAAGAGGGATTCAAAAAGGCATAGAGAAATAAGTATTCCCAAGAATTAAAGACATTCCTGAAGAGGAAAAGGAGAAAGTAGAATAAGACGCAGGGATTTAGAGAATTGAAAATCAAGATGATTATGGTGCTGTGTTTATTAAGCAATGCTGTATTTCACAGAGATATCATATAAATTAATGGAATAAAAAAGAGAAGTCAGAGATAACCTTACATGCATACAAAACTTGATTTATAGCAGACAGGCCATTTTAGAAGAGTGGAAACAGGACAGACTCTTTAATGATAGTTTTTCATATAGTAAAAACAATATAGTAAAAACATAAAGTTTTACTTTGGTAAAAACAAAAGTAAAACCATAACACACACAAAATGTTTTCCACTTCACATCATATAAAAAAACCAATTCTGGCAGATTATTTTTCAATATATGAAAAGCAATATTTTAAAACATTAGAAGAAAATGTTTTCCCCAGATTAGAAAATAATAAAAAACACTTTTTTACAAAAGCACATAAATTATACAAGAGCAGATTACTTTCATCACAGTGAAATGGAATGTTTCTGGTTATAATGTGATCCCATTTAAAAAGTAAAATGACTAACCAAAGGCAAAAATGAGACATGTGCAAGAAAGTTAACAGAAGAGAATTGATATTTCAAATATATAAGTCATACCACAAATCCGTATGTAAAAGAAAAATGACCCAACAGAAAATAGCAAATATTATAAAAAAGTGAGTCACAAAAGGAAACTTAGTGGTCAAAACTTTTAAAGATACTTTATTACACTTGCAACTAAGAAAATGCAAATTAAAACCAGGGTGATGAAAAATTCAATGCTTCAACATTTTGTAAAAATTAAGATGTCAGCAATACCTAATACTGCAGAGGGTACAGAGCAGAAGGGATGCATACACAGCTAGTAGAGGTGTCAAAAATTACAGCTCCTTGAGAAAGAGTTGTAAAATGTCACCAACATATCTATTGGCTAGAGATATGACATCATTTTTTCCACCAAGTCTACTCCTAGGTTCATAATCCAAAGAAAGAAATCTTGTTTATAATCCAAGAATACATGTCAAACAACATTCATAGCAGCCTTATTTATAGTAAGAAACACTAGAAACAACCTAACTATCCATCAACAAAATAATAGATAAACTATGATATAATTACACTATCTAATACAATGAGCTGTGAAGAAAACTAAAACTTTACAAATCAACATAGACAACACGAAAACATCTTAAGTGATAATCAGGTTGCAGAAGAAAACACAGAGTAAAATAGCAAGTATGTGTGTGTATGTGATATATGTATACAAGCATACACACACAGATAAATACTGTCTTGAAAATATTGTCTTTCTCTTGCTACCCTCTCTTTCTGAAACACTGTTATCTCTCTTGTGGTAGATAGATGATAGACAGATAGATAGATAGATAGATAGATAGATAGATAGATAGATAGATAGAAAGAAAATACCCCTTCAGGGCTTGAAGCAGGAAGGGGCTGGAACCTTGGAGTAGTATTGCATTTTGTACTTCAAATACATGAGTATTATTTTAGTTCTTAAGCTAGGTAGTGTTTACTAGATGTGCATTATTTTATTCCTAGTATTCCTTGTTATGTGTTTGAGGTTTCCTTATTTCTTTAAGAGTCAACTGCACCAAGAGTCAACTGCACCAGTACAAATGAAATTATGTAAGAACCTGGCCTGTGTTATCGAAATAAGAGTGACAAGAGAGAGTTCCTCTTGTGAGAAACACTGGAGATCAAATCATTACAACTTAGTCATTAATTTGGGAAGCAAAGATGATGTTTCTGGTTGAGGATTTGGAGTTGGTAGTTTCACTAACCAGCATAAAGAGTGCCTGGGAAAGAGTGTTATGTAGCTCAGCACTCTGTTGTCTCAGAGTGCATATAGATTAGCTGTTGTTACTGAGGATAGCATCCTGCCATTTGAGAACACAGCAGAAGCTGAAAGGTCTCTCTCACCTTCCCCCTGCGTTGTCTTCTCAAGCAGCTCATGGCTGAGTGGAGTGGCTAATGCCTGTAATCCCAGCACTTTGGGAGGCCAGCTGGGGAGGATTGCTTGAGCTTAGTAGGTCGAGATCAGTGTAGATAACGTAGTGAGGACCCTTCTCTCAAAAAAAAAATTGTTTTTAATTAGCTGGGCACAGTGGCATATGTCTGTAACCCCAGTTACTTTGGAGGCTGAGGTGGGAGAATTGCTTGAGCCCGGGAGTTCAAGGCTGCAGTGAGCTATGATTGTGCAACTGTACTTCAGCCTGGGTGACATAGTGAGATTCTGTGTCCCAGAAATTTAAAAATAAATAAAGCAGATTATAAAACCTAGGAAGAATTTCTGCCCTTCCCCTGATGAGGGTCATATGATCCTCATGTGAGAGGTCCCCTCCCTGTAACAGGAGGAAAGGAGCCAAAGACACAGAGATGCCAAGGAAAATCTGAACAAACAGTTCTTGCAAAGTTTCCCCCAGTTTATTACCATTAGATCATATCCCCTGTATCCATACTTTCCCATGACTATCCATTCTTCATCAAACATAAGCATAAAAATACACAGATTTCCTCGTACTTTGGGTCTCCATTCCTGAAAGCTCCCAAGTCATGTAAAACTTATATTAAATAAATGTGTACACCTTTCTCTTGTTAATCTATTATTTGTTATAGAGGACTCAGCCATAAACCTAGCAATAGGAAAAGAAAGATATTTCTTTTCCCTTTTACTGAGGCATGCTTCATATTCATATTCTTGAGAAAGAGTAACCTCAGTTTCTGGGAAGTTTATCCACAAGTCACAGTTTCACATGTATTTATATTACCGAATGGTAAAAACACCTCCATCATTGGTTTAGTAGAGTGCAAAAGATCAAATGCATAAAATGTGAGGTTGGGTTATTGCAAGGTTGAACAAATGACAATGGTGAGCCTGCTGTGGGGATAGGTGCCAATTTCAAATCAACTTATAATGGGATTCTGGTTATTGCAGTTTCACTCAATCTCATGTTCCAACATGGACTTAGAGAATCATTGCCCATCTGAGCTGCAAGAGACTTCATTGAAGCACTTTGGCCCAGACCCACGCTGTTGGCATTTGGATAGCTAAGCCATTCCAGACAGATGCTTTCTTAATGGCTGGCCTCTGAATCTTCTCCAAGTCCTCCATGTTCCACTTAGCATTACATTGCTTTTCAGTTGGAGAGGCACTTTTTTTTCTTTGACCTGGTGTATCAATTCAATTTTTCTTAATCCTTTTTATTCTGTGTGCCATCTAGTCTTCATACAGAGAGCTGTGATTGAGTTAATTTGATTGATATGCAGTAGGAAATAATGCAATTTATTCTTTTCCAATAAATAACAATCCTTTAGAAGTTGGATCATTTAAAAATTAGATGAACAAAGCATTTGATTGTGATTGGTAATCATGCAGCTGCAGGGGGCTAGTCAGGATAATAATGAGGAAGGAAGAAATGCTGTTTCTCTATGTTTAGAACCAACCCCAATCTTGAGGATTCTTCATTTTGAACCAAATTCAAATTGCCTGTTGGAGTTTGTTTACTCTTGGACAGACATGACTTTCTGTTTCTCCAGAGAGAAAAACAAGCTTTACACAGTTCTAAAATAATCTCATAAACCTTTGGGGGACTTTATTTGCTCTCATGAAACATTTGGAATGTTAAGGAATCAGAATCATAAAAATAAATATTAAATTTTCTGTCTAACAAAAAACATGATAAGAGCTTTACAAAATTTATGCAAAAGTTACATCTCAAAAACTGATAAGAGTTTAGGAATGAATATATGACATGCACATACTGCATTGCCAACATTTAATTTGTAACTTTCAGTATATATAAACTATTTATAATAGAGAACACCATTTTCTTAGAATAGACCATGAGCTCCTTGAAAAAAGTGACATTTCTATCTTATTCACAATCTATCCTGGAAATTAGCACAGCACTTGTTCCATTATAGAAATTAATTGCCTTTATCACTATCGTGAAAACCATAGACTATTTTTATCTGTAAAAAAATAGCATTTTTCCTAATGTTCATAGTATTTTTTTAAAATAAATGGTGCTAAGGCAACCGGATATCTTCAAACAAAAGAATAGAGTGAACCATGACCTCATATCCAATAAAAATATTGACTCAAAATTGATCAAAGACCCAATTTTAAGAACTAAAGTAACAAAGCTACCAGAAGGAAACATAGGTGTATATCTCCATGATCTTCACTTAAGCAGTGTTGTCTTGGACTTGACACTTTATCGGAATTAAAAATTTTGCACTTGAAAAAACACCATCAAGAAAGTAAAAAGTCAACCCATAGGATTGTATACTTAAGTGGGAGAATTGTGTGGAATGTGAATTATTTCTTAATAAAGCTATTTAAATATAAAATAAAATAGGGATCAAATTAGAAGAAAATGTAGAGACCCATATAGTAAATACTATAAAACATTACTGAGAGAATAAAAGAAGTTTTAGACAAATGGAGAAATATAACAATGTATTTGAAGGCTGAATATTGTGGTAAAGATGTCAATAACCAATCTGTGGTTTATCAAAGCTTTCATATTCTGAAATAGTATAGTCACTAACACCTAAAAAGGATCATTATTTTCTTCGCAAACACCTATCCATGGATCAAAAATTCAAGGATTATTGCTAATAAGAATACCAGGTAATAAAGGAAAAATTAATCCATTGGTATCAGACTCCTTGCATTATTATTAGAAAATTATAGAGGTGAAAAATTTATAACCTATATTTTAATTCCAGCCAAATAGTAATTTATACATAATGGCTATTAAAAAATAATTAAAAACATGTAAATCTTCATAAGTGTGACATCCACAAGTTCAACCTGAAAAAAAATAAAATATTATATGAGACACACCAACAAATTGATAGATGTGTCATGATTAAGTACTGGAAGAGATGAAAGTTTTAATAAGGACTTGTGGTGTACCAGTTTAGTAAACTAGGTAGAGAGCTAAGTCTAACACAAGATTTATGAATAATGTTAAAAAGTCAAAGGCTATCCAAAATAATCTCCAGGTACAGAGCTATAGAGTCGAATCACAATTTTAAAACAACTGTTTAGTTTGTAAATACTATAATAAAATGGAGTATGTGTGCAAGTGTGTACACATGTACATTGTGTGTATGCATGTACATTTTATATACACTACCAGTGGGGAAAAGAGAAATGTGTTTCATGAGATAAAAAGAAACATTAAGTTCATCAATTTAGGAATATTTGAATATATTTAGATGTGTAAATGCAGTAAGTATATTCAGAAAAGTACTTTTTTTCTCTTTTTGAGGAGAAAACAATATGAAATAAAAAATATTAGAAGGGTTTTCCGACAAGAAGGGAACTTTTTGTTACAGGGAAATAATAAAGCAACTCATACACCTTCTTTTTTTCAAGTGTGGTATAAATATAGAGCCTCATAACCCAGAAGATTAAGGTGGAAATCAAGGGCTCAATTATGAATAGTTTGCTGTTCTTTCCTTCTTCATGGATTAGATCTTTTATATATTTCCTGAAACACAGATGCAGAAAAATAAAAACTTTTTCATATTCACTAAAATTCCTATCATTATTTTAAAATATAGAAACATGGATAGACTTTACATGAATGTCAAGTTTTGTGAAATCTGTTTTTGATAATATATAAAGTCACAAAATATGGATAATTCAGGATGAAATTAAAATTCATAAATTGCTCCTGTGTAGTATTTAACTTATATTCAAAAAAATCACAAGTATTTTCCTTTTTCTAACTTCCCCTGGGTATTTTCTCCCTAACCATATATTAACCAAATGTAATTCCTGAAGTTGATGTAGCAGTTTACTCTGCTGATTCTCTTCTTCTAAGCAGAACAACTTAAATTAAAATGGGTTTCATTACTTGCCATGACAGGCTAACTACTGATAGACTAGTCTTTCTGCCATACAAACTATAGACCTGTATGTGACAACTGTTGGCAGACATTGAAGAAGAATTCCTCAAGAAAAATGAAACTCAAAATGATTAGTTGGTAATCACTCTGAATCTTGTCATAGGGACGATATCCTGATAATTGCACAGAAAGCTAGAGAGCAAGCAAGGGAAAATTGATTATTGAGCTGAGGAGGTATACATCAGAGTTTGTTATTGCTGAATTCACTGAAATCTTTGGAAAAGAGAACCAAAGAAAAGTGGAGCAATATTTAAATAGGAAAATACTTGAGGATAAAATGGAGTTTACCCAGGAATGGAAGCTTGGTTTGGCATTCTAACATTAATGTAAATTATTAACAGAATAAAAAATAAAATCATTTTATCATCCTAGTAGATACAGAAAAATACTTTTAAAAAAATCAGCATCTATGCATGATAAAAACTCTCAGGAAACTAGAAAGAAGAGGGGACTTCCACAAACTGATAACAGGCATCAAAAAAAAAAAACAGCTAATATAATACTTAAATGTGAACTATTGAATGCTCCACTCCTAAGATAGGACACAAGGCAATCCTACTCCTCAATATTTACTCAAGAAAAATTAAGTCGGCTATATAAAAGTTCATGAGCATTAATATTTATGATATTATTTGTAATACTTCCAAACTGGAAACAACCCAGATATCCATCAATGAGCAAATGGGGGGAAAAAAAGAAAAAAAAACTTGCAAGTGAAAGGAGCCAGATATAAAAAGATATATTTTTGTATCATTTCCTTTAAATGACATTCTGAAACACTTAAAGCTAATGCATAGTGATAGAAAGTATCTCAACGGTTGCCTAGTGACAAGGATGAGGGGAGACTGATTGCAAAGTGGCCAGTAACAATTTTCTTGTGTGATGGAAATGTTGTGCATTTTGATTCACATAGTGATTACATGAAGCAACACATTTGTCAAAACTAATCCAGCTCTACACTAAAAACGTGTGCCTTACATTGAAAGGGAATTATACCTCAATAAAGTATCTAATAAATATAGGCATAAAATACTTTGCTCTTGCAATTTTTGTACTCAAATATAATAACTAGGTTTGTTTTACCTTGATATAAATTATTATTATACAAAACAGAAACAGCCGTACTTCATTACTTTCATGGAGAGAGCTTCAAGTCAGGCAGAAGCAGGCTCTCTTCAGTTCTGCAAGTAATTATTGGGTGTCTACAGTCTGCCTGGAGTCATGAAGGGAATATAGGACATGAAGATGCACAGGACAGTGTGTCCTCAGAAGCTTAAGATGCTATGACATTCAACAAGTAATTTAAGCTCATTAAGTTGCATTTTCTAGAAATGAAAACTAGGGATATTAATACCTATTTTATGATGATTCTGTAAGGATAAAAATAGGGAAAGTACATAAATGAAAAGGGATTGCAGTTTGGTAAATTATTATAGTTAAAAGTGAATAAAATAAAGCCCATATGGCAAAAGAAAGAATACAATTATGTTCTTAAAGAATAGAGTAGTTTGAAAATGATGTTATAAAATATATAGCAAGAAACACTGGTTCAGAGAGATGAGAATACTTTTTGAAACTTCCAAAGAACAGATTATCATCCTATATAAACTTGTAGATATTAAAAAATGGTATAAATTTCTTAATTGATTTTAATAAGCTGGTATGACTCTGTTACCAAAAGCTGATTAAGATAGCTTGCAAAAAAGTAATCCATGTATATAGACTTATTTATTCTAAATAAATTATTTGTTAGTCAATCCCAATAGTATATTAAAATAATGCATCATGATAAGTGAAAGTTTATTCCAGGAATGCAAGGACAGTTCAACATTATAAAATCCATTAATGCTTTTTTTGCTTTAATAATTTAAAGAAGAACAAATACTTATTATCATCTCTAAGGACTCTAAAAAAAACTAATGATAAAATTCAGCATCCATTTTGATTTTTAAAAGCTTTTAACGAATTCAAAATTGAAGATGACTTTATGACCACTGCTTTCAATGATATGACTTACTGCCTAGAAAATCTGAGATAATCAACTGGTGAATATCCAGAATAAAGAATACTTTATTACAATGTCTGGATATATGATAAATATCTATTTTAAAATCATTAGTTATCTTTCATGCCAGCTATTACTTATTAGGAAGAAAAAAACAATTTTAATAGGTTCCAAATATGAGTGACCTAAGAATAAATTTAACAAAATTTATCTGAGATCTATATGACAAAAACTGGAAAACTTCATTTAGACACAAAAAAACTAGAAAAAAAGAAAAATAGTATGATGTTGAATTAATTATTCTTCCTGGAATTTTCATTGTGTATCAGGTAATACATATTAATTTCTAGCATTGTGACTGCTTTAAACAGTTTTCTAGCTATCTCCTAGGAAACATCCTATGTAGCTTTCAAAATCAAGTACAAATTTCTCCCCTTCCCAGACATTTCATTAAAGTCTCATTGATTCTGTCTTCTGGTTTTCCATAGATCTTTCTCCAGACATCTCAATTTGCTGGTGTTTGTTTGTTGACAACCATTTTACATACCTGTTACTCTGTTAATAGAGATTGTTAACTGAGTCTAGCATGTAGTAGTTATAGGTATTCAATATTTATTTACTTATTAAGTATTAAGCACCTGAATCTATGTAAAAGATTTCTGGGGTATTGTGGATAGGCATAATTTCCCATTTATATTTTTTCTGGAAATACTTAAACTGTAATACAAAACTAATTATATTGCATATAGATAAAAGCAAATACTTTTAGCTACATATAATCAATTTTAAATGTGTAGATCTCTTACAAAGAGAAGTGCTGCATGATCATCAGATTCAAAATGCATTCATATGACCTGCATATAGAGCCTCAACATGAATGCCAATTCAAGGCTCAATTTATCTGTAATGGAATTAAACAGATCTCATTTTATTCGTCTTCACTAGAACTCTAACTATTTTCTAATGCTTATGTTTAAAATTATTCTACAGTTTTGATTTCTGAGAATGCTATGCCATCAATATCCATAAAACTCAACTCATCCACTGATTCTTAATGTTAAATAAACCCCTACACTTATCCTTGGCCCCCATCTGAGTTCACCAGAAGCTACAGTAGACTACTTAAATGCTGAAATCTCCCATCTCAGGTGCCTCTCTGCTTCCCTATCTGAAGGATTCTCTGACATCAGGAGAGCTGTACCTGAAGGACCAGTATTGCTGAATCTGAGCGCAAACCTAAACCAATGTTCCAGCTTCCCAAGAGATGTTAATCCCATGTTAATATCCCAAGAGATTAATCTAAAGCATATGTCACCTGGTTTCTGGCATTCACCTGAACATCCATGCACTTTGTAATGGCTTTCCCCCTTCCTTCCCTTTCGTTCGACCCTTCCACCTTCCACACCACCACTCCTCCCCAACGCACACTCTCTCACATGTTCTTCCTGGAATTACCTTCTGAATAAACAACTTGCTCCCAATGTCCTTGACTCTGGTATGCTTTGGAGTGACCCAAAACTAGGGTTTGTTTGTTTGTTTATTTGTTGTGGATTAAGGGGAACTTAGCACATTTTGCAAAAGTTTAGCCTCTTATGTTTTTGTTTCTATTATATTCCTTGAGTCCTACCAATGGGTTCATTGTGTTTTATTAGCAGTGTAAACGTCTTTAGCCCATTCAGTGTTCAATCCTTTTTTCCTCTCCGTGGTACTATTTTCTTCAGTATTTGTATGAAAATAGTTAGAGTCCAAGTCATATAAAAAGGCATATTATTATTTTTTCAAGTAGAAGAAACAGTTGAAGAGCAAGATACAAGCCAAAAAGTGCCAAGCAGTGCTATGTCGCTCTCTCTCTCTCTCTCTCTCTGTCTCTGTCTCTCTCTGGAATATTTTTTGTTAGTTTTGAAACAATATCACCTCAAATATGTCCTTGAATACTATAACTTTGGTTTTCTAAACCTAATTGGAATGTGTTACATTAAATCCATTGAAAACATAAAACTAGAACAGTACACTCTGTTAACTATCTTTTCACCCATACATTGAAATATTGACTATAGCATTCTAAGGAACAATATTTGGCTCAGAAAAACAACGTCTAAAGTCCTTACATTCATATATATATATATATATATATGCACATTTATGCAAAAATTTTAAAGACTTCAAATCCAAGATTCAGTCTATTATTGTGTTAGTCTGCTTTGAGGTTATTTTGCCCTATTTAATGATGAATTTTTATAGTCCATAATCTTGAAATGATGTGATCCATAGTATTTTAAATCTATGACAACTTTTACATTTTGTTAAAATGCACATTTCTGAATGGTGCCAAAAAATACCCACGAATTTACTTTTCAATAGCATTTATAAGAAACGTTCCTAACTATCTATTCTTGAATGTTCTTTGACAGTTCATGAATCTTTCATATCATTGACCATTTTCTGGTTTTTCCCAGGCAACTAATGTTGACAGTGCTCCAACAATAGACTTCTTCTTATTATAAATGCTTCTACTATCTGGTAAAACTCAATAGACCCACTGATTCATAGAATTCAATTTACCATTACATTTATGCATAGTAAACCAGTCGTTTCAAAACTTAAAATGTTCTTCAAACCCAGGTGTTGGAATTTCTCCCTGGTATTTAAAAGTGTCACAGAGTAGACTTACAGCTTTTATATTTTATTTTAATTGATCAACTACTTCAAAAAATGTCCACTTAAAATAATTACCAGATGAAAGAATGGAACAAGTCTAACTGTAAAAAATTTAGAAATATTCGATCAATTATTTGGGGAAAATAGAAAATACTCATCTAAACTAGTAAATTCTTAAAGTTTCAAGGACTAACATTTTACTATAATTTTGGTCAGTTATTTTGCAGCTTCAACAGAGAATATATTTTTTACTTGCTTTTTTTCCCCTTCATCTAAATCATACTATCTGCTGAGTGGTTTCATAGCTACCTCAAAATTAAGACCAATAAAATGTCACCCTAAATTCTGAGACCTTGTATCATTAGTATCAATATTTGCTATGTACTTCTCAATAGAAGAGTGTTGAAATATGGTAGGATGGAAAATAAGCAGATATAATAAAGAGGACTGTAGTGAGGTAAAGTCAATCTTCTCTTGGCTTTCTCTTAGATCATTTATCTTTCATGTGAACTCTTCTTTCTTGGAGACAGTTCTCTTTGGCAACTCGTTACTCATGTATTTATCAGGGTGCAAAGATGACACTCTGTCCTAGGAAGGCAAACTAGAAAAGAGTAGCTTTTTTGAGACTAAAAAATATTTTTAAAAAAAGTTATTGAAACTCTATTTTTCTCATTAAAGGCAGGGTTTTTTGTATTCTTTATTATTATCCTTCTCCTACAGTTAGAGTATTAAATAATATTCTGAAAGTCAAGACTAGGGCATTGGCTTAAGAAATAGACAAGCGAGTGGCAGACTATTCGGCCTGAGGCTAATCCAGGCTTTAAGTGTAAACTGCAAGAGAAGTCCAGCCTAAATCACCAAAGCAAGATACTACGCAGATATCTGGGAGGGAACGCCAAAGCAACAGGGTAATTGTTTTAAAACAAAACATTTATCAGAATTGCCTGTAGACTTTTTCAAAAACCCATACTCTTGAATTTGACCTAGCAAATTGGGCCCTCTAAAATTGGACTCAGGAAGTTGGATTAAAAAAGAAAGAAAACTCAGATGCACAGCCAGGGATAACAGTTCTAGCTGATGGTAAAGAATACGCATTTCATGAAATGACATTTCCCTGTGAAATATCCATGGGAACTCCTACATATAACTTTTGTGAAACTAATATGATGAGTGGTATCTGAGAGAGATTCCATGGTAAAACAGATTCTGATTTCAGTAAACTTTTGTGCAACTGATTGACTTTTGGTATCTGCTTAGAATTAGCCTGTATATAATATGCCCTACTTTATATAGCCTCACGCATCTAACTGCAAAATATAGAGGAATAAATAAACCCTAAAGCTGTATCTAGCTTTAAATTATATTCTGTTTTCTATGTATGCCCTTCATGCGATAGTTGCATTATTTTTTAAAATAATGTGCAAATTATTTTTGTAATTTAAATCAGATATTTTTTCTGTTTATACTCTCAAATATGCTTCATTTAAAATAAATTTTATTTTATATATTTAAATTATACAATATGATATTGTGGAATACATATAGATAGTAAAAAGGCTACTATAGTGAAAAAAATTAATGTATCCATCATCTTACATAGTCACTCATTATTTTGTTTTTGTGCCAAGAACACCTAAAATCTACTCGCTTATCAAGAATCTAAGTGAGTATACAGTACAATTTGATTACCTATAGTCCTCATGTCGTACATTAAATTTCTAGAATCGTTATTGTACATATCTACTATTTAGTATCCTCTGACCTACATCTTTCATATCTTTCATTTCCTCCCCCTGCTCCTACCACCCCTGGTAACCACTGCTTTCGTCTCTATCTTTGCATATTTAAATTAAATTATTTTTCTAGACTCCACATATAAGTGAGATCATGTGATATATATTTTTATTTTCTCTGTCTGGCTTATTTTAATTAGCATATTGTCCTCTATGTCCATCTACATGGTAGCAACTGGCAAGGTTTCATTTCTTTTTAGTGCTGAATAATATTCATTTGTATACCAGTAGCATATTTCATCAATTCATCCATAGATGGACACAAGTTGTTTTCACGTCTTGGTTATTGTTGGTAATGCTCCAATAAACATGGGAGTCATATACTTTTATGAGGTGATGGCAATTTCCTTTGTGTATATGCTCAGAAGATGGACTGTAGGGTCATATGGTAGTTACCTTTCTAGTTTTTTTTTTTTTTTTTTGAGACAGAGTCTCACTCTGTTGCCCAGGCTGGAGTGCAGTGGTGTGATCTCGGCTCACTGAAACCTCCACCTCCCAGATTCAAGTGATTCTCCTGCCTCAGCCTCCCAAGTAGCTAGGATTACAGGCACACACCACCACACTTGGCTAGTTTTTATATTTTTAGTAGAGACAGGGTTTCACCACATTGACAAGGCTGCTCTCAAACTCCTGACCTCAGAAGGATCCACCCACCTCAGCCTCACAAAGTGCTGGGATTACAGGTGTGAGCCACTGCACCCAGCCCAATTTTTCATTTCTTTAGAAACCTCTGTACTGTTTCCCATTATAGCTGTACCGTACTAGAGTTACTTTTTCTTCACACTCTTACTAACATTAGGTATTTTTTGACTTTTTAATTATAACAATCCTAACAGGTATGAGATGATATTTCATAATGGTTTTGATTTGCATTTCCCTGATGATTAACAATGTTGAGCAACTTTTCATATACCTGTTGGCCATTTTTATGTCTTGTTTGGGAAACTGTCTATTCAGGTACTTTGCTCATTTTTTAAATCAGCTTGTTTTTTCACTATTCGGTGTATGAATATAAATTTTGGATATTAACCCCTTATCAGATATATGATTTGCAAATATTTTTCCAATGCATAGGCTGCTGTTTCTTTTCATTGATTGCTTCCTTTGGTGTGCAGAAGCTTTTTAGTTTGATATAGTTCCATTTATATATTTTTGCTTGTGTGGCCTGAGCTTTTGATGTGAAATCTAAAAAGTTCTTGCCAAGGCCAATGTCTGGGGTCATTTCCTTTATGTTCTTTTATAGGAGTTTTATAGATTCTAGTCTTATATTCATGTGGTTGTTTTTTTTTTAATCTATTTTGAATTGATATTTGTATGTGGCGTAAGTATTCAATTTTATTCTTTTCACATAGAAATCTAGTTTTCTCAGCCCCATTAATTGAAGATTATCCTTTCTCCATTGTGTTCTCTTGACATCTTTGTCAAAATTAATTGACCACATATGTTTGAATTTATTTCTGGGCTGTTTGTTCTGTTCCGCTGGTATAGGTGTCTATTTTCAATTTCATTACTATACTGTTTTGATCACTGTAGTTTTGTAATATAGTTTTAAATCAGGGAGTGATATCTCCAACTTTGTTTTTGCTGTCTCAAAATTGTTTTGACTATTTGGGACATTTTTATGGTTCTGCATAAATTTTAGGATTTTTTTTCTATTTATCTGAAGAATATCTCTAAGATTTTGATAGAAATTGTGTGGAATCTGTGTATTACTTTTGGTAGTATGGGCATTTTAACAATTTAATTCTTCTATTACATAACCATGAGGTATTGTTTTATTTATGCATGTCATCTTCGAATTCTTTCATGAATGTTTTATAGTTTCAGTGGACAGATGTTTTGCCTATGGTTAAATTTATTCCTAGTTTTTTTATGCTATTGAAAATAGAATTTTTAAAATTTTCTTTTTCAGTTATATAATTATTTGTGTATAAAATGCTACTAATTTTGTGTGTTGCTTTTGAATACTGCAACTTTATTGAATTTATTTGTTATAACAATTTTTTTGGTGGAATCATTGGGGATTTTTACATATAAGATTATGGAATCTTCAAATACACATAATTTTACTTCCTTTCTGATTTGTATGCCTTTTATTTCTTTTTCTTGTCTGATTGCTCTTGCTAGCACTTCCAGTAGTATTTTGAATAGAAGTGGCAAGAGTAGACATCCTCAACTTGTACTGCATCCTAGTGGAAAATCTTTCAGCTTTTCCTCACTGATAATAAATGTCAGCTCTGGGTTTTTCATCAATGGCCTTTGCAAGGTTGAGGAACTTTCATTCTATACTTAAACTGTTGAAAGTTTTTATCAAGTATGGATATTGGATTTTGTCCAATTCTTTTTCCACGTTAATTTAGGTGATCGTGTGGTTTTTATATTTAATTCTGGTAACGTGATGTATTTTATTGACTCATTTGTGCATGCTAAACCACTCTTGTATGCCAGGAGTAAATCCCACTTGGTCATGATGTATCATCTTTTTCATATGTTGTTGGATTCTGTTTGCTAATAACTTATTGAGGATATGTGCATCAATATTCATCAGAGAAATTGGCCTGTAGTTTTCTTTTCTTGTAATGTCTCTGCCTTAGGTATCAATATCACTTATTCTCATTTAAGATAGATCTTTGTTGTCAGTGATCCGTGTATTTGCATTTAAAACTTTCATTTGGTGACTCCCCTTACCCAGAGACAATCATAAGGGTAATATACAATTCGTTCAAACAGTGGCAATATAAATATTTATGCCAAGACAAAAGGGATAATCTCAAAATATGCCAGAAAACTGGGACATGTGGTTACCCAATCAGTCATCTTAAACAAATACCCACATTACTTAGGAAAATATCTATTTAATTTTTTTAATAAGTAGAAAACCTTTCTTAATGCAAACAAATATATTCTCAACATGTTTTTTTTTCTCTTTTTTGATGGCTTAAACAACAGAAATTTATTTTTCACAGTTCTGGAGGCTAGAAATTGTTTTCTTTTCTTTTTTAAAATTATACTTTAAGTTCTAGGGTACATGTGCACAGCTATAAAGACACATGCACACTTATTTTTATTGCGGCACTATTCACAATAGCAAAGACTTGCAACCAACCCAAATGTCCATCGATGATAGACTGGACTAACAAATTGTTTTCTTTTAATATTAATAATTGTATATTTATTTTCAAAGTCTGTCGCTGCTTATTAAACAGGTGACACAAGCAAAAATCTGCCTAACTTAGATGTAGACTTTCCTGGTGTCATCAACCTCTTTGTCTATGTTGCTAGTGTTTTCTTACTGATGGTAGACAGAAAGGATACCTACAGTAAGCCTCTCTACCCTCTTTGGGGGAATGTGTATGCACACATCTTCTTACAGGCCACTCTCACACAGGTTTTTGTCTTTCAGCTTTCAGCAAATAAATATGCTGAACTTCACCATTCCAATTTACAGAAAACTTGCTACAAACTATGAAATAGCTGCAAGTTCTCATTAAGGTTTTATAAACACTACAAGCCATTCTGTTGGGAAATTGATTTTCTTCAGATTGGTTGAGAAACAGAGGGGAAATTTAAAGTTGTTTTTGTTTTCAGGTGTTGTACATAAAAAAAATCTATGCCAGACAGAAACACAGACACAGACATATGTTTTCCTATGAATTCTACCTTGGCACTGGCAATTCCTGTAGAAGTGGCAATGTATATTCTTGAACATCTTAAACACTATGTCAGTTCAACCTGTTTTTCAAGTTAACTTCCTAGAATCAAAAGTTATCTGCACTCTCTATTGATCTCCATGTACTTACAAAATAAATGATGTTTATTTTTTGCCAAAGGAATCGGGGATACAAAGGTATCTGATAATATTCAGACAAAATACCTCAGTGGAAAAATATTTAAGAGCTTAGGTCCAGAAAAGAAGAGACAATTAGAAAGGAATAAGCAGAAAATTATTTGAAAGCAGAAGCTATGGTCTACAGCTAACATATAAAAGACAGAGTTAAAAAAAAGAGAGTGAAAAGAAAGTTAATGTAGGGGGATACCTTAGAAACAGAGCAGAGCATGAAGAAAAAAACAATTTCCAACAAGTCATGCAACTGAAAAAATCTAGGAAACTTGTTGGGCTGTACTCAAACAATCTGTATTTTTTCTGTGGCCCATCAATTCTCATTCATTTCATTTTTAAGAAACATAAATTTCACAGGCCTAGAAAACCTTACCCCACTTTTTTTCCTTAAAAAGTTTTAAAATAAAGTTTTTAAAGTAAATGAGAAATATATGGCTATATATTATGAAAAACTTAAAGCAAAACAAAAACATACATTTATTTTAATTCCAGAGATAATTATGTATGTATTTAAGAAAAATGTTCACAAACTCAACAATATTACATAGCCGTTTTGATTCTAATAAAACCATCCAGCAGAAAGAGTTTCAGTGTAAAAATAATTTAAATGGATATATCCTAAAAATATGTCATAATTTGCTTAACCAGTCTTTTGTTTTTGGACTATTTTCAAAACTCTTTATATTATAAGCAGCAAAGTAATAGAATGCTAAATCCATTTTTAAAACAATCTTAATTAGGCAAAATATAATCCTAAAACACAGGGGTTACATGTAGCAAAGAATTTTCCCTCTATTGTGATGGATATTTAAGCTCTCTCCTGAATAGAGAGGAGAGAGGGAGTATATAGGTGCCTGTGCAAAGCCTCAGAGCATAAGCATGGCAAGGAGGTTTTCCACATTTGTAGATGGGATTAGCAGTTGCAGCATACTAGCCATAAAATAGAAGCCTGAGTTGGAGGAGGGTTGGTGGGCAATCAGGGAGGCAACTGGCAGTGCATAGCACAGCATGTGTAAACTTGAACACAGTGACAAAAAGGTCTGTGGGATGGGAGGGAGGGGGTTTCTTCAAATGGGAAATTGGTTACATACAGAGGAATTTATCAGGTAATTGAACATATTGAAAATAATGGGAGCCAGGTTTCTCATCATTGGAAGACTGAATTACAAGTATAAAAGGCAAGAAAACTATAACGAAACCTGTGATGTTGGATTAGAATCAGATATATCACTGTAAATACATAGTTTTCAAAAGATCGATAGACAATAAGTATATGAATATCTTTGGCCACTGACAGAACCTAAAAACAACAACAATCTCCTTGCATTGAGTACGTCTACTGTCCAGAACGAGGTTGCTAACAAGGTTACAATTCTCCACCAAAAGATACTAGCGTACCTTAAAAAATATGAGTAATTATAAGTCTGGGACAGGGAAGAGACAAGATAAGCGTAGAATATCTTATGCCAAAAAGTAATAAAGTTTCCAGAAAATAGTGGGCACACAATTAAAGGATGGAAATTCCACATCCAATAATGACCAACTTGCTTCTGTCAAATTGATCTTTTCACAGGTAACAACTATATCGTGGACAAAATATGCAAAATATGCTGAAGGCATTGGAGAGTGATCAACAACACAAAGATAGTTGGAGGACAGTTGATACTTGAATGCAGAGAGTGACCCTGTGTGAGCAACCTGATGTTTCATTCACAGTGTTCTAAATGCAATTCGAAATTACTTGATATGCCCATGTCCCCATAAAAACACACACTCATATATATGAAAATGTCATCCATAATCCATAACTAAGAAAAAAAGGCAATCAATGTGGAAACGTTTTGAGAAGATCCAGATCAATTGAAATAATCCAATCCAATAATACAATCTGATAAACAGAGTCTCAGGAATTTATGGGACAATATGAAGGGGATTAATCTATATAAAACTGAAATCACAGAAGGAAAGGAGACAATTGTATATATATACACACACACATTTATATACACATACTACCACAAACATATATTCTCTTCTGTTCTATTATGATGTAATGTATACAATCTCTGAAATTATATATTATATATAAAGTCTCCCAAATATAGCTGAAAATTTCAGACAAAAATACATTTCAATATCTGTCAAAATTAGATGATAAATACCCACTTATAGATCCAAGAGGTTCAGTGAAGCCCGCAATGCATAAACCAAAAATAAAAATCAACTAATCAAACTGCTAAAAGGCAAGGTTAAAATCTGAAGATAGCCAGAGAAAAAAGCACTTACATACAAAGAACAATGGTTCCAATAACTGCTGACATTTCTTCAGAAACAATAGCAGCTAGAAAAAAGTGAAACAATACTTTAAGTGTTAAGGAATAAAAAGTATCACACAAAATTTCATACTTGTTAAAATATTCTTCAATAATTAAAGATAAATAAATACTTCCATGTGAAAAAGAAAACTAATATAATGTGTTACCAGCAATACTGCACAATATAAATAAGAAAAATACAAAAGATATTATCAGAATGAAGAGAAATAATACTATTCAGTAACTAGAAGATTCAGGGAAGAATAGGAGTGAAAATTCTAAAGACAATTTATCTTATTTTTGTGAAAATTTGTATGACTTTTTTTTTTTTTTCAGTCTCAATCTAGTTTAATTTTTTTTGCTTTGGTCTCGTCCTAGGTAAGGTTCTTCAACCCTGGGAATAATTTCATTTCTGATACTGTAACACCAAGGCTCACAGTCCTCTCCTTTCACTAGGGACAAAATGCACTTCTCCACTTTTTTCTTTTTTTTTTTAAATTTTTTTAGTATTTATTGATCATTCTTGGGTGTTTCTCGGAGAGGGGGATTTGGCAGGGTCATAGGACAATAGTGGAGGGAAGGTCAGCAGATAAACATATGAACAAAGGTCTCTGGTTTTCCTAGGCAGAGGGCCCTGCCGCCTTCCGCAGTGTTTGCGTCCCTGGGTACTTAAGATTACGGAGTGGTGATGACTCTTAAGGAGTATGCTGCCTTCAAGCATCTGTTTAACAAAGCACATCTTGCACCGCCCTTAATCCATTTAACCCTTAGTGGACACAGCACATGTTTCAGAGAGCAGGGGGTTGGGGGTAAGGTTATAGATTAACAGCATCCCAAGGCAGAAGAATTTTTCTTAGTACAGAACAAAATGGAGTCTCCTATGTCTACTTCCTTCCACACAGACACACTGATCTCTCTTTCTTTTCCCCACATTTCCCCCTTTTCTATTCGACAAAACCGCCATCGTCATCATGGCCCGTTCTCAATGAGCTGTTGGGTACACCTCCCAGACGGGGTGGCGGCCGGGCAGAGGGGCTCCTCACTTCCAAGACGGGGCAGCAGGGCAGAGGCGCCCCCCACCTCCCAGACGGGGCGGCGGCCGGGCGGGGCCTGCCCCCTACCTCCCGGGGCGGCTGGCCGGGCGGGGGCTGAACCCCACCTCCCAGACTGGCGCGGCTGCCAGGCGGAGACGCTCCTCACTTCCCAGAAGGGGCGGCTGCTGGGCGGAGGGACTCCTCACTTCTCAGATGGGGCGGCAGGTCAGAGACGCTCCTCACCTCCCAGGCGGGGTGGCGGCGGGGCAGAGACACTCCTCAGTTCCCAGACGGGGTCGCGGCCGGGCAGAGACGCTCTTCACATCTCAGACGGGGCGGGGGGCAGAGGCACTCCCCACATCCCTGACGATGGGTGGCCGGGCAGAGACGCTCCTCACTTCCTAGAGGGGATGACCGCCGGGCAGAGGCTGCAATCTCGGCACCTTGGGAGGCCAAGGCATGCGGCTGGGAGGTGGAGGTTGTAGCGAGCCGAGATCATGCCACTGCACTCCAGCCTGGTCAACATTGAGCACTGAGTGAGGGAGACTCCGTCTGCAATCCCGCCACCTCAGGAGGCCGAGGCTGGCAGATCCCTCGCGGTCAGGAGCTGGAGACCAGCCCGGCCAACACGGCGAAACCCCGTCTCCACCAAAAAATACGAAAACCAGTCAGGCGTGGTGGCGCGCGCCTGCAATCCCAGGCACTCGGCAGGCTGAGGCAGGAGAATCAGGCAGGGAGGTTGCAGTGAGCCGAGATGGTGGCAGTACAGTCCAGCCTTGGCTCGGCATCAGAGGGAGACCGTCACTTTATAGACAAATTTTACTACAGTATTTTGAGATTCATAAAGTATTTTTACATATGAAATCTAAGTCATAAAGACCATGAGTAGAAAGAAATAAGTGAACCTATAAATTTACAAAGGTCTTATTTTTTTGGTGACATTGTACATTATTAACTGTAAGCAAATTATGGAAAGGTAAAGATGTATACTATAATCCCTAGATTAGTGGCTTCAAACTTTAGCATACATAGGAATAATCTGGAAAGCTTATGAACACAAAGATTACCTTCCTCCTAACTGTGATTCCGTGTGTCTCAAATGGGACCAAAGAATCTGCATCTCTTCAAACATTCCAGGTGATGCTGATGGTGCTGCTTTGGGCACCACATTTTGAAGATGTTCACCTTAGAACAACTATTAAAGAATAATTTAAAGTGGACTATCTGAAAAGCCAACGGATAAATCAAAATGAAATTTCTTTTCAATTAGTTCAAAAGAAAAAAAGATAATTACAGAATTAAGGAGAAAACAAAATACAATAATGTCCTTAAATTTAACTATATGAATTATATTATTCCAGTAGAGCAAATACTCTAATTAAAGACAGAATTGTGAGAATTTGTAAAGCAAGATGAAATTAATGTTACCTGTAAAAGAAACAATCTAAATATATAAATATACAGATAGATTAAAACAAATGAATTTTAAAAAGTTCATAAGTGGCTATATCATTATCAGATAAAGTAGACTTCAAGATAAAGAGATATTATGAGAAATAAGAACATTTCATAATGATTAAAGATTAAATTCATTAGAAGGACACACAAATAAATATATAACCAAAAACAGAGCTTCTAAATACATAAAGCAAAACATGATAGGATTAAAGGGGGAAAAAGGTTATTCCACAATGGTAGCTGAAGATTTTAGAACTTCTCTCAGCAATTGATATAGCAACTACAAATCGGCAAAAAATGTAAAATATCTGTACAACACTATTAACTCTGTTGATCATTGATCTAGCTGATATTTATAGACTACTGAAAGCAACCATTGCAAAATAAACATTATTTTCAAGAGCACATGAAAATTCTCACCAATACAGACCATATGCAGGTTCATTAAAAAAGTTCTCAATACGTTTAAAAGAATTAAAATTATATAGAGAATGTTTTCTGATCACAGTGATATAAAATATAAAGTATCTAAAAAAACAGAAACCCTAAACATTTGGAAATTTAAGAACAAACTGATAGGTAATCCAAGGGTCAAGGAAGAAGTCACAAGTAAAATTAAAAAATACTTTTGCCTGAATGACAATAAAAGCACTACATATCAAAATTTGTAGAATGCAGCTATTGCTTCATTAAAAAGAAATGCATTAAAATTGATTAAAAATAAATTTATAGCTTTAAATGTTTATGCCAAAAAATGATGTGTAAAATCAATAGCCTAAGTTTTCACTTTAAAGCTAAAATTTTAAAAAGATAAGCAAAGAATGTAACTGCTTATTTTATGAAGTTTGTAAAAATATTTCCATAACAATATGTTTCTTCAAATTTCTTCTATTTTTCAAGTGATACAGGTGAGAGCCATCCTGAGTAAATTGAAATTTTATTGATTATGAATATTCCTTTTAAATTTTCAAATGAAGAATAAAGACTTTTGACATGATTCATTTTGTTAGCTTGGCTGCTTAACATATTGGTGTACTCACTTTTATGTTTTTAAGAAAGTGTTTAAGATACTAAACATTGGTCTCCCCACTTGGAATTAAAATCCTTATTGATCATCACACCTTCAAAAGAGTATCTGACATATACAAAGTTCTCAAAAATATGTAGAGCTGAACTGAGCTCATAAAATATAGCGTGAATTAAATAAAAGATATAAGTTATGGAGAATAATTTAGGAATACACTGAAAATAAATTTTGGAATATAAATATATGTATATAATTTAAAGATTTTTACCAATGCAGTAGGTCACTTTAATAGCTATAGAAAATACATTTTAAAATATTGGCATGCCACTAGGACTATATTTATTGTTTATTTTTCTCTGAAAACCATAAACATAAAGCCTACAATGTTTAAATCTGGGGATCCTATAAGCTCTTAGTGACACAGATACTTGGAAAATATTAAAAATGTGAGTGAACACATTTGGAAAAAGCATCGTAAGCACAGGATTGCCTCTGAATCAAGTAACAGTTGATCACTGAAGTAAAAACAAATTAAGAAACACTTTACTTAAAATATAAAATAATGCTTTTTAATCTTTCTTAAATTCATGATTCAAATTTGTAAAATTTAAAAACAATTGTATCTTACATGACACTAAAAGTTGGCATTGGTTTGGGTTAGGCTACACTTTAGCTTCAAAGAATTCTAGATATGAGAAGAGTCTTAAGAAATAAGCTTTTATTCACCCCTAAGAAAGGAGTAAAAGAGTCCTTCATCAAAAAAAGAGCTGAATACTTAATAAGAGAGGATACAGGAGAGGATTAGAGAGAAAAGTTATAATCCTACTTGCAATGTATCCCCTCCCACACATACATACTCCCACCATTAGCTATGAGGCGCTGTGTCCCTAAACTTGCTCTCTGCATGTAGTCATCTCTGTCTGATGTCAGGGGTTTTAATGCAAGGCCAGGGATTAAGCTTGCCACTGTTGTTGGTTGGAAAGGTGAAGAAAAGGTATTTCAGAGGAAAATGAGGGAACTTAGCATTTGTCCTTATCTTTAAACTCGAGATTTTTAAGACTTATGCACTCATGTTAGGACAAAACTTGCTTGTTGCTGCATTAAGAGTTAAGACTCTGTACAAAATTGTCCAGTATGTTTGCCAATTTTATGCTGAGAAATAAGCTATTTTCATTTTGGAGCTTATTAATGACTTTTGAAAGGTGTTTGAACTCATATACATAATTTTAAAGCCAGATAATTTGTATTGCTGAGGTTTAAAAGAATCAAAGAAAGAAAATCATCTCAAGCTGAAAGCTTAACTACCATGTTTCAACCTGGAGGTATTTTTTAATCAGAAACTTTAATGGATCCTTGACAGTAATGTTAGGAACAAAGTTGCTTTAACTCAGGAGGGTACCTACTAAATGAAAGAGAACACAGCTAATTGCACGGTAATTGCTTTATATACAATACCTGAAACATGGTATTAATCGATGTGGATGATGACAGATGGATCATGATGCTTTGACTGACTTTAGCACTGCAATTGGCAAGCAGGATTCAATTAATTTTCACATATCCATATAAATGGTCTCATCTATAGTATTTCATAAGTTTTTCCTTTTTATTCTATTTTATAAGTTGTTTACCTCCTGCAAATAATATATTGGTTAGGGATAACCACTTGAAAATAAATGCTAAGAAATATTTTGGAAAATACTGTTTTCTACTCAAGTGAACAGATGAAAGGATTAACTCTGATATACTCTACTTAGATATAAGTATCCCATCATGATAAAGTGGATGGTTCACATTGTTCCGTTATAATTCTCCTTCCTTTAGTGAGCTCCACAAACGTTATTGACCAATGGCAACTTTCTAATGAGTTATTTCTGAAAACGTACAGATTAGTGTTCTATGGTGGGCTTTAAATACCTCATTCTGTGGTATTAGTCTCTTGCAAAGACAAGAAACAATAAAAGCTATAACCGTTCTAAATCAATAATAAATGCTGAAAACACTTATTGCCATTTGAAAAGCATCTGTATAGGTCACAAGGTGCATTCAAAAATATAAGCTTATTTCTCACAAACAAAACTATGAGGCGACAAAGGAAAAGATTATTATCCCCATATTATCACAAGATTATTGAGGCTCAGAAATATGATGATATGATTTGCCCAAAGTTATGCAACATAAAAAGTTAAGTGGAAATAGGATCACAGCACGCATCCTTTCGCTTCTGATTTTAAAAAATTCTGAATCTTACTTAATTTGGGAATCTGAATCTGAACCTTACTTAATTTGGTAATTGTGTTTTATAGAATTAACAATAATTTGAGAAAAATGAGAAAAAAACAACTGTAAGGTAACATTTGTTGTACTCAGCATTATGCCAAACTTTTGCCTAGTATTACAGGAGTTACTCACTTTTTTAAATCATACCTCCTGTAGATACCCGTTTATAAAACACATTTAATGTTAGACCAAACAACTCATTATTTCTCTTTAGTGCTATATTTTCATAGGCTGATTTTTCTATAGAAATTGCAAAAATCTTTTCCTTTAACAGTTTTCAAAATAAGTTCATTCCTTTGCACCTTCCAGAGGTGACCAATAGATATTTTCTTGCTTTTTCTTCTTTTCTTATTTTTAAAAATATCAATACGAACTCATGGATTTAAATATCACTTATGTCCCTTAATTAATTGCAATTAGTATCCCTAATTGGTATCCCAATGGGCATGAGTGTTCTGTGCCATTAAATTAGAGCTTGTTTCTATGTTTCTATAGCAAACAAGGTTAAGAAATGTTTTTTGTGTGTGTTTGTTTTGTTGTTACTAGCTTTTTATGTTTAAAATAAACTATCATGAGTTTATTCTGATATTTCTAATAATTTACTTCAGGATTACAAGGAATTTGCTTAATATCTCATATGTTCCATCTGTTTATCTTTTCTCCAATGCTGTTCTTAATAATAACACCATGATATGGCTTAGCTTTGTGTCCCACCTAAATCTCTTAAATTGTAATCCCCAGGTATTAAGGGAGAAACCTGGTAGAGGTGATTGGATCATGAGGGCAGTTTCCACCATGCTGTTTTTGTGATAGTGAGTGAGTTCTCACAAGATCTGATGGTTTTATGTGTGTTTGGCAAGTTCCTCCTTGGCTCACCTTCTGTCTTTCACGTGCTGCCAAGTAAGATGTGCCTGCTTCCCCCTCCACCATTATTGTAGGTTTCCTGAGGCCTCCCAAACCATGCAGAACTATAAGTCAATTAAACCTCTTTTCTTTGTAAATTACCCAGTCTCAGACAGTTTTTTATAGGAGTACGAGAATGAACTAATAAACATCACAACTTACTTATTTGTTGAATCATATAATACACACAGGCAAGTTTCAGGATAATCATATCAGCACAATATAATTACTGAAAACATTTTAAGGTGCTTTGTTTTAATTTTGGAGTTCTTTTTATGCTGGTTATAGCCAAGAAGGATGTAGATAAAGATTATAATGCTTTAAAATCAAATGGAATCATCACTTCCATGTGGCTATGCCACCAACCCAGTAACAATTTGGGTTTATATGTTCATTTTTATTTTAGATTTTAGCAATTGCATTTTCTTTTTTTAGATTTTTTATAATTATTTAAAATATTATTGTTATATAGTTAAATCTACATAAGGAGATATTATCAGTGAAGTCTAGCTAACACCCTATTCCATCCTTCTTGCTTCCCCATCAAAGCTAACCAGCTTTTAAACTTTATGATTGAATTTTACTTTTTTAAAATTATAAAATAATAGATAATTGCTAGATAGATAGATATTGATGCCACTGATCTTTCTAAGGTAATCAGTATCATTGTATATATACTTTTCTCTGACTTACATTATTCACTTAATAAAATATCATTCATGTTTTTACGGATATTTCTTGCTCCTTTATACAGTGACGGTTTTTCGTTGCATGTGTGTATCATAGTACTTCAACCGGGCCCCAACTAAAATTTAAAAAAATAATTTTTCATAAAAAATTAATGAAAGTTTGAATTTTTATAAATATTTTGCCATTAGAGATGGTTCTGCTATGAATCATTCACAGAAAATATCTTTCCATAATTTTTCCCACTATAAACTTTGGAATAAATTCTTAGAAGTAGATTGTTGGGCCAAAGAATAGAATAATACCTAATTTTTCTACATATTGTCAAATCCCTCTACAAATAGTTTAATTATTTTACCTGCCCAACAGAGATGAGTGAGAGTGCCTGTTTTATGTAGTTCAACCAACATTGTGTGTTATCAAAATTTTTAATTTTTGAAAATCTTATTTGTAAAAAATAGTAATTTATTATACTTGTATTTTGTATTTTCCTTTCAATAGAAAGGTTAGGCATTGATTAAAAGGCTTTTGTGTTTTTTTTCCTTGAACGTCCTTTTCATATCCTCAGCCCACTTTCATGGAATTGTTGGTTATTTTTATTATGTTTTTAATCTCTGTGTACTTTATGTTATGTTATAAACAGATAACAAAATTTACCATCTTAACTACTTTTACAATGTAATAGTGTTAAGTATATTCACATTATTGTGAAACATGTCCAGAACAGTTTCATCTTGCAAATCTGAACTCTATACCCATTAAACAACAATGCCCTGTTCCCCTTTTCCCCAGCCCCTGGTAACCACCTTTCTACTTTTCTGTTTCTATGAAATTGACTATTTTAGGAAACTTATTAATTGCAATCATAAAGTATTCACCTTTTGGTGACTGGCTTATTTCAGTTAACATTATGTCATTAAGTTTTATCCATGTTGTAGTATATTGCAGGATTTCATTTCTTTTTAAAACTGAATAATATTCTATGGCATGTATATACTACATTTTGTTTATCAATTTATCTGTCATTGGACATTTGTGTTGTTCCCACCTTTTGTCTATTTTGAATAGTGCTGCTATAAACATGGGATTGCAAATATCCCTTTGAAATCTTGCTTTCAGTTATTTTGTATACATATCCACAGGTGGAATTGCTGTATCATATGGTAATTATAGTCTTAATTTTCTGTGGAATTTCCATACTGTTTGTCACTTCAGTTGCTATAATTTACAGTTCCACCAAAGGTGAACAAAAGTTCCGATTTCTCCGCTTTCTTAACAGCAATTGGTATGTTCTTACTTTATGGGTTCTTTTTTAAAAATAGTAGCCATCCCAATAGATATGAGGTGATATCTCAATGTGGTTTTGATTTGCATTTATCTGATGATTAGTGATTTTGAGCATCTTTTCATACACTTGCTGGTCATTTTATATCATCTTTGGAGAAACGTCTTCTCAAGTCTTTTTCCTATCTTTTAATTGGTTTATTTAATATTTTTGTTTTTTAGATGCCAGAGTTTTTAAATTTAACCTCTATCAGATATATGGTTGACAAATATTTTCTACCATTCCATGACTGAGTCTTTGATGCACAAAAGTTTCTAAGTTTGATGTAGTCCCATTGTTTATATTTTTCTTCTATTTCCAGTGTTTTTGTTATTTCTTTTCTTTCTTTTTTTTTTTTTTTTTTTTTTTTTGAGACAGAGTCTCACTCTGTCACCCAGGCTGGAGTGCAGCGGCGCCATCTGGGCTCACTGCAACCTCTGCCTCCTGGGTTCAAACAATTCTCCTGCCTCAGCCTCTGGAGAGCTGAGACTACAGGCGCATGCCACCATGCCTGGCTAATGTTTTGTATTTTAGTAGAGACAGGGTTTCACCATGTTGCCCAGGCTGGTCTCGAACTTCTGAGCTCAGGCAATCCACCTGCGTTGGCCTCCCAAAGTGCTGGGATTACAGGGATGAGCCACCGCGCCCGGCCCTCCAGTGTTTTTTCTATCATAGCTAAGAAATAATTGCCAAGTCCAATGCCCTAAAGGTTTTCTTCTATGTTTCCCTCTAGTGCTTTGATAGTTTGGGATTTTCTATTTAGGTCTTTAATCAATTTTAAATTAATTTTTGTATATGATGTAAAATAGTGGTCCAACTTTATTCTTTTGCATATAGACATACAGTTTCCCAACACCATTTGTTGAGAAGACTGTCATTTCCCTATTGACCTATTGATTGGTCTCATCAGAAAGTCCTCTAAATTTGTTCTTATTTTTCAAAACTGTTTTGGCTACTTAAGGTCTATTGATATTCCAAATAAATTTTGAAATATGTTTTCTATTTCTGAAAAATATGCAATTGCTATTTTGATGGGGATTTTATTAAAATTTAAGTCTTCCGATCTATGAACATAGGATGCATTTCCATTTAGTTGTGTAGTCACTTATTTTAGCAATGTTTCTTAGTTTCAATGTGCAAATCTTTCATCTTTTTCATTAGGCTTATGCCTAAGTATATTATTCTTTTGATGTTTTTGTAAATGGAATTGTGTTGCTAACCTATTTGTCTGTTCATTGTTAGTGTATAAAAACACAACTAATTTTTGTGTGTTGATTTTTTAGTCTATGACTTTGCTGAATTAATTTATTCTAACAGGTTTTTTTCGTGGAATCATTAGGATTTTCTACATATAAGCTTATGTCATCTGTAAACAGATAATTTTACTTCTTCCTTTCCAGTTTGATGTCTTTTATTTTTTGTGCCTAATTACTGTGGTGAGAACTTCTAACACTATGTTGAATGTAAGTGGCAAAAGTAGGAATCCTGGCCTTGTTCTTGATATTAGATAAAAATCTTTCACTTTTTTACCACTGAGTATGATGTTAGCTATAGGCTTTTCATTAGTGACTCTATTGTGTTGAATATGTTCTCTTCCTGGTTTTTGGAGTGGTCTTCCTATGAAAGCATGTTAAGGTTTGTCAAATGCTTTACTGCATCAATTTAAATGAATATGTGGTTTTTGTTCTTATTTCTGTTAATATATTGTATTACACTGATTAATTTTTATATGTAAAAACATCTTTATACTATAGAAGTAAATCCTACTTGGTCAAGGTGTATAATCCTTTTTATGTGCTGTTGAATTCAGTTTGCTAGTATTTGGTTGAAAATACTTGCATTAATATTCATCGGGGGCTATTGGTCTGTACTTTTCTTGCAATGTCTTTGGCTTTGGTATTAGGGTAATGATGGCCTCATGGAATAAGTTTGGAAGTGTTCTCTTCAAAATTTTTGTAGAGTTTCAGGAGGATAGGTGTCCTTTCCTTTTTAAATGTTTGTTAGATTCTCCAGGGAAGCCATCTGGTATTGAGTTTTGTTTTTGTATTTATGTTGAGAGGTTTTAGTTTATGAATTCAATCTCCTTACTTACTAACGGTCTGTTCAGATTTTCGTCCTGATTCAGTCTCGGTAGATTGTGTATTTTCTAGGAACTTACTTCTTTTTTTCTAAGTTATCCAGTTTGCTAGCATACAATTGTTATGGTACTCTCTTATGCTCCTATTTATTTCTGTGGCATTGCTCTATAATGTCTCCTCTTTTATTTCTGATTTTAGCTAGTTTAAATTTTCTCTCCTTTCTTCTTAGTTAATGTAACCAAAGGTTTGTCAAATTTGCTGATGTTTTCAAAAAGCAACTCTTGGTTTGACTGATATTTTTATGCCGTTTTTCTATTCTCTACGTGGTCTATCACTGCTTTAATTTTTGTAATTGTTTTGCCTTTCCTAGCTTTCAGTTTAGTGTGTTCTTCTTTTTCTAGTTTCTTGAGGTAAAAAGTTATTTTGGCAATTTGAGGTATTTCTTCTATTTTAATGTATGCAATTGCAGCTGTAGAATTTCCTCTTAGAACTACATCTCACAAGTCTTAGTATATTGTGTTTCTATTTCCACTCATTGCAAAATATTTTCTAAATACTTTTGTGACTCTTTTGACCTATTAGTTGTTTAAGAATATATTGTTTAATTTTCACATATCAATGGACTTCCTAGTTTTGTTTGTGCTATTGATTTCTAGTTTCATTCTACTGTAATCAGAGGAGATACTTTGTATGATTTCAATCTTCTTGAATTTGCTAAAACTTATTTTATAGCCTAATGTATTCAATCCTGGAGAACATTTCAAGTGGACTTGAGAAGAATAGGTAAATAGCTATTCTGCTGTTGTAGTGTGGAGTGTTCTGTGTATGTCTCCTAGGTCCACTTGATCTATAGTGCTCTTCAAGGCCTCTATATCTTTCTCGAGCTTCTGTCTGGTTGTTCCATCTATTATTAAAAGTGGGGTATTGGCATAGCCTATTATTGTGGGACTGTCTATTTCTCCCTTTAATTCTATCAAACTTTGCTTCATATATTTAAGAGCTCTGATATTTGATGCATAAGGATTTATAATTCTCATCTTTTTGGTGAATTAACCTTGTTATCATGGTATAATGTCTCTCTGTTTTTTGTAACTGTTTTTGATATAAAGTCTATTTTGTCTGATGTTATTTTAATTACTGCTGTTCTATTTTGGTTACCATTATACAGAATACTTTTATTTAACATCCTTTGACTTTTAGCCTATGTGTTTCCTTAGATTTAAAGTGTGTGTCATAGACAGCAAATAGTTGGATCTTGTTTTTTTTATCCATTAAACCAATCAAGTCTTTTGATTGGATATTTAATTCATTTACATTTAAAGTAGTTGCTAATAACAGAGGACTTACTATTGCCATTTTCTTGTTTTCTGCATGTTTATAAATTATTTTGTCTCTTTCCTCCCTAATGACCCTCCATTGTATTTCACTGATTTTTTTTTGTAATGGTATGCTTTGATTACCTTTTCATTTCCTCTTGTGTATATTCTCTCTACATTTTTTGTTTTTATTTACTGCAGAAGAGTTCTTTGGGTGGACATGGACTAACCGAGGGCTTCAACCTTTTCTTTTTTTGTAGCTATAGAATGTGGTGGAAATGCATCTTCTGGAGATAAGGAAGGACTGGCTAGAATATATCAGGCTTTGTTATAGCCCCTTTTAGAAATAAGGTGTCCATCAACATTTTAGCCCAATGTGCCATATGCCCCTCTCCAGGGTATAAAATCCGGGCTGGGCTGCTTTTTTGCAGTGCCTCAGCTGCAGTGCAAGTAAGGTAGGTACATGCAAGTCTCCATTCACCCTGGACAGCTTTTCTGAGCCTTGGAAAATTGGTTCATCATGAATCTTAGGCTTGTTGCTTCTTGCTGCCTAGTAGTAAACAATAAACCTGCTTCATGTAATGTGTGTGTGTATGTTTGTGTGTGTTCTGTCTGTTTGGAATCAGGCAAGCAGTGAAAGTACAAGCCAAGATGCAGTGGACTGAAGTGGTAACACTTACACAGTAAGTCTGCTTCACATAATTCATGCAGTGAGCAAGATCAATCTGACAGAACCATGGTTTCCTGCTGAAGCAGTAAAGCCAATATCCCTCAGTACTGGGCCCATGGGAAAAAAAAATCAGCTTGGGAATGAAGTGTCTGTAAATACAGCTGGATGATTTATGGAGAAGGAAGTGTGATAAGTGGAGCATAGATTACCTCTCTTTTTCCCCCAGAGATGTGAGTGAGCTGGCTGCACATATTGAGGCAAAGGGAAAGGAATGTGAAAGCAGGGAACCACAGTGCATGTTCCTCTGGTTGTTGGGGACTTATATCAATGATCATTTTTGTGACTAGAGAGCTCAAGAGATGGGTGTTCAGGTGGTCCCCAAGTCATTTGACAGGGAACCAACGTGCTCAATGCAGATCCACAGAGAAAAGGAGAATCAAGATCTAAAGGACAAGTATGAACAAAAGTCAGGGGAGTCTCATCCAGCCTGGTTGGCGTGCTTGTTTGATAACGGGATAATGCAGACCAAAAGATCTCAGGCTGAATGCCATAGTTAGTGAGGAGGACCAGGTCTCCAGATTCCCACTGGAGGCCAGTGGCCCCGTACACTTGTCAATATAAAAGATTTTTTAAGAAGGTGAATTTATACTTTTTGAGGGCTCCTGGTTACTGGAGCCCTTATGACAATATTTCTAGATCCCCTTGAAAAGTTAAAATAATAGCATCAAAAGACAACTGAAAAATGTTAATGCCTCCATACCCACGAATGGGTCACTGAACACTAAAACAAGGGAAGTGTGTACTGTGTGCACTTGAGGGCTACATCTTTCACTGAAGGTAGTCAGGGATGATCCAAATAGGGGGTAAACAATGTCATGCCTGGAAAGTTGGTGTATGCTGGAATCCTGCATGTTGAGAATGCTGACAGTGCCCATGTATATCACTCCTGGGAATGAGATGCACTGTTGGCCAACAGCTTATAGCTGTACACCAGCTTTACAAGGAACCTGCCAAGATATGTAATTGACTATGGACTTATGTCCTTTATGAGATCTTTGCTATCATACATAGGAGTCAGGGCCCATTAAAAAAATTGCAAGAAATCTGTCCCTAACCATGGCATGTATTGTTTCCTCCTCTGCTACTGCCTTAGCAACCCAGCAGGCATCTCTCAACTCCATTAGGAAGGTTGTTATAGGCAACAGAATAGCTCTAGTTATTCTTTTAGCCTAACTGAAAGGAACATGTGCAACTGCCAACACTTCCTGCTGTACCAAGAAAAACACCTCTGGCATTACAGAGATACAAATGAAGGACATTCAGAAGCAGGTCCACTGGTTGCAAAAGATCCTTCTGTGACCTCTTCAGTAACTAAACTCCAGGGCACACACCTCTCTAGCAACTTCTCACCTGAATTTCTGGGATTCTTGGCTTAGGCCACTGCTCCTGGAAGGCCTGACCTTTCTGCTTGTAGTAGTAACCTTCCTGGGTCTAGTAAAATGTATTCTCACTATGGCTCAATAATGTTGCACTAAGATTGTGTCAATCAAAGTATCATATTGATTTAGCAAGACAAACCTCTGTCTCCATATCTGGGAAGATCTGCAGGAAATTTTGCTAAGGGAGGATATCTGGGTACAGAAGTGGACTGAAGAATAGTTCTCTGTGTGGCCTTGGACTGATATAGTTCTCTCTTCTTTCTCACCTATAGTTCTCAATAATAACTATAAAATGTGCTGGAAATACAACATCTTGAGGTAAGGAGGAAGTTGCTGAAATAGCTGGGCCTCTATTCCAGTCCCTCCTGGAAACATTATTTCCTTCAACATTTTAGCCCAGCATGTCATGTGGCTACCCCAGGGTAGAAAACCCAGAGCATGCTACTTTTTATGGTCCCTAAGCTATGGTACAAGTAGAGCACACACAGATAAGACACAATACACCCTGTGTAGTTTTCCTGAGCCTCTGGGACTGTCTCATCATGAGTCCTAGTTTTCTGTTGTCCTCTTGTTACCTTTGTATAAGTAATAAACCTGCTTCACGTAACTCATTGTGTATGTCAGTGTTCTGTCACAACGGACTCAGGCAAGTAATACAAACACAACCTGAGAGGCACTGAACTGTAATGGTAATCAGTGCACAGTGAACGTCTTTTATAATTGTTGCAATTACATAAAAAAATTTATATTTTAAACTGAAAACGATTTAAATTACATACAAAAAATAATAATTCTTGACAGCTCCAAACTCCAATTTCATGTTATTGATTTCACAAATTATGTCTTCATATGTTTTATACCCATTAGAATAGATTTATAGGCTTTTTAATGTTTTATCATTTAAATTCCTGCATCAAAATTACAATAATACAGGTTACTATATTGATATTAATACATGTATTAGGTTGGTGCAAAAGTAATTGAGGCTTTTGCCATTCTTTCAGTCATCAAAGAGGTTTAATACTTACCCTTACTGGAGAAATATTTGTCTTCATCTTAATGTTGCTGTCTAATGTTCTTTCATTTGAACTTGAAGAAATTCCCTTAGCATTTCATTTACACTAGAACTAGAGGTGATGAACTTCCTCAGCTTTTGTTTATCTGGGAAAGTCTTAATTTCTCCTTCATTTTTATGGAAATTTTTTTCGGGTACAGTATACTTGGTAGACAGATTTATTTTCTTTCAACATTTTGAATATTTTATCCAATTATCTTTTGTTCTGCAAGATTTCTTTTGTGAAATCTGCTGATAATCTTATGGACATTCTCTTGTATATAAAGAGTCACTTTTACTACTTTCAATATTCTGTCTTTGAATTAGAGAGTTTTATTATAATGCATCTCATTGTGTTTCTCTTTGGATTAATTACACTTAAAGTTCTCGAAGCTTCTGGAATTAATCAGGTGAACCCCTCTAGTAAACTTTTTACTTCATTTAGTGTATTTTTTAGTGTATTTTTCAGCTCCAGAATTTCTGGTTGCTCTTGTTTTGTAGTTTCTGTTTGTTTTCTAATATTCTTGTTTTCTTATACATCATTTTTGTGATTTTGTTTAGTTGTCTGTGTTCTCCTTTTGCTCACTGAGCATTTTTATGAGTTATTTTAAATTTTTTGTTTCAAGCTCATATATTTGTGTTTCTTTAGGATCAGTTTCTAGAGTTGTATTTTGTTCCTTTGATTGGGCTTCATTTCCCTGTTTCTTTGTATATCTTACAATTATTTCCTGAGATATGGATATTTGAATAAACAGCCTCCTCATCCAGTCTTTTTATACTAGCTTTAGGCAGGAATAAACCTTCACCAGTCAGCCAAGCCAGAGCTTCTATAAAGAGGACCTCGTAAATCTTGTCTGATCTCTTGCTTCCCCTGGCACCTGCCTGTGGAACTGAAGCTCTAATGTGCTATGATGCTTGCCTCTGTTTTCAGTGATATCCGAACTTGGCTGTTGGTATTAGTCTATCACTCTATTAGTCCATTTTCATGCTGCTGATAAAGACACACCCGAGACTGGGAAGAAATAGAGGTTTAATGGACTCACAGTTCCACGTGTCTGGGGAGGCCCCACAATCATGGTGGAAGGTGAAAGGCACTTCTTACATGGTGGCAGCAAGAGAGAATGAGAGAGAAGTGAAAGCAGAAACTCCTTATAAAACCATCAGATCTTGTGAGACTTATTCACAACCATGAGAACAGTATGGGGAAAACTGCCCGCCATGATTCAATTATCTCTCCTACAACGTGTGGGAATTACAGGAGTACAATTCAAGATGAGATTTGGGTGGGGACAGAGCCAAACCATATCAATTGCTGCTCTTTGTTAGGTTAAGAGAGAAACCAGAGATAGCCAGAAGGTTGGATGTGTGGCCCACTCTTTTGTTTCCATCATGGGGTAGAAACCTCGGTATTGGAGGAACACAGATGAGCACATACAATGTTATGCATTTTCCTGCTTCTTTTACTTGGAATCCTTTCCGGGTTTTATATTAATCTAGGTTCTGTAAGTTCTCAATTGGTCTATAGAATTCTTGCAGAAGTGCTCTGGTCTGTGCATGATTGTTAAATCAATGTTTCTAGGGAAAACAGAGGGCCTGAAGCTCTCTTCATCTTCCTGACATCTTTCAGGATCTTGCTGACATACATTAAAAATTTATTTCCCAATTAGTCATATATCATTTTCTTATGGTGTTTTCCCATGCCAAAAATATCAAGTTATAGGTATTAAGACTTTTAATTTTTCTTCTTTTAGAAAAAATGTATAACTTATATAGGAGAAATGTTCCCATTCCTAGGTTATAAAAAATTTACCAGTGTTTTCCTCTGGTATTAGCATAATTTAATTATTTTTATCCATAACTTCATAACTTTCTTTTCCATTTTGATTTTTTCATTTATAGGGTGACAAATAGATGGTTTTACCTTTTTAATTAGAAAATTATCTCAATACTATTTGTTGTTTAAAAAAAAAAAACTCTTGCCCAACAATTTATAATGCTTTGTTTTTTTTTTTGAGTCTCACTCTGTCACCCAGACTGGAGTGTAGTGGTGTGATTTTGGCTCACTGTAGCCTCCGCCTCCTTAGTTCAAACAATTCTGCCTCAGCCTCCTGAGTAGCTGGGATTACAGGCACGTGCCATGAGGCCCAGCTAATTTTTTGTATTTCTTAGTAGAGAAGGGGTTTTGCCATGTTGGCAGGCTGGTCTCGAACTCCTGACCTCAGGTGATCTGCCCGCCTCAGCCTCCCAAAGTTCTAGGATTACAGGTGTGAGCCACCATGCCCAACTTAATGCTGCATTTTTTGTATGCTCAATTTCTATAGTAATTGTATATATTTCTGAATTGATTAAATCTTTACGTCTTTTAACTTGGTCAGTCTATTTATTCACCAATACCACACCACATCATTTATGTCAGCAACTGTACATAGAAACTTAACCATTTGGAATGAGATCTATAAATAGAATAAAAGACTCTATAACATAAAAATATTAAAATATTTTAATATTTTTATGGTAATTAAGGCTTTGTTAGAGCCTTTTTCTCCCAACTGAAGAAAAGCACAACTTACCACTTCCAAAATCTTGGCAGTGTGGGAAAAAAAAAAAAAAGGAAGAATAAAGCTCCTTCTATTTGATCAGTGAAACTACTATTTTAAACAAATGAAGTTCCAGTTAACTAAAAGCTCTGAACATTTGAAATTTTAGCATTATTTTCCCAAATAAAAAGTAAATTACTTTGTGAGAAATAATGACATAAAAACAATACATTTTTTCTCATTTAATAAACAAAAAGGTTGAGAAATCATTTACAATGTTCTTGTTGGCTTGATGTTATTATTATTCACTGGGAACTAGGGAGATAGTAACAATGTTCAAACATAGATTTAAATCCTTTTTTTTATGTATTCACTTTTTTTAGTCATATGTTAGAAGCTAATTGTGTCCCAGAGACTCTTCAATAGTTTACAATATTCATTAATTGAAATCTTACAACTGCTACGTAAGATAGTCAGCATTATTGTTTACATTCAATAGACGAAGAAACTGAGGCACAAAAAATTCAAAGAGCTCATATAGTAAGTAAACACTGAAGCTAAGATTTAAACTAATGATGCTCTTTAGTCTGTACTTTCATTATTGCATTATAGAAAAATATCTGTCTAATAAAAATGTATTCAGTGTCTCCAGATCCCTAATATTGTTCTAGGTATAGAAAGCTAATAGAAAAGAAAGGACAATTTATTCCCCTCATTGTGCTTACATTTTAGCAGAATTTTGACAGTGAACAGGGAGATGAATAACTGGTATAAAGAAAATACATTGATGATGCAATAGTGAGCAACTATTTTCCCCATCAGTTAGGATGGGGAAAATCTTTTTTTTTTTTTTTTGATGGAGTCTTGCTGTGTCGCCCAGGCTGGAGGGCAGTGGCACGATCTTGGCTCACTGCAAGCTCGCCTCCCGGGTTCATGGCATTCTCCTCCCTCAGCCTCCCGAGTAGCTGGGACTACAGGCGCCCGCCACCACCCCCGGCTAATTTGTGTGTGTGTGTGTGTGTGTGTGTGTGTGTGTGTGTGTGTGTGTGTGTGTTTTAGTAGAGACAGGGTTTCACCGTGTTAATCAGGATGGTCTCAATCTCCTGACCTCGTGATCTGCCCTCCTCGGCCTCCGAAAGTGCTGGGATTACAAGCATGAGCCACCGTGCCCGGCCGAAAATCATTTTTTATATGTGTTGGTCAAAGGTATGTAAGCTAAACCATGGAGGATAAAAATAAGCCAGCAATATGAAGAGCTAGGGAAAGAGATTGCTACACATATAGATGAGTAAATGCTGGAGTGACAGGGCAGGAGAAAGCCTGCCATTCTCAAGCATCAAAGAGGAATGAAATGAGGTTGGAGAAGGAGGCTGATGGACAAGTAGATTGAGTCATGTAGGAACTTGTAAGTCACAGTAAGTAAAATGCATATTCAGTGTCAGAGAGGCTAGCATATAAAGGGTTTTAAGCAAGAGAGAGACAAAGTACAAGTTACATCTTCAAAAGAGCATTCTGACTGCTCTATGGAGAATGAATTTTTGTGGGATGAGAGTGAAAGCAAAACGAACACATAAGAGGTAGTTTTAGCAGAATGACAAGAAGTGATGGTTTGAACCTGGCAGTTGTATTAGAAAAGGAAAGAAAGAAATAGAATAAAGAAAGTTTCTGGTAATATCATCCACAGGGCTATTGTTTGATTGAATACACAAAGGCAGAGCAATAAAGAGGAAAATAAACCAAGATTGGTTGCTAGGTGTTTACCTTGAACCTCTGGGAACATGCTGATGCCAAGTATTGAGCTGAGCAATCTTTAAAACTAGATTATAGTAGAAATAAACAGATCTGTTTTGCACAGAAGTTTGAGAGGTTTATTAAATATTCAAGTCAATCTAGGGTTCTAATGAGTTGTCCAGTGAGTAGCAAGGACTAGAGTTATAAATTTCAGTCAATGGACTACATACAGTTTATACAATTTATGACAGGATGAAAATGTCCATCCCAAAGGATATTGATGCACTAATCTCTGGAACCTAAGAATGTTATCATATACAGCAAAAATTTAAAAAGGTGTCATTGCATTTTTCTTTTTGAAACAGAGTCTCGCTTTCTTGCCTAGCCTGGACTGCAGTGGCACAATCTTGGCTCACTTCAACCTCTGCTTCCCAGGTTCAAGCTATTCTCTTGCCCCAGTGTCCCGAGCAGCTGGGACCATAGGTGCAACACCATGCCTGGCTAATTTTTGTATTTTTAGTAGAGACGGAGTTTTGCCATGTTGGCTGGGTGAGTCTTGAACTTCTGACCTCAAGTAATTCGCCTCAGCTTTTCAAAGTGATGGGATTACAGCTGTGAGCCACCACACCCAGCCATCATTGTGCATGTAATTAAAAGATCTTCAGATGGTGAGGTTATTTTGAATTATCCATGTAGGCCCTAATAAAATCACATGTATCCTTATAAAAGGGAGGCAGAGAGAGATTTTACACATACATAGAAGAGAAAACAATATGAGACAAAACAAAGGGTTTTTGGTAAGGCAGGGCTTGAAGGTTGAAGTGATGCAGTCACCAGCCAAGGAATGCCTGCTGACACTAGAGGCTGGCAGAGACAAGGAACAATCTCCCCCAGAAACTCCACAGGGAGCACAAATCCTGATTTCGGCCCAGTGAAACTGATCATAGACATCTGGCCCTCAGAACTATGAAAAAATAAATTTCTGTTTTAAAGCATTAATTTTGCAGTAATTTGTTACAGCAGCCACAGGAAACTAATACAATAGTATTTTTTAAAATGGACTGGATAACATTATCTAGAAGGAGAATGAGAAGAGAAGCATGTCTAGGATCAATCTCTGGTATACTCTAATAGTTAATGGTCAGATAAGGGAGGAGAAAAGAGGAGAAGAAACCAAAGAGAAGCATTAAATGAGGGTGGGAAAAAAAGATAAATAGTATCAAAGAAAGAAGAATGTTTTTAAAAGGGAGTAGTGAGCAAACGTATAGTATCTACTGAGTATCAAATATATAGTATCTATGGAGGTGTAGTATGATAAAGATGAAAAACATATTTATTGAGTTTGATAAAGTGTAAATCTGATGATTTTTTTAGAAGTCTATTTTAGGGTAGCACTCGGAATTAAAGCCAGGTTTGAGAGAGTTAAAATAAATGAGTGGTAAGAAGGCACATTTAGCAAAAAAAGACAACCATTTTAAAGTGAGAAAAATAAGATATGGACTTTGAATAAAGAATTTATGGACCTAGCATATTTCTGCTTATGTCTTGTTAGCCAGAATAGTGTCTCTGACCATTCTTGGCAGAAGTTTGTTTTAAAGCAGTGGTTTAAAATAATTAGGTTCAGACAATCCTAGAATAGTGTCTGGATAGGAAAAGAGGAAGCCAAGGAAATGAACATTGGACTGGATATTCCTACAGATAATGAGTCACTAAGAATAAAAACTGGAATAAGGGTGAAGGGGAAAACCAAAAGCCAGGAACTCACGTCTTGCAATGAAAGAAGGAAGTAAAGGCAATGAGGAAGAGAATAGTATACCACAAGGAAGAGAATAGTATACCACAAGATTACATGCTATGAGCATCAACATAATCTCAAAGATGTTACACAATAGCTTTAAAGGGAATTCAAGCATAAGAGAAATGGTTAAGCGAGATAACTTTAAGCTACCTTTTCAAGACTGAAATTATATTATTCTATAAACCTCAACACTTAAAGAAAAGCAATTCCTTAATGACAAGAAGTAATTTAGGTTCATTTACTTATAACTTAAACATTTTCAGACTTTGAGCTGCTCCACTTAACATTTATTTCTACTTTTCCTTATTGATGTTTGTATTTCCTTTTTCCAAATTCTCTGACATTAATGAATTTGCTTCTTTTGACTTATCTGATCTTGACTTACCTCTCATTCTTTGAATAGCACTATCCCTTTCTTCCGTCCCTCTCTCCCTCCCTTCTTTTTCTTTTTTCTGTCTCTCTCTCATATTTTATTTTCTTTCACAGACACTTCCCCAGAAAAATCTTAAATTGTAAAAGTATTGTAGTCATGGCTTTGGAATCTAATTGCTTGGTTCACCACTTGCTAGTTCAGTGATACTGGGCAATTTACCTTGACTCCCATTTTTTTTTTTTTTAGTTAACACCTAATAATTACCCATATTTATGTGATTAAGAATGATATTTTGATACAAATATACAATGTATAATGATCAAATCAAAGTAATTAGTGTGTCTAATACCTCAAACATTTATGATTTCTTTACATTTATGATTTCTTCCTATCTTCTAGCTTTTTGGAAATACACAAAAAATTATTGTTAACCATATTTACTCTACAGTGTTTATAGAACACTAGAACTTATTCCTTCTATTTAGCTGTAATTTGCATCTATTCACCAATACCTCTCTATCGCCCCTGCCCACTTGCCCTTCTCAGTCTCAAATAACCACAATTCTCTCTACTTCTATGATGTCAATTTTTTTAGCTCTTACATTTCAGTGAAATATGAAGTATTTATCTTTCTGTGTCTGACATTTCATTTTACATAATGTCCTGCAAGCTCATCCATTTTTCCAGGAATGACAGGATTTCATTCTATATTATGGCTAAACATTATTCCATTGTGTATATATACCACATTTTATAAATTCATCTATCGATTGACACTTTGGTTGATTACATATTTTGGCTATTGTGAATAGTGCTGCTATAAATATGGGAGTGTAGGTAACTCTTTGGTACACAGATTTTCTTTTGATTGGATAAATGTCCATTAATGGGATGGCTAGATTGCATGGTGGTTGTGTTTTTTGGATTTTGCAAAACATTTATACTCTTTTCCATAATGGGTGTAGTAATTTACATTCTCATAAGCAATGTATAAGAGTTCCATTTATCTGCATTGCCACCTGTATTTCTTATTTTTTGTGTTTTTTTTTTATTAATAGCCATTTAAACCTGAGTAAGATGAGATCTCATTGTGGTTTAATTTGCATTTTCCTAATGATTAATGATATTTCATTTTTTTCGTATATCTTTTGATCATTTGTATGACCTGTTTTCAGAAATGTCTATTCAGATCCTCTGCCCATTTTTAAATTGGATTTTATTTTTTTTATTTTTTATTATTATTATTTTTTTTGCTGTTGAGATGTTTGAGTTCCTTATCTTTTTCTGGTTATTAATGCCTTGCCAAATAAATAGTTTGCAAATATTTTCTCTCACTCCACAGGGTTTCTCTTCACTCTGTAAATTGTTTCCTTTGCTTTGCAGAAGCTTTGACTTCTTTGATATAATCTCATTTGTCTATTCCTGCTTTTGTTGCTCATGCTTTTGAAGTCTCAACCATGATATATTTGCTTGGACCAATGTCCTGAAGCATTTCCTCTATGTTTTCTTTTAGTAGTTTTGTAGGTTCAGGTCTTACATTTAAAACTTTAATCCATTTTGAATTAATTATTGTATACAGTTAGTAATATGGGTCTAGTTTTGTTCTTCTACATATGAATATTCTGTTTTCCCAGCACCATTTCTTTAAAAGGGGGTCATTTCCCAACGTGTGTTATTGGGGCCTCTGTCAAAAATAAGTTGGCTGTAAATAAATGCATTTATTTCTGTGTTCTCTATTCTGTTTCCTTGGTCTATGCTTTTGTATTTATACCGACACCATGCTCTTTTGATTTCTATGACTTTGTAGTATATTTTGAAGTCAGGTAGTGTGATGCCTCAAGTTTTCTTCGTTTTGCTCATTGTTGCTTTGACTATTTCTGGTCTTTTGTGATTTCATATAAATTTTAGGATTGCTTTTCCTATTTCTATAAAAAATATCTTTGATATTTTGTTAGGGATTATCTTGAATCTGCGGATTGCTTTGGATAATATAGTCATCTTAACAATATTAATTCTTCCAATCCCATGAGTATGAGATATCTTTTTATTTTTGTGGTCTCTTTAATTTTTTTCATCAGTGTTTTGTAGTTTTTATTGTACAGGTCTTTTACTTCCTCGGTTGTATTTATTCCTAGGTATATTTTTGGTGGCTATTGAAAATGGAATTAATTTGTTGATTTCTTTTACAGCTAGGTTGTTATTGCTATGTAGAAATGCTGATTTTTATACTGAATTTGTATCCTGCAACTGTATTACACTTGTTTATCAGTTCTAAGCCTTTGTCCGTAGAGTCTTTAGGTTTTTCTATATATAAGATAATGTATTTGCCAAGAGGGGTAATTTGAAGGCTTCATTTCCTCATTAAGTATGGATGTTAGCTATGTGTTTTTCATATGTGGCTTTTATTGTGTTTAGGTATGTTCCCTGTACACCTAACTTGTTGAGAGTTTTTATCATAAAGGGCTGTTGTATTTTATCAAATGATTGTTGTATAACCATTGATATGGTTATATGGTTTTTGCCCATCATTCTGTTTTTCAGTTATTGATTAGTATGTATTGAACCATCCTTGCATCATTTGGATAAATCCCACTTGATCATGATGTATAATCTTTTTGATGTGATGTTGAGTTTGGTTTGCTAGTATTTTGTTGAGAATTTTTTATCTATGTTCATTAAGGATATTTGCCTGAAGTTTCTGTTTTTTGTGTGCGTGTGTGAGTCCTTTTCTGATTTTGGATCAGGGTAATGTTGGACTAGTAGAATGACAAGAAGAATTATATTTTATTTAATATCTGGAAGAGTTTCAATTCTTACTAGTTCTTATTTAAGAGTTTGGTAGAATTCAGCACTTTGTTGGAAGGTTTTTATTACTTATTCAATCTTGTTACTCCTTATTATTCTCTTCTAGTTTTCAATTTCTTGTTCAATTATAGCAGGTTATTTGTGTCCAGGAATTTGTTCATTTCTTCTAGGTTTTCAAATTAGTTGGTGTATTGCTGTTCATAATAGTCACTAACTGTATTAGTCCATTCTTGTACTGTTAAAAACATACCTGAGACTGGGTAATTTTTAAAGAAAAAATGCTTAATTGACTCACAGTTCCACAGGTTGCACAGGTAACATGGCTAGGGAGGACTCCAGAAACTTTCAATCATGACAGAAGATGAAGGGGAAGCAGGCATGTATCACATGGCCAAGGAGGAAGGAAGACAGAAAGGAGGGAGATGCAACATGTTTTTAAACAACCAGATCTCCTGATAACTCACCCACAATTATGAGAACAGCAAGGGGGAAATCTGCCCCCATGATTCAATCAGCTCTTTCCAGGCCTCACATCCAAAACCGGGAACTATAATTCAACACAAGATTTGGATGTGGACACAAATCCAAACCATATTACTAATGATCGTTTGTATTTCTGTGGTATCAATTTTTATGTCTCATTTTCTTTCTGATTTTATTTATTTGGGTCTTCCTTCTTTACTTCTTAGTTTAGGTAATGGTTTGTCAATTTTTACTTTTTCAAAAAAAATAACATTTTTGTTTATTTTATTTGTCTCTATTTCATTTAGTTCTGTTCTGATATTTATTATTTCTTTTCTTCTACTAATTTTGAGTTTGGTTTGTTTTTACTTTTCTAGTTGTTAAGGTTCATCACTGAGTTGCTGATTTGAAATCTTTCTACTTTATGTTGTAGGTATTTATTGCTATAAATTTACCCTTTAGCACTGCTTTGCTGTATCCTATATATTTGGTATGTTGGGTTTCTATTTTAATTCGCTTTAAAAAACTGATCCTCTTCTTAGTTTTTTTTTTTTTTTTGAGACGGAGTCTCGCTCTGTCGCCCAGGCCGGACTGCGGACTGCAGTGGCACAATCTCGGCTCACTGCAAGCTCCGCTTCCCGGGTTCACGCCATTCTCCTGCCTCAGCCTCCCGAGTAGCTGGGACTACAGGCGCCTGCCACCGCGCCCGGCTAATTTTTTGTATTTTTAGTAGATACGGGGTTTCACCTTGTTAGCCAGGATGGTCTCGATCTCCTGACCTCATGATCCACCCGCCTCGGCCTCCCAAAGTGCTGGGATTACAGGCCTGAGCCACCGCGCCCGGACTCTTCTTAGTTTTTAAAATTAACTCAGTCATTGTTCAAAAGCATGTTGTTTAATTTCCATGTATTTGTACATTTTCCAAAGTTACTCTTTTATTGATTTACAGTTTTATTTCATTGTAGTATGAGAAAGTACTTGATGTGCTTTTGATTTTTAAAAAATGTATTGAGACTTGTTCTGTGTCATACATATGGTCTATGTTGGAGAATGTTCCATGTGCTGATGAAAAGAATGTGTATTCCGTAGCTGTTGGATGAAATGCTCTTTAAATGTCCTTCAGGTTCTTTTGGTCTATAGTGCAGTTTAAGTCCTATGTTTTTGTTTTATTTTTTGCATATATAATTTTTTCAGTCCTAAAAGTAGGGTGTTGAAATCACTAACTATTATTGTATTAGAGTATATCTCTCTCATTAGTCTGAATAATATTTGTTTTATATAATCTGGATGCTTGAGGGTTGGGTGCATATATACTCACAGTTGTTATATCACCTTGCTGAATTGATCCTTTCATCATTAGTGACTTTCTTTGTTTCTTTATTTCTTTTTTTGAGACACGGCTTCATTCTGTCACGTAGGCTGGACTGTAGTGGTGCAATCATGGCTCACTGCAGCCTCAATTCTCCTGCTTTAGCCTCCCAAGTAGCTGGGACTACGGGTGCATGCCACCACACCCCACTATTTTTTGTATTTTTTGTAGAGACAGGTTTTTACCATGTTGCCCAGGCTGGTCTTGAACTCCTGGGTTCAAGTGATCTGCCCATCTTTGCCTCCCTAAGTGCTGAGATTATGAGTGTTTTTAAGTCTGCTCCTGCATGCCTTTGGTTTTCATGTACATAGGTTGCTTTTTTAAATTCTTCACGTTCAGTATATGTGTGTCTTTATAGGTAAAGTTCTCCTAGGAAGCATATAGTTAAGTCTTTTGTAAAAAATTCATTCCATTACTCTATATCTTTTAATTGGAAAGTTGAATCTGTTTATATTCCAGGTTGTTATCAATAATGTCTTAATCCTATAATTTTGTTAATTGTTTTGTATATTCTTTGTTACTTTATTTCTCTCTTATTGTACATATTTGTGATTTGGTGGTGTTCTGTAGCGAAATACAATGGCTTGGTTCCATTCTATTTCTCATTTGTGTATTTACTCTTCAGTCAGTTTTATATTTTTGTGTTTTCATGATGGTAAATATCATCTTTTGCATTCCAAATGCAGAACTCTATTAAACTTTTCTTGGAGGGCCAATCCAATTGCGATGAATTATCTCAATTTTTGCTTGTCTAGAGAAGACTTTATTTCTCCTTTGTCTCTGAAGAATAGCTTTGCTGGGTATTGTATTCATTACCAACAGCTTTTTTAAAAATTCAGTAGCTAACATATGTTATCTCATTATCTTCTGGCCTATATGGTTTCTGCTGAAAAATCTGCTGTTACTCCAATGGGGATTCTCTTATTTATGACTTGATACCTTGATACTCTTCTTTTTTTACAATTCTCTCTTTGTCTTCAACTTTTAACAGTTTGGCTGTAATGCATCTTGGAAAGAACCTTTTGGGGGTTCAATTTGTTTGGGTATATTTGAGCTTTCTGTATCTGAATTTCTATTTCTCTCCCTGACTTGGGAAGTTTCCAGCTATTATTTTGTTAACATTTCTCCTGTTTAGAAAAAAAAATAGTGCAGCTCACTGCTAGTGCTCATTTAATTTTGCATAAACATGTTCTTTGAGGCTGAAGCAAATATGACTGATTTTCAATGTACAAATAAAATATAAAAAACTGTTCTTGGAGTTATTTCTAAACAGAACTAACATCAGAATCATCTGAATCATCAGAATTACCTATTTTGGAAAAACTCAGATTTATTAAGTGAATCTTCAGCCAACAAGTGTTTGAGAATGATGTTAAGATCACATAGGAATGCTACGTTTTCTAGGATTTGACATTTTTAAGAATTGAGAATTACTATATTTTGTAACTGGAAATACCACTACTGAAAACAGAATGCTGTAAGTATAATGATGTCTTTTGTTTCCAAAACAATGCTAGGGAAATACAAAAATAATAATAAAAGCAAGATATTTCATGGCAGTTATCTCAGGGTAAATGCTGGAGCCACAATAACCACCAGCGCAAGTATTCTCAGGGCAAACAGAAAAAGGGTTAAATAGGTTTTCTATGGCTTTTTCCATCTCTTCTCCTGTGGAACTCCAAAATTGCAAATGTCTGTTTGCTTCATTGTATCCTATAAGTCATATAGGCTTTCTTCAATTATTTTATTCTTCTTCTTTTTTTTCTTTTTTGGTCTGAACTGGATTGTTTCAAAAGATCTGTCTTCAAGTTCAGGATTTTTTTTGGCTTATCTAATATATTGTTGAAGCTCTCAATTGTATTTTATTTCATTTTTTGAATTCTTAAGTTCCAGGATTTCTGTTTGTTTCTTTTTTGACATTGTATATCTTTTTATTAAATTTTTTACTCACATAATGAATAGTTTTTCAAAAATTTGTATCATCCATCTTTGTTCTCATAACTTGCTGGGTTTTAACAAAATCATTATTTTGAATTCTTTTTAAAAGCATTTGATAGATCTCCTTTTCATTGAGGCGTTAACAGAGAAATTTGGGTTCCTTTGGAGATGCTATCTTCTTTTTGTGTTTCTCATGTCCCTACATTGATAGCTATGAATCTGGTATAATGGTGGCTTCTTTCAATTATATGGAATAGCTTTCATAGAGAAAGACTTTCTCCTATAAATGCATCTTTAGTGTCAGGTGGATAAGGTGCTTTGGCTTTAATTCTCAGTGGGTGAAATATTATAGTTTCTGTATGATTTATTTGGTTGTAAATCAATGTTAGTGGTGTCTGCAATTTCCTTAGCAGCTTTGGCTGTGGTTGTGAAAACTGTTGTGAGTCTTTGTTGGTGATAAGGACACTAGGTGAGCTAGTCCTTAGGCCCTTTGGGAGTGCACACAAGCACGGCAATAGCAGCAATAGACACCTGGTGGGCCAGTCTCCAGGCTCCTCAGCAGTGAGCACAGATATGCAGTTGTCCCACTGCTAAACTGGGTGGGGTTCCTGGCAGTGGTGGTGGTGCGCTACAGACTGACTGATCTTCAGCCCTTAAGTGACACACATGGGCACCAAATGTGGACCCAGGTAGACCAGTCCTCAGGTCCAGGGTTGTGTGCCTATATGCCAACAGTGATGGTAGTGGGCCCCAGTCAGGTTCTGAGAATTAGAAATATCACTTTTACATGGGTGCCAACAGTGGTGGTAGCAGGCCCCAAGTGGGACAGTCCGTAGGCCTTTAAGAGGTGCATGTTGGACCTGGCAGTAGTGGTGGCAGGCATGGAGAGGGGCATTCCTTGGGCCCCCATATAGCATTGTTTGGCACTGCCAGTAAAGGCAGCAACCCAATGGTGGCTGGTTTTTGAACCCCATCTGGTGGATGCAGGTGTCAGTAGTAGCACCAGAGAAGGTCAGTTCTCAGGCCCTCAGGTGACATACATAGGTGCACATAGGTGCAGGCAGTAGAGATGGCATCCCCAGGTATGCCAGTTCTTGGCCCCTGAGTGGTACACTTAGGCAGATTGCAGACCTTCCACTCTAGGAGACAGGATTGCTTTGCTGACAGCAGTCCTGGCAGGTGGCTTTCAGGCCCTGGGGACCATGTGCTTTGAGTCTCTGTGTCCTAGGAGCAGTCTTCCTGATTTGCTGGTCCATCTTTTCCATGGGGTCTAGAGTGCTGAGTTAGCTCAAGCGCCAGGAACAAGGATGCATCACTGGGTCCAGCTGGTGTAATGCTGCCACTCTCTGGGTGGATTTCTACCTTAACTCTTGGAGCCTATGTTTTCTGTAGATAAAATGACAGTGATGATACAATGACCTCAGAGAGTTGTCTTGAGAATTAAATTATATTAGAGTTTACAACGCTCATTTCATGCTGCCTAATACAAGGAAATAGTAATTACTTACTGGCTAGTCTGACTGTTAACAGCCAGCAGATATCTCTTTCATTCTTAGATGTTCAGTTCCCTTGGCTGTGTTATATAAAGAATTTCCAATTTCTTCTGGGCTCACAGCAATTGTGAGAAGTAGGCAGTCATCAGTATCTGGGCTCATCATGGATTGGCTGGTATAGAAAATACAAAACAAAATTTAAAATAACCCTTTCTGAATCTGTCAGACCTTGAACTCCATTTAAAGTTAGACAGAGTCATGTGATTTTAAGTTCTGGGTTTGCAAAAAGTTTATCAACAAAGATAAATCTTAGGAAATTAAAACAAGCTGTCCAGAACTTTAGCAGTTAAACTTTACCAGTGTAATTTGGTGGCTTTGCAACTTTTCCCACAGTAACCTTTAGAATGTGAAAGGTGGAAGGTAAGGATGAGGAAGAAGAGGGAGTAAGAAACAAAAGATGTCTATGTTGAAGAAGTATCCTTAGGATATTCTGATACATGGTAATGACCCTCCATGACTCTGGTACCTCATCATTACCAATGTGAGAATTATTAACTTGATCTAATATTCTTCACAACTAATATACCTGAGAGAAATAAGTCTATTTAATTTTTAATTTTGGGGGGAATATACACATTTTCTTTTGACTTTTAGCAATAGTGAATTGGTTAGACACTTTTCTTTAACAATATATGAATCATTAATACATCATCAACAATATAGTCATCTGGAGTTTGTCATATTTTCTTATATTCTTGGCACTTTTTTTGTTCTTAGGCATTTCTGGCTGTTATTCAAGTCTGATCTTAATATTACTGATTCAGTTTTGGGGAATATAAATTCTGATATTTCCTTCTTTGATTTCTGTTACTCTTCCATCTTCTTAACTTTCCTCATTCACATTTCACTTAGATTATGCAGTTTGAATCTTGGAGTCGGGTCTGTTGGGGCCAGTTATTTAACTACTCTTATTCTCAGCATTTACACTAGAAATGAAAGGATGAGAACTATGTTATAGGGCTTCTGCAGGATTACACAAATAGACAGTAAGATGCCAGCACAGTATCAAACATAGTTGGTCTTAAGTATATAATATATTAGCTTTATTTTCAATCACTAACTCAATTACAAGGCAGAAATAAGCATATTCTTTTTTGGAAAAAAAAATTCTAAGATAATCAGAAAATACATTATAGTAGGGCATACCATCCTGGTTTTAATGCTTTGCATTTGTTTTTATTTACTTTTGGATAAAGAAAGCAGATGAGGGTTAGGTTTATTGATAATTTCATTATTTATAATAATAGCAAAATTAAGATTTATTTGGCATTTAAAGGATACATTGCCAAGTACTTTTATGTCATGTATCTTAATTACTATGATTAATAATAAAAACTAAATGTGCAAGGCACTTTACAAATTACTTTTGTTTAAATTATCTCATTCTACTCTTAAAATAACCTATGAACTCATTATATAAACTGCGTGGCATTAAGTCTTTATTTTATCAAAATGACAAAACCATGTCTCAGAGCTATAATCTGCTTTTAAAAATACAGCTAGTGAGAGGCAGATCTGGGATTTTAATCTGAGCATTTTGACTAAAAATCCTATTTTCTACTGCATCTTATGATCTTCATGTGCATTGAATACTTGTCAAGTTCTTTGCATTTACAGTGGATAATTTGTTTGTTGTCCCCATTAAACTGCCTTTGCAAAAATTATAACAGTGAGAAAATTATGACAGTGAAAGAGATCTGATCTAACAAATTCCTGTCTTGCCTTTAACTTCCAAACTGCTCTTGGTCATTCCTGGGGTTGGGCCAAGCTAACTTTGAGATAAATTTAGTTTATAGTTTAAATGATAATAGCCCTTCCCAAAAGGTAAACCACTTTTGTAAAACTGATAAAATATAATCAGGTTAGGAGGATGAGAGGGGCTTGAATTCTGCTAAGATGTAGGCATGGTTAAATGATTACCAGCTATTATTCCAGAGGTCGCAAGATTTGCAACTGCCTCAATTACTTCAGCAGATAACATAATTATTGGAGAACCTAAGCTTGGCCTTTTGAGATGTTCTTTCAGATTTTTGCATTTCTAATGACTGGATAGTTCCACTGGGACCTGCAACCACTCAACTGCTTCTATGGCCCCCCAATCAGAAATGGACTCAGTGCATGAGGACAATTTTTTATACCCCTATTATTGCATCCTCAATGAATCAGCAGCAACCATTCTCCTTGCCTTCTGCTCATCAGAGTACCTTTGAAAAACCCATACCTCTGAATTTTCAGAGACAGATTTGAGTAATAGCACTCTAGTCTCCTCTTTAGCCAGTTCTGTGTGAATTAAACTCTTTCCCTATTGCAGTTCCCCTGTCTTGATAAATTGGCTTTATCTGGACAGTGGGCAAAGAGAGCTCCTTGGGAGCTTACACCCGTTCTATCTCTATTTTGACATTACTAGGACTCAACTAGATATATAGAGGGAATCACTGGGCGCTGTTCAGAGAAATGACTTCTGTTGTGCCACCTCCCCAGTCATATTCTCTCTGTTTCACCAGCTCACAAACCCTCTAAGCCTTTTGCCTTGAGGTCATGTAAAAGTATTTTATTAGCATTTTTATCGCAGTTAAACAAGTTGTTCCCATAATTTCGCTTGGCCTTGGCATTTTTGCTTGATCTCAGAAGACCTGCCCTGACACTTTCAACTTGTTCTGACTTGCCGATGGCTTTTCCTCAAACTTCAAAATTTACATCCTGTATTCCCATTGATGCAAATGATCAAAACTGACTTTTGTTATCACAAGAAGCTGGGCAATGTTGAACAATTTACAGGGGCTAAGAGGAAAGCAAAGCATAAAAAAATAGGATTAAGCAAAATGAGACTGCTATTCATAAAAGGTAAACTCTCCAGAACCAAAAATTATAGATGGGAGTGAAGCTTGTGTATCTATCATCCATCACCATTTGTAATCAATAAACGATTTAATTCTCTTGAAAAACAAAAGGTAAAATCTCAGATTTTCACATACTTCCCTAGTTCCTACCTTTAAGAAAGTGAGAAAATACATAGCAGGAGTGGAGTTTTCTAACAAGTCGCAGTAGCAGGATTTACAAAGGATGTTTACAAAGATAAATTTACCAGGCGGGATCTGTCAGTGGTGAAAACAGTGAAGTTTGAAAACAACTATAGTGTGAAATGATTCTTTAACAACACTTCTGTTGATTATGGCTAAGTCTTTCCAGCTATGGTTCTGTAGGACTGTTACCAGTAGGAAATATCTGAGTTTCTCAGCCCCAAACGTTACCGGTGGCAGGTATCTGAGTTACAAGTGGTGAATTCGTACATCATTGAAAGATGATTTTCGGGCAGTGGATTTGGTTTATTATGTAAATAATTTTGGCATATGTGCAATTGAAAATACAGTAAATGAAAGCTCTTGGCACTGTTTAATTTGTGTGTTTGTATATATATATATATATATATATGCCAAAATAGTTGTAGTTCAGATAGGATTAGAAATTGTTCTTCATTCTTTATTACAAAGTATATAGGTTTACATTCAAAAGACATTTTTTTAACCTCTTTTCTTCTCTACCCTCTTCTTACCATCTTTAATTGAGGAAGTTTATCACTGGTGGCAGCTGTCATGCTCTTACTGAAATCTAATGACTGAGGATGGAAACTCATATCTTGAATTGACCATTAGTAGAATCTATATTTTTGCCACATGCCAGGATTTGAGACAAGACCAAATAGGGATATTCATTTATTGGGGAGAATCCACTCATACTAATGAGATTGTGAACAATGTATCATTTATTAAAGATTTCAGAGAGAGAGAGGAGTATATAGCACACGTCATACTTAGAAAAAATTTCTCAACATACAGTCATTTCAACCTTATTTTCTCAGCTGCAAATTACCAAACCTTCTCCATCTATAATGCATGTTCAGACCATTCAAGTTTTTCTCTTTTCTTTTCAAAATAATTTGGGTCTTTTCAGCTTCTGATTCCAAATGTGTACACCCTGAACCCATTATGTTCAGGTGCTCTTTTATGTTCTCTACAATGACTACACCACATGTAAGCAAATGTAACAATTAAAAGGTCAATTTCCCAAGATATGTCTTAAAGAAGTCAATATCACACATTCCCATACCAATTCATGAGAGTTAAAAGAGGGTGTGAATGTTCCTCTGATGACCTGCTAGAAGGTCTAGCCAAAGTTCTATCATTCAATATCTCTCAGCAGATGTAGTTGTATTATATAAAGAGAATGGAGAAGAATATTTTTTATAGATTGTTTCAAAATGTCTGCACAACTCATGAGGAAAACAACAGATAGTGCTTATTGTTAAGAAAGCTTTCAAGCTACTCAAAGCATTAAACATAGTGATAAAGAAATGATACTTTAGGATTCTGTCTTCAAAACTCTACTTCCCTATCACTGCATTTGTCATTCTATATATTAAAAGTCAACACAATCAAAAGCAACAATAACTCTAATGAACCCACTCAATTAAAAACAACAATAATTATTAATGAATTTCAAAAGAAAGAAAATATTATATTCTAGAATTGCAAGATAACTTAAAGTTTATTGGTCCAAACTCTTGGCCTCTTCTAAACATCTTGTCAGATTGTACTTCTGCAGTGAAGTGGACACAGTTTTCAGCTTTCCCAGGATCCTTCTCATCTGTTTCCTGACAGTTCTACATTTCAGCCATGCAGTACGGATAATAACTATATACCTATCCTTGGAAATGTTGGGGCTCAGAATGATATCCCAAAATATAGTGCTTTGGCATACTGAGGACTTTGGACTGAAGAACTCTGGAAGAGTCTTAGAAATAATGTCTATTTCTGATCTTCTCCTACCCTTTTTTTCTTTGTCTCCCCTTCCTCCCTAAGACAGGCCATAGAAACTAGAATTCTTCTTCCCCATGGAGGTTTATTCTTCATCAAGTCTAAGCATTAAAAATAGCTTTCCCTGAGCCTTTGGGTATTCATTTCTGAAGGCTTCAATGTCACATAAAACTTTGAATAAATAAACTTGTTATGCTTTTCTTTTTTTAACCTGTCTTTTGTTATAGGAGTTTTGGCCATGAACCTTATTGCACCTTTCTATCCTTGCAGAAATACTTCAGGTATGTGAACTGAAGAAAAAAAAAATATCCCTTGATTGCTTAACTATCTTTCTGGAATGTCTACCTGACCCATGCAATCTGCATTTAAACACAGTAACGAAGACCTGATTCCTTAACAGAAGTAGCCATTCAGGTTTTCATTTCTATGTTTTTAAAAAGCATATCTCTAAAGAATAAGGCTTTCTGTCCTAATAAACCAAGATCTGAATCATGTTTTAATTTCCACAGATTGATACTACTGTTGCTTTGTCATCTATAAAATACAGGAAAAAGCCTACTTCCTCTTAATTCATTGTAGTTAAAATCATTACAAAGCAGGGAAGCAAACTTTTTAAACTCAAATATTTTTCACCCTCTCATAAAATCACCAGGGCTTTTTTTTTCTTTTCAATTTAACCAAACTCCAAAACCGCAGATCAAATTGTTCTACAATTTTGGGCAGATCAAAGTTACCAATTTGCATATAGACTGCTTCATTTAAAAATAAGTTTGATGCTCCCTATGAACAACAATGTATGGAGCAGGGTGCTGTGCAAATTGGTTTTCTTTTTTTCTTTTTTGTACTTTTAGCAGAGACGGGGTTTCCCTGTGTTAGCCAGGATGGTCTCCGTCTCCTGACCTCGTGATCCGCCCGCCTCGGCCTCCCAAAGTGCTGGGATTACAGGCGTGAGCCACTGCACCCAGCCGCAAATTGGTTTTCTTATAGAACTTATATAATTTTATCTGCAATACTAACTCTCGTATGCAACTGGAAGCTGTAGAAAACAATTATGCTCAATCTTAAGAGTAAACAAATAATACATAGTGTAGGTATAGCTATGGAGGAAAAGGAATGCTTTATACACTGTTGGTGGGAATCCAAATTAGCTCAACCATTGTGGAAGACAGTGTGGCAATTCCTCAAAGACCTAAAGACTAAAATACCATTTGACCCAGCAATCCCATTATTGGGTATATGCCCAAAGGAATATACATTATTCTGTTAAAAAGACACATGAATGCATGCATATGTTCATTGCAGCACTAACCACAATAGCAAAGACATGGAATCAACTTAAATCCTCATCAATGATAGACTGGATAAAGAAAATGTGGTACATACATACCATGCAATACTATACAGCCACAAAAAAAGAATGAGATCATGTCTTTTGTAGGGATATGGATGGAGCCGCAGGTCATTATCCTTAGCAAACTAACGCAGGAACAGAAAACCAAATACCACGTGTTCTCACTCATAAGTGGGAGCTAAGTGATGAGAGCACATGGGCACATAGAGGGGAACAACATACACTAGCTTCTGTTGAAGGGTGGAGGGTAGAAGGAGGGAGAGGATCAGGAAGAATAAATGGGTACTAGGCTTAATACCCATGTGGTGAAATAACCTGTACAACAAACTCCCATGACACAAGTTTACCTATTTAACCAACCTGCACATGTACCCCTGAACTTAAAATAGAAGTTAAAAAATGGGGCCGGGTGCGTGGCTCAAGCCTGTAATCCCAGCACTTCGGGAGGCCGAGGCGGGCGGATCACAAGGTCAGGAGATCAAGACAATCCTGGCTAACACGGTGAAACCCCGTCTCTACTAAAAATACAAAAAATTAGGCGGGCGTGGTGGCGGGCACATGTAGTCCCAGCTACTCGGGAGCCTGAGGCAGGCAGGAGAATGACGTGAACCTGGGAGGTGGAGCTTGCAGTGAGCCGAGGTTGTGCCACTGCACTCCAGCCTGGGCGACAGAGTGAGACTCTGTCTCAAAAAAAAAAAAAAAAAAAAAAGTAGTAAAAAAATGGACATATGTTTAAAATTCTTAATAATAAAACCTAACCAAAAATGTCCTTTACTATAATATTTACCAAGAGGTATTTACACAGTTTTCTTTTAAATCTTTTAAAATTATTATTATTATTTATTTACTTTTTCTAGAGATGAGGTCTCACTGAGTTGCGCAGGCTGGTCTCAAACCCCTGGCTTCAAGTGATTCTCCCACTTTGGCCTCCCAAAGTGCTGAGATACAGGTGTGAGCCACCATGCCCATGGCCAGTTGGTCTTTTGAAGGTTATTTTTCAGATAAAGGTTAAAGTGGATAAGACTTCCTTTTTGTGCCAGCTAAAACTGGCCTGTTTGGAAATTTGGTTATTTTTGCTCATTCTCCTGATTTCCAGGAAGGTTAGATAAATGACTTGGTGGTGTGAACTTCATTCATTATGTGTAACTTCATTTTGGTTTGCCCTACTGAGTCTAGTGCAGGTGCTCAGTCCAAACCAGTGGCCTCTGATAAGATTGACTTAACAGAGTTTAGTGAAAAAATTTCTCCCATTCACGTTTTTGAAGTTTTAAATTACAAGTACCCTTTACTAATGTGGTGAGAAAAAAAAATAGATCTAACATTTAAAGAACTAATATGAATTATACTCAAACTATTCTGAAAAACAGCGAAGATAATACTTCCAAACTCATCCTATAAGGCCAAAGACACATAAAAACAAAAACAAAAACAAAAAACAAACAAACAAACAAACAAAACACTACAGGCCAATATCCCTGAGGAACACTGTTGAAAAAAAAATATCCTCGACAAAATACTAGTAAACTGATTTGAACAACACATTAAAAAGATTATTCATCATGACCAAGAGGGATTATTTCAGGGATGCAAAGATGGCTCAACATATACAAATTAATGTAATATCTTATATGAACACGATGAAGGACAAAAACCCAATGACCATATCGGTTGATGCTGAAAAAGCATTTGATGAAATCCAACATCCACTCATGATAAAAACCTTCAAGCAACTGAGTATAGAAGGGGCATACCTTACACAAGAAAAGCCATATATGACAGACCCATAGCTGGTATCATACTGAACAAGGAAAACTGAAAGCATTTCCTCTGAGATCTGGAACAAGACAAGGATGCCCATTTTCACCATTGTTATTCAGCATAGGGCTGGAAGTCCTAGCTAGAGCAATCAGACAAGAGAAAGAAAAACAAATACATCAAAATTGGAAAGGAAGAAGTCAAATTATTCTTGTTTGCAGATGACATAATCTTATGTCTGGAAAAATGTAAAAATTCCAGCAAAAAAGCTATCAGAACTGATAAACAAATACAATAAAGTTGCAGGATACAAAGTCAACATGCAAAAATTAGTAGCATTTCTATATGCCAACAGTGAACAATTTCAAAAAGAAATCAAGTAAGTAATCCTTTACAATAGCTACATATGATATAACATACCTAGAAATAAATTTAGCCAAAGAAATGAAAGATCTCCACAATGAAAACTATAAAACATTGAAGCAAGAAATTGAAGAGAGCACCAAAAAATGAAAATATATTCCATGTTCATGGATTTGAAGAATCAATATTGTTAAAATGTCTATACTCCCCAAAGTAATCTACAGATTCAGTGCAATCTCTATCAAAATATCAATGACATCCTTCAAAGAAATACAATAAATAATCCTAAAATTTATATGGAATCATAAAAGACTCAAAATATCCAAAGTTAACCTGAGCATAAAGAACAAAACTGGAGAAATTACTTCACTTGACTTCAAATTACCCTACAAATCTATAATAACAAAACCAGCATGGTACTGGTATAAAGCAGACACATAAACTAATGGAACAGAATAGACAGCCCAGAAATAAATCCATATATCTAAAGTGAACTCATTTTTAACAAAGATATCAAGAACATACATTAGGGAAGGGACAGTCTCTTCAATAAATGGGGTTGGGGAAAAACTGAATGTCCATACGCAGAAAAATAGAACTAGACCCCTATCTCTTAACATATACAAAAATCAAATTAAAATTGATTAGCCTTAAATCTAAGACCTCAACCTATTCAACTATTAAAAGAAAACATTGAGGAAACTTTTCAGGACATTGATCTAGGCAAAGATTTCTTGAGTAATACCCCAAAAGGACAGGCAAGTAGACAAAAAGTAGACAAAGTTTATCACATCGAGTTAAAAAGCTTTTGAACAGCAAAGGAAACAACAAAGCGAAGAAACAACCAACAGAATGGAAGAGGATATTTGCAAACTATCCATCTCATAAGAAACTAAAAACCAGAATATATAAAGAGTTACATCAGCTCAATGGGAAAAAAAAAAAAACTAGTAATCCAATCTAAAAAATGGGCAAATAATCTGAATAGATATTTCTCAAAAAAGACATACAAATGTCAAATAAGTATATTTCAAAAAGTGCTTAACATCATTGGTCATCAGAGAAATGCAAATCCAAACTACAATGATACATTATCTCACCTCAGTTAAAATGGCTTTTATCACAAAGAAAGGCAATATCAAATGCTGATGAGGATGTAGAGGAAAATGAAACTTCATACATTGTTGGTGGGAATGTAAATTAATACAGCCACTGTGGAGAACAGTTCAGAGGTTCTTCAAAAGCACTGAAATAGAACTACCGTATGATCCAGCAATCTCACTGCTCAGTATATGCGCCCCCCCGACCCCCTTCAAAAAGGTAGTGAGTATATCATAGAGATATCTGCACTCCTGTGTTTGATGCAGCAATATTCAAAATAACCAAGATTTCAAAGCAACCTGTATCCATCGACAGATGAACAGGTAAAGAAAATGTGGTACATATACCCAAAGAACTACTATTGAGACATAAAAATAATGATATCCCACCATTTGCAGCAACATGGATGGAAGTGGAGGACATTACATTAGGTGAAATAAGCCAGGACAGAAAGACAAACCATGCATGTTCTCATTTATTTGTGGGAGCTAAAAATTAAAGCAATTGAACTTAGGAGATTAGAGTAGAGTGATGAGTTATCAGAGATTGGGAAGAGTAATGGAATGGGGTGGAAGTGGGGATGGTCAGCTGGTAAAAAATATAGTTATATAGATTGAATAAGATCTAGTATTTGATAGCACAATAGGGTGACTACAGTCAACAATAATTTATGGTACATTTAAAAGTAAAAGTGTATGGTTTTCTGTCCTTAAACACCACATGTTCTCACTCATAGGTGTAAATTGAACAACGAGATCACTTGGACAAAGGGCAGGGAACATCACACACTGGGGCCTGTCGGGGGGTGGGGGGCTAGGGGAGGGATAGCATTAGGAGAAATACCTAATGTAAATGATGAGTTGATGGGTGCAGCAAACCAACATGGCACGTGTATACCTATGTATCAAACCTGCATGTTGTGCACATGTACCCTAGAACTTAAAGTATAATAATAATAATAAAAAGAATCGAAAAAAAAAGAATTTGACTTGAAAACCATCATTAAAATATAACCCTAATAGTTCAATATAACATAATTAAAGTTTTGCTGTAATTTTAGCAGAAGCAGGGCTGAAGTTTATATCTGCCAACCAAAAATGCAGATAATGTTGATTTATATGGACTAGAGATAAAGTGAAAATCCAAATAAAATTTTTTGGTGGGCAAAAAATAAATGAATAAATGAAAAGTGTATAACTGGGTTGTTTGTAAAACAAAGAAAGGATAAATGCTTGAGATGATGGGTGCCCCCATTTACCCTGTTGGGATTATTATGCATTGTATGCCTCTATAAAAATATCTTGTGTACCCCATATACATATGTGTGTGTGTCTATATATATATATATAGACACACACATATATATAGACATATATATACATATATACATCTATCTATATAAATACTGACTGTGTACCCACAACAAATATAAAAAATAAATTTAAAATACATTTAAAAATCAGGACTTGGAGCCATATAACTTTTGGATTGAGTCCCATATTTGCCACTTTCTTGTATCCACACTCTTCTGTAACTCTGAGCCTTAAGTCCCAAGATCCCCTTTTTAATGCAGAAAAAACAAAATCAGTATTTTGAACCATTTGACTTTGGGATTGAGTCTACATTCACTAAAGTTTATGTATCGCTAATCCCCAAATCAAAAAGATTCCAAAATCTGAAACTTTTTGAGCCCCAATATGATGCCACAAGTGGAATATTTCACACTTGATCTCACGTACACACACTTTGTTTCATGGATAAGGTTATTAAAATGTTCCACAAAATTACTTTTTAGATATGTATATAAGGCATATATGAAACATAAATGAGTCTCATGTTTAGACTTGGGTCCCATCCCCAAGATAACTATTATACATATGCAAATATTTCAAAGGTCACAAAAATCTGAGGTCCAAAACACTCTAGTCTCAAGCATTTCAGATATGAGATATTCAACCTGTACTTAGTAGTATCTGAACCTTTATGCAACTTTGGGCCTTAATTTCCTCATCAATGTAATGGGAATAGTAATAGTACTTATCTTTCATGATTTTAACTCTTTACACAGTTAATAACAAAGTGGGAAGGGTGCTTGCAGTTCCATGCTTTATCTTTGCTATGGAATAAAACAGAAATGTAAACACCTATGTGTCTTGGTTTTAGGCTCTTTTGTAATGAGTGCCAGTATAATAACTTGTACAGCACATTGTCAAGAAAACTCCTGCCCCAAGAAAAGCTGCTTATCTGGTTTGGCCTTCCTAGAAACCAGTATTTTACCTGTAGTTTTCATTTGAGATCCACCTGGCTAAGATATTAATCTATAGTACTTTTTGATGAGCTCGAAGTTTTTGTTTTTATTATTTTTGAAGCAGCTATATGTACATACCATGTAATTCACTCATTTCTGCGTGCTATTTTATGATTTATAGTAAATTTACAGAGTTGTACAACCATCGCCACCATCTAATTTTAGAACATTTCCATAACTCCAAAGAGGAAACTTGTGACCATTTGTAATCACAATCCTTTTCCACCTTCAGTCCTTGATAATGGCTAATCTGCTTCTATCTCTACAGAATTGCTTCTTCTGCACAATTCATATAAATAGAATCATGCAATATGTGACAATTTGCATCCACTTTTTTATGAGTTTTTTAATAGATGACTTTATAATGACAGTAAAAATATTAATTGAAAATGACTCATCAGTTCTCCCAATTCTGAGTTCTACCTATTTGAATAAATACAAATGAACAAGAGCCAAATGAAGATATAAGCACATTATTAGCCTAAGGATCTTAATTTGGACACCAGAATAGAATTAGTTCTCTTTTTTTCAGGTTTGCAACATGGGCTGTTTCCCCAACCCCAGCTTCAGGAATGGGTGAAGATCTTTAGAGCTTCAAAGTTGAACTGAAGAAATACTGACTCTCACACATTCCACTTTCCCTGAAGACTCCAAAGTGTCAAAGAAGATGCTGGCCACACTAGCACCACTCACATAACAATTAGAATGCACAAACAATAATCTATACTCAGGTGGCTAGCTCATATAAAAATCATATTTACATAAACCAGTATGTAGTCCTATCAGGACACATACTTCCAATGCAATAAAAAGCCAGAATGTATTTGGAGAAAGAAATATTAAAGACAGAGGAAACCATTTTTTCAGCCACATGTTTGTAATTTATTATCTGGAAATTTAACCACATTTGGGAAAATTTTTGTGTCACTATGTCTCCCACATTCAGGGCAGAAAGCCATTTATGCATTGAACTGTGTTTCGGACAGTAGCAGTTTTTAACCCTGCTTTCTTTTAAAAAAAATTCTTATACATTTAGGAGGTTCAAGTGCAGTTTTGTTACATGGATATATTGCATAGTGGTGAAGTCTGTGCTTTTAATGTAACCGTTGCCCATATAGTATATACTGCACCCATTAATTTCTCATTCTTTACCCCATCCCACCCTCCCGCCTTTCCAAGTCTCCAATGTCTATTTTTCCACTCTGTATGTCCATGTGTGCACATTATTTAGCTCCCACTTATAAGTGAAAACGTGTGGTATTTGACCTTCTGTTTCCGAGTTATTTTGCTTAATACAATGATTTCCAGTTCCATCCATGTTGCCCAAAAAAAAAAAGATTTTTTTTGGCTAAGCAGTATTCATATGAGGTGTGTGTATGTATATGTGTGTAGATATATATCACATATGTATGTACATGTAACATTTTCTTTATCCAGTCATCTTTTGATGGGCACTAAGGTTGATTCCATATTTTTGCTATTGTGAATAGTGCTGCAATAAACGTATGAGTGCAGGTATCTTTTTGATATAAAGAATTTTGTTCCTTTGTGTAGACACTCAGTAGTAGAATTGCTGGATTGAATGGTAATTCTATTTTTTTTCTTTGAAAAATCTCTATACTGTTTTTCATAGCGATTGTACCAATTTACATTCCCATCAACAGTGTATAAGCATTTGACCCTCTTCTATCTTCTTTGAAAAATGTAGACATATGCAATGTTGGTACCCCAGTTTCCAGGACTTACTTGAGCCTCCTTTCTTGCTTTGCTGAACCCTGCAAGTGTGGAACATTATCATTTCCATATTCATGTTTAAGTCTTGTATTTCCAGCCCTTCAAATTGAACTGACTCTGAACTCCATCTAGAAGACAGATGTCCTATGATTGCAAGAGGACTTTTTTTAATGTTGAATGTGGCTGCCATATTTTCTACCTCCATCCCATTAAGACCATAAATTATTTTTAAATTTCTTAGTATCATAAACATTGGCTATTACCATAAAGCTTCCCGCATAAGGCCACTGATAAGTAATTATCTAAGTAGGCACTCTTACCTAGGTGCTCAGGTGCCCACACATTTCTTTGTTCCTAGTTTGTTAGAGCTCTTTGGGCCTATGCTTCTAGAGACCAAGAAGACCCTTGCTACATATTTCTTCTCAAACCTTTTTCCTTCTTTACCATGTACTCCCCTTAAACTTCAATAACCTTCACTATAGTTTTGTCATTCCAAATTCTAATCTCTGTAGGATAGTAGTCATCTTCACCCCGGCTTCCAAACAGGATGCAGAGCTAACAGAAAAATGAACTAAAAGGCTAGATACCAAAGCAAAGACTGCGCATTATTTCTCCTTAGCTTTTATGACCAGGGCTGGCTTCAGCAAGTACTTGGAGAAATGAAGCTGCTATTCTATTCTAAGTTTTCTAAGAGAGATTCCTAATGTGAGGGAAGAAATCTGTATGTATTTATTCATCTCAAACCAGAGCCCTTCTAATACAAAGTCTTGGACAAAGCTTTCTCAATCCTTGAAAAACATTCTTTTGCTAAGTACAGCCTCAGATTTGTGTCTGAGGTCATACTAAAGATATGCCCTTGCAGCCTAGTAGTCTGACCTTTAAAACTAGCATGCACCTCTTAAATACAGCATGTGCTCTGGGGGCACTGGCCACTACAGCGAAATAAAATGTGTTCATCTTCCCATGAGATACATTGTTCCTCTAATATTAATTCTTACTCATATTCTAAAAGATTCCTACTTGTGAACCATGTGTTATAATAAGAGGCACTAATTGTTCCTGTATCATCTCCCACAAATTCTAGTCAATTGGAAAACCACAGAAGTGTTCCAGTTGGATAAGCTTACAATATCAGATTTATTACTAGAAAAGCTGAATTGAGAATATGGTGAGGATTTGGGGACAACATTAGGATTTCTTTGGTGTGTAGTTACATGTGCACCCACACAGGCATGCATATCTACACACACACACACACACACACACACACACACACTGCTTACCCACATAAGCCAGGTAGAGAATATGGAATAAAGAGAAGTGAACTTTGCTTGCATCTGCTAAATGAAAGCCAAGTTCTCTCACTTCACAAACAGTGGAAACAATATAAACCCCATCTAGCCTAGGAATAAATAAATAAATAAATAGCATCAAGAAAGCAAAAGAGACAACTTTAGGGGAATGTTACATATGAGCCATAGTCTTTAACACAAATAAATGATTTGAATAAGTTTTGCAACATTTACGAGGAAGAAAATTAAGAAAACAAAAACAAAAACAAAACAAAACAAAAAAGACTGACTCCTCAAATTTTCTCATTTGCCTGGATAGATTGGTGGAAATTTTCTTCTTTATAGGTCAAAGTAAAAAAAATATGGAGAGAAGAGGAAAAACGATATTTCCTAGAGTCTACATCCACCCTGTGGAAGGACGACTTAATATCATTCACCTTACTTTATGAATAATGAACGGTGAAGTTTAAGAAGCATAGAATGGGGGTTACGTGTACAGGCTCTTGAGCTATATTTTTCAAAGACTACCGCTTCCACCTACCATCTGAGAAAACTCACGCAAACCATTTAACCACTTTAAACCTCAATTTTCTCTGTAAAGTGATAATGACTACTTTCTGGGTATTAAGTCAGTTCGTATAAACTACTTAGCAAACTGTTTAAAATGTTAGTTATTTTTATTATCATTGTATATGGCAGCTAAAAAACTATTATTTTTAATTAATTAATTAATTAATTAATTTATTTATTGAGATGGAGTCTTGCTCTGTCGCCTAGGCTGGAGTGCAGTGACGTGATCTTGGCTCACTGCAACCTCCGCCTCCCGGGTTCACACCATTCTCCTGCCTCAGCCTCCCCAGTAGCTGGGACTACAGGCGCCCGCCACCACGCCCTGCTAATTTTTTGTATTTTTAGTAGAGACGGGGTTTCACCGTGTTAGCCAGGATGGTCTTGATCTCCTGACCTTGTGATCCGCCTGCCTCGGCCTCCCTAAGTGCTGGGATTACAGGCGTGAGCCACCGCCTCCGACTGTAATATTATTAATAAGCATACCTTCATCGTTGAATAATTGGCACGGCTCTTAGCTTTATTTCTCATCCAAGGTAAACATGCCCTCTATAGTCAGCTATTGCTGATCAGACTATATTATTATTTACTGATAATTCTCAGTCTTTTCATCTCCATTTGGCCCATACTGTTGCAGAAAATACTTGCCTCCTCTAAATACTTTGCAAATATTCTTCTGAAGTACCCTAGAAATAAATTAGCAGCACTCTGTTTCTTGGAAGGTTTCTATATTTCTACCATGCTATGATGCCAAGAGGAGTTTGTATAGCCCTGATCCTTGTGTCAGGAAAAATAACTTCCAGATTAGCACCCATGAGGAAAGGATTCCCGGTTGGGTGAGTCATGATTTCCATGGTTCTTCTTGCATGCTACTATCAAAAATAACTTCTTTAGCAACACAGGTTTTTGAACTTAACCGTTTCTTTGCCTGCTATATAAGCCTGTAGTTCTCAAACCCTGTCCATGGGCCAGCTGTGTTAGAATCACCTGGAAAAGTTTTTCAAAATTTAAGATTCCCAGTTCTCACTTCCAAAGAGCCAATAGGTCATTATTGGAGGTATGAGGGGAGATGCCTAGCTCTGTATGTTAAAGATACTCTTTCAAGATGCTAACTGGAGACAGTATTTGCAAAGGATGTAAAAGGACTAATTTCCGTATACTAGAGCTGTTACAAAAAATGCAGAAAAGACTAACAATATAAAAGAAAAATGAACCAAGAATATGAACAGATGGCACACACATGTGCACATACACAAATGTCCAATAAATATATGAAGAGATGCTCAACCTCACTCATAATTAAAGAAACTCAAGTATAACAGTAAAAAAATCCCAATTTTCACTATCAGAATAGGCCATAATTAAAATTAAATATTACTTCTGTAGGCAAATGTTTGGTGAATCAGTAACTCTCATTTCTTCTTAGTGGGATTTCAAACTGATAAAATTTTGGCAACCAATTGCAACATCTATCAAAATTTTAAATTCGAGTGTCTTTGGAATCAGCAATCCATGTATGGTAATATTATCTCCAAATATACTCAGAAAGTATGTAAAGTATGTGCAAATATGTTAAAAAGTATGTAAAAATATGCATAAAGATATATATAGGTCAGACACAGTGGTTCACACCTGTAATCCCAGGACCTTGAGAGGCTGAGGCAGGCGGATCATCTTAGGTCAGGAGTTCAAGATCAGCCTGGCCAACATGGTGAAACCCCGTCTCTACTAAAAATATGAAAAAAAAAAAATTGCTGGGCGTGGTGGCAAGTGCCTGTAATCCCAGCTACCTGGGAGGCTGAGGCAGGAGAATTGCTTGAACCTTGGTGGTGGAGATTGCAGTGAGCCGAAATCATGCCATTGCACTCCATCATGGGTAAAAAGAGTGAAACTCCGTGTCAAAAACAAACAAAAAGAGATAGATAGATAGATAGATATAGATACTTTATATATTAATACATTTATTTTCAAATATATTTTTTCTGTAAAAAATGATAATTGCCACCTCTAGGTACTAAGTCAGTTCATATAAAGTAGCTAGCAAAATGCTTTAAATGATAGCCATTATTATCATTATTATTACTCTTGTACATGGCAGCTATAAAGCTATGTAACAGTATTAATAAAAATGCCTTCATTATTTAAAAATTGGCATGGCTTTTAGCTTTTATATATACATAAAATAACCATTGCAGCTTTCGTCAAAATAACAAAACAAACAAGCACAACACTCACCTGCAACAAACAACAAAAACAAAGAGTCCTGGTTAAATAAAGTGTGCAGCCGTATATTGGCATGCTCAAGAGGCACTGAAAAGGCCAGGCACGGTGGCTCATGCCTGTAATCCCAGCACTTTGGGAGGCCGAGGCGGGCAGATCACAAGGTCAGGAGATCGAGCCCATCCTGGCTAACATGGTGAAACCCCGTCTCTACTAAAAATGCAAAAAAAATTAGCCGGGCAGACTCCCTCTCAAAAAGAAAAAAAAAAAAAAGAGAGGCACTGAAAAGAATGAAGTAGATCTCTGAAGCTACTGAAATCCACCTCCAAACTATTACTAGGTGGAAACAAGTAAATTACAAAATAAAATGTATAGCCTGATCTTATTTGTGGTGGTGTATATCCAATATACCCCTTTGTACCTCTTGCATTTTTTACTACAGAGATACTTAGTTTAGATTTTAACTTGTAAGAAATCTGCCCTGGTGAGTTTGGTAATTTGCTAGGTTTGGAAATTACTATTATGCAATCCAATCTGATTAAATACAACATTTGTTCTAGTTAATCACATATATGGTTAACAGAGCTATCTCACTAGGTTGGCTAAAAAGATTAAATAAGCTAATATAGGAAAAGGCACTATATGAATTCTAAGCACTGTGTAAATTCTTGAAAGCAATTTAAAAAATTCTAAGCACTATGTGTTATTGTTATTACATTCAAAAATTGTTTAACACATAAAATACTTAGGAGTTCTTCAAGCATATACGAGAAAAGAGAAAATTTATGGTAAAGAAAAGATCCCATTCAACAGACATATGGATGCATAGGGGAACATGGCTTGGTCAGGGAAATGGGAATAGTTCCGTGTAATTGACACATGGAGATGGTACTGTCAACTTTTCTTAAAATTTTTATATAATAAAATACACTTCATACTATTGGCCATATTCTAATCTTTTTTGATAATGCTGAAATTGCTTTCATATCCTATAATGCCATGGTTTCATCTTATGCATATTGACCTAATTGTATCAAAGAAGCAGAAAGGGCTGATCTAGCCAGTGATTAGGCTGGTGGACAAATCAGTATTCATGAGATCATTGGAACAGATTCTGGAGGACTTTTTGTTGTTGTTTTTCAAACAAATCTATTAGGGGAAAACCAATGACTATATTTATTACATGCTGATACTTACATTATACATTTAGTCATCTGGACACAATGAGCAGTAGAAAATAATTAGTAATAAATAGAGACAGCATTGTGGGAAAAAGACAATGTAGTGGTAGAATATTTGTGAGACTAATTATGTTTATAAGTAAAATGTATTTTCCATCTTTTTTTCAGCCCATTAGAAAACGTTTGACATTGAAAAAGCATTTTCAAATGTAACTCATTTTTGCTTGGGACACTTTTTATTCCCAACTCATATAAATTATTATTTCCTTCCTCTCCCTGTTCCCTTCTGCCTTTATTTTGGCATTGTTAGGAGAGCAGTTAAATGTTTGGTCATGAATATGTGCTTTGTGGCTGGAGTCAATTTCTGTTACTTTTTCATTTAATAGTGTTGTGTCTTTTCCTTTCAGTTTTCTGTGACTTTACCAAAGAATTTTTAGTTGTAATTCACTTTGTGAAAACACTTACTACTTGGGTGACTCTAGGTTTTGCATTTTATGATCAAAATCTGCAAGTCAGGTCTCATAACCATTCCTTTTTTCTTGAGTGAAGCAGTCATTAGATGGTTCTTGGCCAAACCAAAATACTTTAGAAAATACATTTTTAAATTCTTATTACAGATTATTCATTTGTTATGTTTCCCAATATTGCTTGCCCTCTTTCTATATGAAAATGGGTAAAAACTATAAATGTATAATAGCAATTCTACAATGATGTTTACTTATGTTTACCAATCAGCTGCTATTATCTTGAAAATGAGTCTACTGCCTAGAGAACTAAAGCTATTCAGTGTTTACCTTTGATTCTGTGTGTGTGTGTGTGTGTATGTGTATATATATATATATTCATTTATATATTCCTTTTATATTCTAAAAATGGTTTTTAAGTTGTTCTGCTTCAATTAACTGTGCTCTTTGATTATTGAAAAACAAGGAAATAAACACTATAGTAGTCTTTTCAGAAGGTTTTAATTAAAAAGTTCTATTTTAAATTCTATGCACCTCCCTCCTCTCTCTTTCATATCACTGTTCACTAACAAAATTCTACATAAGGATGTTTTATATTAATATGCATTTAAACCAATCCTTGTTTAGGAATCTTTATTATGACAGGAGATGTAATTGGCAGTCATTTCAGGATTTTTTTTCTCAGATCTTCTTGAAATGTCATGGTTTGTCTTGAGGTACAGAAATCTGTACTGGCAAAGGGGATATATTTTTCTTATTTTAAAATACCAACTAAAAGGATTAAAACATTAAAGACAGAAAAATAGTGTTAACATTGAGATCTGAGCATACATTCTATAATGTAATCTACATTATAAAGTTAAGACACTGGCTACTTTGGAGCTAAATTCTGCTTCTCCACACACATACACATTCTATACCCACTTTCCACCCTAATTATCTGTATATCTACCTTAATCTTGCCTCCTTTGGGATTATTTGAATTTATTTTAGTAAACCTTTTTAATTTTTTATTTCTGGATAAATTATGTACAGTATATCAGCAAATGGGGTTTTCAACTGGGCATATATAGACAGAGCAAACTGGGGCTAACATATACGTAAGGCTCTAGAAATACAATTCCTAGGGACACCAAAAGTTCACAAAGTTAAAAATCATTTGTATGAAATAAGCCAGATACAAAAAGCCAAAACTCATTGGTAGTTGTTAACTCAATTGAGCCCAACCCAGCCACCTTGGTAGTTGAGGTATACCCTGGGATGAATGAGGTCTCCAACTCATCTTTTATTATAAAATGCTTATGAGTCAGTAAAATGAGGAAAATAAACTTCAGTTTGTTTAGAGAATTTCTTAGGACAGAAATACAGAAGAGTAATGTCCCGAAACAGATGTCAAGCATTGGTATACACAAACAGCCCCAGTTAATTTACAAACACTCTGAGAAAACTTATGGAGACTAAGAAATACTTGAAAGGGAAAAAGATGTATCCTGAAAACATACTAGATTCTGAAATTACATTAATGAAGACCTAAAGTTAGTGAATGCAATGTAACCTTATTATTTTATAAGGCTTGGTGAGAAGAGTGGGCATTTGGCTAACACATACAGCAATATGCCCAGAACACTGTATTGGTTAGATTACTGTTTAGACTGCTGTATTAATCAAGATTCAGTTTATAATTTTATATTAAGAAACTCTAAAATATAGTTGATTTTTTTCCTCATTGAGATTAATTTATTTATTTCTCCCCAAAACAGCTTAAGTAGGTAGTCCATTGCTAGTAAGGCAGATTAGTGGTGTCAAAGATCCAAACACTTTTTTTTCATTTTTGTTTCTTTGCCATCACAAGGGCTTGCTTCAAATTGAACATGACTTATTATCAATTCCACATTTCAGCCTGTGAGAGGAAGAAAAAGAGAAGGGGAGAGAGATAAAGCTTCTTCTCTTTTAAGAGATAATCTAGAAGTTGCATAAATGTCTTCTGCTTACATTTCATTGTCCAGAACCTAGTAATAGGACCACAGCTAACTGTAAGGGAGGTTGATAAATGCAGTCTGTAGCTGATTAGTCATGTTACCAGCTAAAGCTTTGGTTATTATAGAAGATGATATAAAGAAATATTGTGCAGATTCTTTTCACATCCCAAACTATTACCTTCAGTCTCTAACAGATGCCAGTGTATCAGGTGCTTAGAACTTAATGTTCACAGCTCTGCAAAGCACACATTTAATTGATAAAGAACCAGATATACAGGGGAGTTAAATGACTTTCCCAAGCCCACATAGAAGTTATATGACCAGAGATCAAATAACATTCTATCTAAAGCTAAGTATAGCCTGTGATCTTCCCAGCGTGACACCCTCAAATAAATGTGGGGGTGACAGTCTGCTTGGTAAATTTCATTGTTCATGAATCATTTCTAATGTATTGTGATATTCTGATATTTAAGAGTTAAAAGGAAGAGGATGTGAACTTCTTACCACTGGAGGGGAAACACTACTCCCTTTCTTTTCTTTTTTTCTTTCTTCTTCCTTTTTTTTTTTTTTTTTTTTTTTTTTGAGACAGGATCTCACTCTGTCACTTAGGCAGGAGTGTAGTGGCACAATCACAGCTCACTGCAGCCTTAAATTCCCAGACTTAAGCAATCCCTCCTCCTCAGCCTCCCGAGTAGCTGGGAATACAGGTAGGCATGCACCACCATGCCCAGCTGATTTTTCTATTTGTTGTAGAGATAGGGTCTCACTATATTGCCTAGGGGAAACAGCTCCTCTATTTTAAAGCCCTTTGATAATGTGCTTAAGATGCAAAAACAACATATTCAGATTCTTTTTACACTCTTAAGAACCTAGCATGATACTAAACACTAATCAGAAAATCAGCCTGCACACTTCATAATCATATAAGCCAAATACCTGTGATGACTGTCATTTTTCTCACTGTTAGTAATGCCAGCATGGAGGAGAGTATGAACTTGACTGTGAGCTCTTTAAGGGAAGAGATATTACCTAATTTATCTCTGCAACTCCAATGACTAACACACCTGGCCCTTAGTGAGGGCTCATATTTGTTCCTTGAACTGAGTTGAAGATCAAAGTTTAAGACAGCAGGGAAAGAATGTATTTGTGTATCCAAATTATTGCAAAAAATAACCTTTAATAGGTATTTTCTGACAATGCAAAATTTATTACCTTAAAAAATGAAATAACACTTTTAATTTTCATTTGCTGAATCCTCAGTAGAGTTCATTTTGATTCATCCAATATGTATTTTAAACAGGTTTTAATTTCTAGTATTCCAAGTGTTTTGCTTGTTTTTCATTTTTAAACAAAATTAATTTTCCGTTCCATATATTTTTTGATTATAGGAAGATATGCTTTTGTTTCTTTTGACAACTATATGGTGCTGATATATTTTCCTCTGCCTCTACATTTTGGTGATGATTTTTCAAAAATGTAATATATTCTTATCAAATAATGACTAAAACTTGAAAAAGAATCAAAGCCAAAAACAGAATCTTTATTTTACATTACATAACACATGCAAACGAAAATAAAAAGGACATAATGGGTGGGAAAGATCAACAATGTTGTATAAATATTTATTATTTATTTTACTTATTTTATTTGCATTCCATTTCATTATTCTCCCACATTTGGTCATACATTTATTGGTTTATTATGTAAAAAGAAGTGCAGTCCAGACTGGTACTTAAGAATACTGGTACTTATGAATTCAGCTTTGCTGCTGATTTACAGGGTATTGTTCATGAGTCATATACGCTCCAGGCCTGTTTCCTGATTTATAAAATGTGTATGTATTAGTTTCCTATGGATAGGTAATAAATTGCTACACACAATACATGTTTATTATCTCCTAATTTCTAAAGTCAAAAATCTTGTCACTGCTTAGGTGGGTCCTCTGCTGAAGATCTCACTAGCTTGCAGTCAAGGTACTGGCTCCGCTAGAGTCTCATCTACGGGTGTAACTAGGGAAGTAGCTGCTTACAAGCTCATTCTGATACTTAGTAGCGTTTATTTCCTAGCGGCTGTGTGACTGAGGGACCCAGCTTTACATCGACTGTCACTGGAGGCTGCCCTCAGAGGCTGCCCACAGTTCCTTGCTATGTGAGCCCCTCTACAGTCAGTTTACAACATGACTATTGACTTCTCCAAGGAAAGCAAGAGAATTTTCTGGTCTGCAAAGATGGAGTCTTAGAGCTAAATGTAATCATGAGAGTGACAGCCCATCACCTTTGCTACATTCTGTCAGTTAGAAGGAAGTCACAATTTGCACTTCATTCAAGGGCAGTAACACCTCCCGAAGCTATACCGAAGTTGCACTCATTGGGGGTTATCCATGGGTAGATCTGACACAAGGGTATTGAAACACATAAACTTTATGTGTTCCTCCAGCTGTATTATTTTATAACTATTGTGGAAATAATGAGAATCATCTGAATGTTAATTTTAAGTTACAGCCTCTGAGCTCTTAAGGTTTAGAAAGTTCTCTGACTTCCTTACAGATTCAGGAGTAATAAAGCTTTGGTACCTACCATTTTTAAAGAGGTCAAAATGTAAGCAAAGGATTCCTTACTGGAAAGAGCCAGAGACCTAAGAGAAAAGAAGAAACCTAGCTGAAGTATACCGAGAAAAGCCCAGGCTTGGCTACAAGAGAAGCAAATGCGGGTACTATAAGCAAAAACTGGGATAAAGATCATAAAGACAAGGGTGAAACTGAGCTAAAAGCCAAATCAAAATCAGTGAGAGCTGGAGGGGGAGAAGGGTGTTTTGAGGTGAGCTCCACAGAATCAATTAATTTTTATTATTAGCCTGAACGAAGTACCAGATACAGAGATTGTGTAAGCTTAACCCAGTGATTCTCAACTTTGCCTACACATTAAAATTAGCTGAAGTTCATACAAATTCAAAGTCTAGGTTACATCCTAATCCTATTAAGCCTGAATCTCTTAAAAAAGGACTCAAGTTTTAGTATTTTAAAAATACTTCCCAGGTAATTTCAGTGTGCAGCAAAGATTGAAAACAAATTGTCTACTCTGACAAATCAAAGTGCGGTCTAAGGACCAAGAAGCAAGATTGGCATCACCTTGTCAGAAATGCAGACATTTTTTTCCCTTTTCCAGCCTACGAAATCTGAACCTACATTTTAATAAGAGCCTCATGTGATTCGCGTATAATTGACCTGATTTAAAGACCTAGGGCAAAAACAACAGTACCTAATATTACACTTGCCACATACTTGTTTCTTCCAGTCCATGTTTTGACAATTTGGGTTAATAATGTACTACTAAAAAGATGAATAAATGGGGGACTTTTAAAAAAAATCTATTAGAGTTAAGTTGTACTAATTTGTTCAGACCTTGGAAGACAAACATTGGAATTCTTATGCCAACTCTAATTGATCAGTAGTGGCTGCCTAGAGAACTGTGTTGAGAAACAACATTTTGAGATTTCTTTTTCTGAGAAGAGTACCCTAATGGATTAACTGTGTCTCGGGGAATGACAGTTGTTACTATAGAAACAAAAGGAATTTTTCTACTTCTCCTCTTTTGAAGGTTCGATAATTTGTGTCCATAAAGCAAAGTAATGTAAGGGCCAAGGAAAAATGTCCCCTTTGCTCTTTGAAGTTTCACTGGAAATCACTGACAAAAGGCATATTAGTTTTTTTAAGGCATACAAATTTATTTGATAGTAGTTTTATGTGACACGGAAGCCTTCAGAATGAAGACCCAAAGATGCAGGGGAAACTGTCCATTTTTTGCTTAGGTTCAACAAAGTATAGACAGCCATGTAGAAATATAATTGGATCAAAAGGATGTGATCTAATACTAATTGAGTTGGGTAACCCAGTAGGGCCTGCCCATTTAGATTTTTCTGAGCCTCTCTGCAGCATTCTTTCCATGTGGGTATGGGGCAGGACCCTCTCTGGAATGAAGGTCTTATGACCTACAGTCAAACAAGGTAGGTCAGAGTGGAGGCTAAAGCAACTCCATCTCAGATGCTAATTCACCATAATGACTTCTGATTAACCCCGGTTCCATGAAGCCCTCTAAGATTTCCAATGTATCTATTGTTCCTGTGTGAGAGCATATACTTACCGTAAATCCTGTCATTAGTCAAAACAATTTTAATGTATCATGCTTCAATTGTCCAACACATCCCTTCAGAATTTCCCTCTGGTATGTAAGCCCTGGGTCTGAGGGGTAATGGTGCAGACCTCCACCATCTTGTCTCACTGCCACCAAAGACACAGGCATGGCTTTGGTCTGTAAGTCCCTATTAAATGTGTCTTTCAGAGAAACTGGATTTGTCAGTCTCTTTCTTCCAACTTTCAGCTTCCTTGGGCTTTGCAGATAGATTTCTGTACACTTGCCCACCTCAGAACACTCAGAGATTTCTTTATGGCCAGTTTTTATACAGAAAGGTAGGAAGAAAGTTAGAGTAACATTCTTAGGTTTTATGACTAGCTTTGGGAAAAGGGGTTCTGGTTTCTATTAGTTGCCTTGCGGGAAGAGGGAGTCAAGTTTCTATTGCTAGCCTCAGGGGAGAATGAAGGGTTAAAGAAAGACTGACAGGAGAAGGTCAGAGAGAGTGTGAGGCCTTCATTTTCGGGTACCATTTTCTGAGCCCCCTACAATATCAATTGACAGATTAGTAGGGAAAAAGGTGTACATGCTTATTGCATGCATATGTGCGTAGGAGTCAAACAACATATGAGACTGGAAAGGCCACTTAGTTGAAGCTCGAACAGCATTTTCTTATGGAATGAAATTGGGGGTTGGAGGTTTCTGGAGGCTGGTGGCGACAGGTTATGAGGGGGTGAAGGGAGGAGAATATGGCAAGCAAAGGCTTTCTTGTTATGCTGTTGAAGTTTCTCAGGTAGCAGCCTTCAGAAAGAATAGATGGGAGCCCATGGTAAAAGTTTCTCTGTCAAATCCTTGAAAGTATCAGACCTTTAGTCCTCTTTTCCTGAGACTTAATCTTTCTTAGATCTGGGTAAGGCAGATAAGGAGATCTCAGATTAAGCCTGTTTGCATCTGCTGTTTACTTCGTGAAAGTAGTTTTCCTCTACAGATGCAAATCTCGCCCCCCCACTCCGCCAAAAAAAAAAAACAAAAAAAAAAAACAGCTTTTCTGTGCTATTCCTGTGTCTGCAGCCCCTCTGAATAGCCATCTGAAAATATGCCAAAGAAGCACACTTTGGTGGTGGCATATTTTGGTTTCCCAATTTCAAGCGTATTCGGTGAATCTGCTCTGGATTTTTCTTATCCAATAGTAACTCTCAGGACAGAGGGCACCCATTCCAAAGACAGCTGCCTGGGATTAAGGAAGTATTCCTGCAACACACACATATTATTAACTCATTCATTCTAGATTCATTCTTTTGTGGCTCCAGTGAAAATCTATCAAATACCAGTTTTATGTCCCAGATACTCACTCTGCTGATTGTTAAGTTCCTACAGAGTTAGAATGACCTCACCTTTCAACATAAACATGCCACAACTCCCTGAAATTCCAAGAGCAAAGCAACCTCATATCACCATCAATCATGCTCAAGGTGAATGCGGAAACTGTTTTCACCAGAGGTCTTGATTATTCCGAACGTCAGAGAAATGCTTAGGAGGAAGCAAAGACATGATGATTCCATTTAAACAGCTTCTTTCTGAATTTTACAGAACTGCAGATTTAGAATAGCTTCATTGTACCTTCCGAAAAACATTTTCATGAAAATTCAGCTTAAGCACATGTTAGAAATAGTTAACCCATAAGGAAAATATCATAATTTATTAAGCCATCCTATTACAAATCTTACAGGAAAAAAGGAAAAAAAATAAATTTTCATAGAATATTATTTCATCTTGTTAACACTAAAAAAGTAAAATGCCTACAGGTAGCTATCTTTGAAGTCCCAAGTGAGGGAGATTTTCCATTTGTATTCCTTTCAGTAATAAAGAGCTGCTGGAAGCACTATAGAAATGTTGTTTTTTAGTGAATGTGCCAATATACCTGGGCTTTCTTTCAAGCAGTGAGTGATTCCTTTGAATTGTGTTTTAAGCCAAAAATAGGGTTACTCATAAATTACATGAATACTTTCCAACTCATAATTGCCAGGTTACAGTCTTAGATTTTAGTCATCAAGCTTAAGCTCTTTTTATATTCCCTAAATCTCAAATTGATAGAATCTTTTTCTCATTCTTCCTCCCTTATACCATTCTCAGTCTTTTCTCCCTGCTTCCTTTATCACCCTTGGAGAGCACACACACACACACACACACACACACACACACACACACACAGTAAGGAATTTTGCTATTAATCACAGTGGGTTACACACAAAGATTGTCTCTGGGTGATGAGCCATTGCTGAATATAAGGCTTCAAATTGAATGAAATGCTTTCTCATCATATTTTAAAAAATATCCATTAATGGTTACTGATAAGCTCAGGATTATTGCCATAGAAAAATCCATTTAGGTTCAAGGTAAATGCATGGAAACTGACAAGTAACTTAAAAGGATTTTTTTTTTTTTTTTTGGTGATACTTGTCAGTTATTTGAGAAAGATATTTTAGGAAAACTGCTTTTGGTAAACAGAAAAATTACCTTTTTCCTTTCTACCTCTGAGCTCTTGTAATTCTTCTGAAACATACAGACAGTGCAGTTGTTAAATATTAGAAATTTAAACATAACAGAAAATTACATATAGTGAATAATTTGAATATAGATGAACAAAGTAATTTATAAAAATAAGAAAATTGAACACACCTGGAATAATAAAATGCTACCAGTGCTGCTAATTTTCATAGTAAAAATGTTGCATTCTTTTCAGGCAAAACAACACAATCAACATTCAATATGTTTCTGGTTTTATAAACAAGATCAATATTTATACTTGGAGAAAGTAACCACCTACCTTTGTTCATTTATGGAATGTCCAATTTCCCCCATGCCAAATTCCTGTGCCTTTCAGCTTTAAATTCATACGAATTATCATCCTGGAAGAACCTGCTCTGGAGATGTTAGACCACTCAGAATACCGTGAGGATACCAGATAATTAGCAGAGATAAAAAATATGAATGCCACCAACTTTGCAATTTTCTCCAAAGCTGAGTTACATATACCATTCGTTATATGTAGAGTGAAAAGTAAATAAATGCAGGAAAAAGAATATTAAGGTAGTACAAATTAATCTTGTAGTTGTATCACGTATCTGTAATAAATGTATGACTTTCCTTGAAAACTCTACCTTGAAAACTCTAGTGCCAAACCAATTGAAACTGAAAAAAACAAGGAGTTAATGTTTTTTCCAAACATTTGGGCCAAACATATAGTCAGCTGTACTTAAATGTCAAGGTGTTTGTTACATTTATAATGTTTAGGATGAAAATTTTATTTTTCTCTTCTTAGTCATGCTGAGACCGTACAATGTTCTACATCTATATTCTACTGCTGCTCAAGTTCAGCAGGGAGCTATTCAAAAGGAAATGCACGCTATTTGTTACTATAATGCAAAATCCCTAGCTGCAGGAAGCCCAGATACAGTATTTTTGTCTCTTGCCTAAAAAATCCCTTTTTTCCCATAAATCAGTCCCCTTATCTTAGCTCTCCAGGTCTTTACAGATGTTAAAAGAAGCATAGAAATTATAGTGAGAGGCAACCCCAATAGAGAGAAAAAAACATCAGGGAAAATAGAAAAGCATTCCCCAAAGCCTCAATTATCTACATTTTGGTTTTCCCAGGATAGCAAAAGTAACACAATAAACTATCTTTCATCTCTAACTGTAGAGGATTAAGAGACAGAGAGAAAAAGAATGAATCTCTCCCTCTGGAAAAACAAAACAAATAGAAATGCAGAAAGAGAATAAGGCAAAATCAGTAGATTCTAAGGAGGCCTAGGAACTATATTCTAAACTAAACTGTTGCTTGATCTTGGCCCTCACTGGAACTCCTTTTCTGTAGTGTTTGATTTCCCAGAGAAGTGGAAGTATGTCATGAATATCTCCAAAACATGGTACACCTCTTCTCCAGACAAATAATCAGGATGCATTGTCTAAGAAGGAGAAAATCAAACAAGCAAACAAACAAAAATCCTGAGGCTACCATAGATAAATTAGCATATGCAGTCACCAAATCTAATAATAAAATGGCTAATGTGGCACCACCAAACGTGTGACTTGTGTTACTTACATTCTTGTGCAATGGAAAGTCTAATTTTTCCTTATTGGTTGGTTGGATGAATGAATGGATGGATAGATGAATACATGGAAGGTTGAGCATTTAGTATGGATTAGAGTAAGTTGGTCTAGTCAAACCTGGATTGAGGTTGAACTCAATTGACTTGAATCTGAACTAGGGTGTATTAGGTCTCACAATGCTAATAAAGACATAGCCAAGACTGGGCAATTTATAAAGGAAAGAGGTTTAACTGACTCACAGTTCCACATGGCTGGAGAGGCCTCACAATCATGGCTGAAGGCAAATGAGGAACAGTCACATCTTACATGGTGGCAGGCCAGAGACCTTGTGTAGGGAAACTCCCATTTATAAAACCATCATACCTCATGAGACTTATTCATTATCATGAGAACAGTATGGAGGAAACTGCCCCCATTATTCAATTATCTCCACCTGGCCACACCCTTGACACATGGGGATTATTACAATTCAAGGTGAGATTTGGGTGGGGACACAGAGCCAAACTATATCATGGGATATCTTAGAAACCTGCACCAAACCCTGGTCTCTCAGAGTCTTAAAGATCCTAGGGAATTCAGAAAGACCATGAAGCCTACAGGATCAGATTTGGTCAGGACAGCTAAGCCCCATTCCACCTAAACCGAATAGTTCCCCAAACCTAAGGAGTTTTTAAAATTACTTTGGTAGAAATGCTGATTGAAGTAGAATTTTTAATAGCATTCTGGAACAATTATTTCAAATGAGGTTTTTATTGAACATTAGCAGAGGCAGAGAATAATTTTATTTTAATACAGTGTTTGACTCTAATTCTTTTCACTGACTTCTATTTCATTTAATCTGGCTCCTGTACATTGAAATGGCCAAAGAGTAATTTAAGCAGCATCATTTTTTTTCTTATGATATAAAATGCTAGGGTTAGAGGATGTGCCAAAATAATTGCTACACTAACCAGGCTTTTAAATTCTCTTTTTGAAATCACAACTTTAGCATGCCACATTCACTATTGCAGGTAACTATAGCTTTCAAAAACTACTTAATCTTGACAGATTTTTTAACCCTTCCCATCTATCATAGCTACTAAGCAAAAATGAGTAAGGATGCAGAGAATGAATAAAAAACTAGAATTACTAACTCACTGCAGTATATCATTTATGCTTCTTGGAGATTAAGTAGAAGGAAAAGGTCCCAAGAAAGATAATGTAGAAAAATTGAGTCCAGATTGTGGAACAGCAGAGTTTTGAAGATATTTCTTTGGTTATGAGATCTGACAAGACAGGAAATTTAAAAGATATAAAGTATGCAGCTTCCAAATGTTTTTTGAAATAACTGAATTAAAATGTAGTGCTTTCATTCAACAGAATATTTTATATTGACTATTTAATTTACAATACAGTTTCAAAGAAATAACAATCAAATAAGTGACACACTATATATTTCCATCCAAAGTTCTCCTTTGATGAGCATTTATTGAACACCTATTACATTAAGCATGACTTTAGATAAAGCAAGCCTAAGCAGAAACAAAGTTTTTGTTGTGCTAAAATTTTTACTTAAAATACTTATGCTTTCAATGTCAATCATCACTGTTATATTCTGATTCTCATAGTATTTAATGTGTTAGTTTTCTTTTGCAAATGAATTGCTACAATTTTAGTGGCTTAAAGCAACACAAACTTATTTTCTTGCAGTTCTGGATGTGAACAACCTAACAAAGGTCTCATTGGGCTAAAATCAAGATTTCAGTGGGGTTGCATTCCTTTTTGGAGGCTTTAGGGAAGAAACCATCCCCTTGAAATTGTAAGACTGAAAGTATGTAAACATACTTTTAAAAATTTGTTGAGTTTTTGATGAAAAAGAAATTTTGTAAATGTAAAGCATTATTACATATTGTCCCCATGACCTCTTTCCATCACATATCCTTCTCATTCTTGAACACTTGGCTCAAATATTGGTTTTATATGAAGTTTTCTTTGATAATTTCAGCCAAAAGTGGCCCTTCACCCCTTAAATTCCTATACATTGTACAAAAGCTATTTCATTCATTCATTTAATTATGCATGTATTTATTTATTCAGTTCACAATTATTATTATCTCAACATATTTCAGGCCATGTTCAAGGTTGCATTGTCAAAGAGCTAATAATTTCTTTATAATTATATGAATTACATGAATTATTTCCAATAAGTTAAAAATTTATTTAAATTAACATGTCTGCCACTTTACTAGTCTCTAATGAGCTTGAATGCAGAGGTCACAATTTATATGTTTTTATACCTCTATGCAATTAGTATGATACTGTTGGGGCACAGAAACCAAAACCCCAAAATATGGTGCCAGAGAAGTAAGTACTATAGATATTTGGAATTAGAGAAATAAAATTTCTTTTATCCTAATCCAACTTAGATTAAGTATAGCTTTATTTTTTAGTCTTCTTCCAAATAATTGGATTGGTGAATCACAACATGGCAAGAAATGCATAGGGACTAAAACTCTTGTAAACCATGTGTGTATTGAGATGACCACCTTCGTACCTAAATGGATAGTGAGAAAAAATGAAAATTAGCAAACACTATCAAAATTTAAAAGTACAAAGATTAAAAATAATGTAGATTTTTTTTTTTAATTTCCAGAACCTTTAGGGAGTAACTTGTTTTCTTTTTTCTTTCATGGTTTATTTTAGAAGTCTAGATTGTAAGACTAGGATAAATAGTGTAAGCTATCATTATCTGCCTTTGAAAACTATTTGTTTATATGAATTGGCAGATAATAAGGATTTAGGTTTCACTTCTATAGTATCAAGTAGTCACACACAAGATGGTTAAAATTATAGGAGAACTAAATATTTTAGATAGTATACAAGATTGACATTAAAAAAATACTGAAATAACTTACGCTTCATTTATTTAGTCATTCAGCAATACAATTTTCGGTATTTGGCATGTTCCATTGGAAATAGAAAGATAAAAAGTTATCCAAAATTTCATAAACTTTATTTAATTAGAATATATAGCATAGAATGTGGAATAATTAGATTTGTCATAAATTATCACTGAAAAATTTTCTGTTTTTAATGCAATTTATAGCATGAATTACAAGATTTTCCACAATGAATAGAGGGAACACTTGTCCTACATGTCTTTAGACTCTCGGGGTTTTACATATTCTTTTTAATTATTCTTAAAATATATTTACATGATATCATAGGTTTTTATATGGGTTCCCACACTTGTGAGAAATGATTCAGGTATGTTCCACTATTCAACTTCCTCTAACATGCAGTAAATGACACTTATAACTAGAATGGATAGGCAACGGATAAGTTGCTTCTTGTATCTTATTAATTCTAGCTAAAAGTACTGCCAATTCTAAAGAAAATACTATCAAGAAAAAATTTTCTCAAAATAGCAGCTGATGTACAAACATTAGAAAAATAGTCTTTACGATTGACTAGACTGTGCTAGTCTGTGTAGACTTTATATAGGTAAAACAATAAAAACAGTATAAAATTTAAATCCAAGGGAGTTCAAGATTAATGATAATCATGCAAGATTTCATACATATTCTTGACAATCATGTGTTCCTTATTATGTTAGATAAGTATTAATACTATTGTCAATATACTTTTTAAAAGATTTCTGAAACAATGTAATTATGAATATGGGAAATTTTAAAACTAGGAAAAACATTATTTGAAGTTTTTATTTTTAAACTGTGACTGAAATAGACAATTTATCAGGAAAAGTAATTAATCCAAATATAAAATTAGAATCGCTGTCAAAAACTACTGTCAAAAGCAGGCATGGCCCTGCATGATTTAGAGGTTTGTTCTTTCAGTGCTTAAACTTGACAAAAATGTCATCAATTCATCTGATGACACTTGCATATCCATAGATTCTAAATCTAACATATATGCCCCCTTATAAAATATTATAGCCAAATCTCACATACAAATACAGATGCTAACATAATAGTGCCTCAAATTCATTGTCACAAAAACATTACACTGTAAACAAGTACAGTAAATATACAAATAAAAGGATGTTTCAATACTAGAACAATTATCACCTTAATAAATCAAAAGTTTAAAAGTATGTGTTTTGTTTTTTAATAGATTATGAAACACCTCTTAATTAAATGTACTATTCATTCTTCTAATAAACTAATGTTTTTCTCAAACCAACCGGTTTCATGCTTAATGTTGGAATGAAAAAGCTGGGTAATCAAAATACATTCTACACAGTACCTCTGAGGGTCCCGCTGAGATCCAGCACAGTTCGCCACAGACTTGACTAACTCCAAAATCTACCCTTGAATTGGCATTTCCTCCTTTTCCATTTTCCTCTCACCAGTCTCCTCATTTTCTCTGGATCACTTCCCGAAATAAACTACCTGCACACAAGCTCTGTTTTCCTGGGACAGTCTAGACTAAGATACTTGTGGACACCTTATAGGCCTGAAATACCTTCAGTTTTCTTCATACTTAAATGATTTTTATGCCTGTGTAGAAAATTGCAAATTTTTTTTCAAATCTTTGAAAAACCTTCTCCATTGTTTTTTTTGTGCTGGGTGTTACTAATGAAAAGAATGAAAAGTGTGATGTGCAACTGATGTTTATTTATTTGTTGGTACTATTTTTCTTCCTGTTTAATTTTTTTTCTTTGTCTTTGATATCTTTAAATTTAACTTTAATAGATTTAGGAGTGAGATTTTTCTTACTAATCCTCTCTGGCACTTTGATTCCTTTCAGTCTGAAGTTTCATGTCTCTTGGTACTTCTGGGAAATACTTGGCCATTACTTATTCAAATTTTTCTCACATGTGATGTTTTCTTCTCTTTTCTTGAGACTCTTACTAAATTCTGACTCTTCCACCTTCATTCTCCCTATCTCAATTCTTGTTTTAATCTTTTTCTTTCTTTAGGTCTCCCTAATTCCTTTAGGGAGAATTCCTAAAAATGATTTTTAAGCATATTTAATTTGTTCTTTATTTGTATATACTCTGCTTAATATATCCACCGAATGCTTTATTTGAAAAATTATATTGTGAAAATGTATTCTTTTCAAATTCATTTACTTATAATTTATTCTTTGCCCTGAGTGTGAGTTCTAGCATTTCTCATTCTATCTCTACATAAACAGATATTTTGGGGCTTCCAGTGGGGTTATGTCCAGATATACCCATTATATGTTGAAAATATTATAAGTCAAAAACGTGCAGTGGGGTTTATCCGGACGTAACATTAGTGGTGATACAAACTGGATGAATATTGCTTTTGTACCATGAAAAAGTCAAAAAATTATAACCATTGTAAGTCTAGGATCTTCAATACTTACTAGGTTTGTTCATTTTTTAAATTTATTTTTAATTGACAAATAATTGTATATATTTATGGGGTACAATGTGATATTTTCATCTATGTATACATTGTAGAAAGATACAATCAAGCTAATTAACATATTATTCACCTCATCAACTTATCTTTTTTTCTGATGAGTTAAGAATCTATGAGATTTCTTTTCACAATTTTGAAATATACAATACATTATTATTAACTATTGGGTTTATTTTAATGTTTTACTTGTTTTGTTAATTCTGCTCCCCTGATTTAGGTTGTTTATTGTCTTCATTGTAATTCTCTAATGCAACAAATAAACTGCAGTATGTTCCTATAAGCTCATCTAACTTCCTTTTGTATTATTTGAGACTGCCATTGGTTGGAGATGGGACAAAAGTTCAGTATCTGTACTTCAGAGTATACAATAAATACTCACACAGCTTATGTGTGAGAACTTGGGTATATGTGTAGACCAAACACCTGTTTTTTAAGTCTCTGAGTACTCCAACTTATGGCTCAGCTGCTTCTGATTACAACTCTGGATTTGGACTCACCTAGGGCAATATGGGGGCAGAGAGGGTGCAATAGAAATTATCTGTCACAGATCCATGCCACTCTATCCATCCCCTACACAAAGCTACATTTTCCTCCCTACATCACGTTGAAGGTCAGAAAACAATACCCCCAAATATGTTGCTTTGTAATTCAGAGAGCATGTAGGGACAAAAGAAATCAAGGAAAGGGCTTTCTCTGAAGTTCCCCTATCTACCTAAAGGCCAGATCTTCCATGAGATATACAGTTGTGAATTTCTTCCCTAGATTATCTCATCCGCTAATAGAAATTGAACCATACTGCAAGATGAAAGGCTACAGTTGACTCCCCATCTGGAGCCCAGGTGGACTTTGCCTCAGACTATTGTCTGTTCTTTGGACCCATTTATCTCCCATAAAAATCATTTTTGCTTTCTCTAAAATTGCCTACACCCCCACTTTCCTTTCTCCTATATAAAGAGTACTTAAGATTCAACTATCTGGCCCTTCTTTGAGTTTCATACTTTGTGTGATTCCTGTGAACTTGCACATTAAGTTATTGCTATGCCTTTTTCCTTGTTATTGTCAATTTTTTTCTGATATTTAAATTATCAAAACTTCAGGGAGTGGAAATAAAGTTTGTTTGTTTGTTTTTTCCTCTTCAATTATTACTGTCCCTTAAAGGTCTCTCACAAGTTTTCTTTTGCTTACAGAACTGTACCAATCTCCATTTCTTTTCTTTATCACCTCCAAGGTTGGGTGAGTAAGAGAAATACAGCAGTCTTCACAATGAATTTACTGTCATTGAGGTTTTTAATATCAAAGTCTCTGCTAGGGAAACATAGATAGACATTATTTGACCATTCCAGGAATTAATTAGCAAAAACTAAGAATTAAATGTGGTTGTCTATAAGGTCTCTAGAGCAAGAGCTAGACTTTTCAGCATAATAGACTGGGACATATAGGGCACAAAGAGCATAGGATACAAAAGAGAAGTTTCATACCACATTAGCTCAAGAGTAGAATCCTGTCTCTTCTAGGGTGTGTGTGGGGGGGGTAAACCTAAAAAAAAATCACTAAATCCTTTGTTTTAAGGGAGGGGGATCTTCATAAAGTTCTACATTAACAAGGTCTTTAGGTGGACTTTATAGGCAAATGCCTGGGTTAGAAGATGACAAACTTGATAATTGCACTTAGCAAGATTCTGGTGCCCAGAATTGACAAAGTCAGGTGAACAATTTCTCTTAAAAATTTGGACCTCTGTTTGCTGCATTCTTTTTAGAAGGCTCTGTTAGTTGCAAGAAACTGAAGATTATTCAAAGTGCTTTTATTTATTTATTTATTTATTCATTTATTTATTTTGAGATGGAGTCTCGCTCTGTCATCTAGGCTGGAGTGCACTGGCACGATCTCAGCTCACTGCAACCTCTGCGTCTTGGGCTCAGGTGATTCTCCTGCCTTAGCCTCCAGAGTAGCTGGGACTACAAGTGCACACCACCATGCCTGGCTAATTTTTGTATTTTTAGCACACAGGAGGTTTCACCGGGCTGACCAGCCTGGTCTTGAACTCCTGACTTCAAGTGATCCACCCGCCTCAGCCTCCCAAAGCGCTGGGATTACAAGCATGAGCCACAGCCCCCAGCCTCAGAGTGCTTTTAGAAAAGGATAATTTTGTTCTTCCTCCCATAACTTGTATGGTTCACATGGTCCTATTTGTATGGCATTTCTGAGTATCCCTGCATACCGAGTGTTTATTGATTGCTCATTTACTGTGTGTCAGTGTACTCTACCATGACCAGGTCAGAGTGATGCACAAGATAAAGCCCCTGCCCTCATTCTTCTACCTGCTCATGGAGTCTGGCCCCTCGTCATTTGCCTTGCATCTAACTTATAGTCATTCAGCTGATCAGTCAATATCTCTATATTTTTATTTCAAAATCCCACTAGGAGACATATAATTTACTAAAACACATGCACACAAACACACGAGTTAGTATATAAATTAATGACTCTTGGATCAGGTGCAATGCCATATCAGATAAGTCATAGACAGCAAAATCTGCATGGATACTGAAGGACTTTCCTCATAGTAGAAGTTGTAGGTAAAACAGGTCTCATGGAAGAGGTTAAATGTGAATAGGTGGCATAAACATAAATAGTGTATCTACATTATAATATATTCTACTTTTAAAACTTCCCCAAAGACTAAGGGTATGACCTAAGTGTTGGGGCTCAGAAACAGATACCTGAAAATAAATTTGTATGCCATTTCTCCCATCAACGTGCCTTTTGTCAGTCAGTTGACTTTCAGTGACTTTTAGAGGGCAAAGGTAAAATTTTCCCATGGCACATAAAGTTTTGGCACTCTGAGCAGTATACCAAAGCTGCTCTACTCTCTTGGAAGCAAAGTGAAGGGAGTCCAGGACTTGACAAACCGGCAGAAGAGTAAGAAATTTTTACCATCTGGGATCCCAGCTTCTTTCTCTCTCTTTCTCTTTCGCTCTCTCTCTCTCTCTCTCTGTCTCTCTCTGTCTCCCCCTCTCTCAGATTAGGTTGAACAGATGGTAAAAAATCACTATTATTTCCATCTCTAAAATCTTGATTAATGGGAGAAAAGAATTTGTTGACTAGTCTTGTGTGTAGCTAGTATACATTTCTGGTATGAATATTCTTATTGTCTTATCCATTTCCTTCCAGAAATAGTATTTTTCCATTTGCCTTTGTCTTTCTGTGATTTTCTGTTATAAAGAGGGTTACTACAGAGTAGAACACAGGCTAAAACCCCTATATGCCCATTGTTTGAGCCAGCCCTGCAGACTAGTCAGTCTTGTGGTTCTGACCACACCAGCATCTATTTAGGCAAACTTTGCTGTGTATGGGTCCCCAAAATAAAAACCAAACAAGGTTCCTCCCCATCTTGTTTTATGTCTTTGAGAGCCTGACTTGTGACCAAGGGGGAACATTCTCTCTTGGTCTCTATTATCTGGGGGGTGTGATTTTGGGGTCATGTCCAGTGACCAGTCTGAAAAGAAATAGGAACGCTGAGACACATAAGATTTTCAACAGAACACTCTTTGTTCTGAATGTGTTAGGCTTTCAGGGGAGTTTGTCTTAATAAGAAGTCTCATCCATAACACACTTGATCATTCCAAACCTGTTGCCTAGTTAGCGCTGGGGAAGTCCAAACCTATGACTGGCAGCCTTCCACAAATTTGTGGGATATTGGAGGAACTAGATGCACAAACACTACCCTTAATTGTCTGTGGCAACAAGTTCTTTCCTGTCTTAACTTATTCCTTGGAGTGAACTGTTTTAGGGCAAAATTATTGGGACTGCATCTCCTATACTGTCTCCAGGAAACATCTCTTGTGTAGATGGAAAAAAACTTATTCTAAGCCTGTAAAATTACCTCCTAGGCTTTCCATGAAGAGACTCATTGGATTGCATTGCTATTGGAATAAGTTACAACATTGGAACTCCGAATCAGCAGCAACCAAAAGATCGATCCTTTAAATTAGAAAGACCCCTAAATTTGAAAAAAAAAAAGATTTTAAAAGATCTTCATTCTAAACAATTGCCATATTTGTATTTCTAAGATCAAATTAATGAAAAAAGACACATAATAATGTCATGGCTACCCTTAGAAATTCTCTTGACTAAATTACAGAGCAGAAATCTGACCAAGACAAAGTTAAAATTCTTTGTACACTTAAACTGCCTGCCTTGAATTTCCTGCAGAATTTACAAATAAAGGCGCTTCACCTGTAGTCTAGTGGCTAGGAATCACCTGGCCTGAGTTCTATTCCCGATCAGGGTATCAGACCTTGCAAATATAAATTCCTTAAGAAACAATGATTAAAAAATGGTTTAATATTTGTGACTCTTGAGTTTTCAGAATACCTATTTGTTATTGATCCTTTTCCCTGCCATGGACAGCTTTTGATTTTCTGTCCTTTCATCTGCAGGGATATGGGGTTTTCACGCCTTTGTTTGTAGATGGTGAGCTGAGAAGCTGAGACCCTAGAGAATATGACTGAACAGAAATATGAGTTGTACCCCATTTGCAGCTAGTGAAACTTTCCTTTTTTTGAGTTTCCTTTAGGGTGGTTTCTGGATCTTGTCAAAACTGCTTTGTACCTCTGGAGATGCTTCATGTGTCCTTGGTTAAGTCATAACCATAGTTAAGGCTTATTGGTTATAGTGAGTCACTTGGAAAGATACCTTTGGTTTAGACGACATAAAAAGTTCAAAAGCCAAGAATTTTGGCTGTTTGTCCTGGCTGAAATCTGAAAAGAGCTTTTTACGGATGTTTTTGAAAGAATTCTATTGTAAAAGCTTAACTAAAAGCTGATATTCAGGCTATAACTTTGTGTGTGTGTGTGTGTGTGTGTGTGTGTGTGTGTGTGTTTTGTGTTTTTTTTTTTTTTTTAGAACTTTCTGCTTTTTCTCTTTGGATCCTGCTTCTGGGAACCTTTTTAAGCTGACTGAAAATGCTTTTTAATATTTGTGGTCCCTATGTTTGCTTCCTTTCCTGTTGGCATAATTTTTTGTGACAAAAATGTAAAACCTCATTGGCCTTTTAGAAAGCTTAAAATCTCCCCAAATTGGTTCCTGTAAGAATTATCTTCCCACTTACTTCTACCTGACCTTCCTCTTTGCCACCTTTGATACTACATGAAGGAATCTAGAGAGGTTCTGCGGTTGTGAGACCCCTTGAGGAACACAGAGAAAGGTCCTCAGGGAGTCCCAAGGGTAGCAGGAATGTTTTTCTCAGATCTAAAGCTCTGCTGTGTTTTTGGATTGAGTTGCTTGATCTCTTGCCTTTGAGGGGGCACCAGGATTCACTTTGTACTATGAAAGAGCATGACCTGTGGGTATGCCATGGCTGGCAAGTCACTGGCAAGGGCTACAGTTTTGGAGTTGGCTGACAGCAGTTGTAGTGAATGATTAGTATTACTGGCAGCTACTCGTTTCTTTGCACATTTAGGTATGAAAGGCATGGTTTGAACACTTGGAGTTTGTGAGAACACTTGCCATTGAGAAATAGGACTCTCATGACTGATGTGCTGATCACAGAGTGGGCTGATTGCTATTGGGCCACCCACCAGCCTTGGGAGAATGTCTTTGCAATGAGGTGCACTGTGGAAGTGTTGCACAGCACCATCCTGCAGTGTTTCCCTCTTTTTGGGGGACCCTGGATTCAGGTTAAAAATAGGATCTGTGGCCAGGCACGGTGGCTCACCCCTATAATCCCAGCACTTTGGGAGGCTGAGGCAGGTAGATCATGAGGTCAGGAGTTCAAGACCAACCTGGCCAATATGGTGAAACCCTGTCTGTACTAAAAATACAAAAATTATCCGGGCGTGGTGGCAGGCACCAGTAGTCCCAGCTACTCAGGAGGCTGAGGCAGAAGAATTGCTTGAACCTAGGAGGCAGAGATTGCAGTGAGCTGAGATCACGCCACTGCACTCCAGCCTGAGCAGCAGAGCAAGACTCCATCTCAAAAAAAAAAAATAGGATCTGTGATTTTAGGGGGCATCTAGATGCCCTGTCCTCCAGATGCACCTGTTTTTTATGTATATAAGTATTAGGGCTTATATACACAAAAATGTATATACATATACATTAGGACTAGAAACCACAATTTTTTTGGCACTATTTGTTAGTGGGCTTTTCCCTGAGCTGTCATCCAGTTGAAAAACAGAGACTAAAACTTAGAGGCTACCTATCTAAATAAAATTAGTCTCCTTGTAAAATTATGTGGCGAATTCCCATGACTTTATGTCTCATCAATATCCATTTTCAATCTTTTTCTAAGACGCCCAAACACCTTCTTAAAGAAACTTAAATTCTGTCTCTGGCTACCCTATTTTCTCTAAAACTCGGTAAGGGCTTTGGCCATATTGGACAAACTTTAATTTGTTTCAATGGTCTTCTCAGCTGCTTGTCCTTCAGACTCTAGAAGGACTAGCTTATAGACTGTTCTAGACAATGACCTTTGTTTTTCTTCTGTTTCTATAGAGGCTCCTCTTACTAAACTGATTTATGCCTAGTGTTCCATTATTGGAACACTAAGCATGTGGGAGTTATTTATATCCTTCTGGTCAAGGTCATAGCCAAGGTCTGATTTTGCAATTCAAAAAATTGCCATCTCAGGCATAAATGGGTTAAAAATATGTTTGCTTACATAATATATAGAAGCTGAGCTTTGAGACCCCATCTGCTAGGTCATCTTCTAAAATGTGACACAGCTGCTTAGTTAGACTGGCCTATTCCCAGAAATGAGAGGCTGGTTTGATTGGATCCTTTGCGATTCAGCTGCTGTCTCGATTTTTCTCTCCACAGCAACTTACTTAGCTTTTAGTACCTAAAACTTCTGGGAAAGTTTCAGACAGGGGAATGTTGGGTCTCAGAAACCAATACTCCAAAATATGGCACTTTGACGTGCTAAATTTAAGAAGAAGCCTCAAGCTCTCTCTAACCTTTCCCCAATCCTATCTCTCAATTCTCTGCTTTTCCCAAAGCACAGGATGAAGTTGTTCTCTACAATTCCCTTACCTGCCTAAATTCTGAGAGTTTCAAATAATAAAATAGTTACTTCTGCTCCCTTTCCTAAGTTCTCATTAACTAGACTCGTATTGTACGAAGAAAGACAAGTCTGTCAACACATCTGGACAGACTTTTGTCACAAGTGATTGATTGCTCTGCAAGCCCAACAGACTTTATCCCAGGTCATTGTATGTTCTTTAAGCCCATTGACTTACCCTAAAAATCATTGACTACCCCTCTACAATTATCCATACTTCCTTGTTTTCCTTTCTAAGAAGAAGGATATATACCCATCTGTACCATATTGCATGACGGGATAATCATTCTGCGCTTCCCCCCCTCAATGCACATTAACAAATTTGTATGTCTTTCCTTGTATTCATTTGCCTTTTGTCAGTTGCTTTTTCAGCAAACTTTCAGAGAGTGAAAGGAACGTGTTACCTTGGCCCCTGCATAAGTATGCTATTTTCCCTAATAATTGGTCAGAAATTCATAACTCATGAATTCACTAATATCTTTGAATATATATATTTGGCTTTAATCTAGAGGAAATACTACTCCAGAAAACAAAGGCATCTTTTTCATCGTTTCAGAACAGCGTGATCTGGCCTTGGTAACAGAGAAAATTAGAATAGTGAGTTCAGATATGTTTCTATGAATCACAGCTGCAGAGTGCTTTATTCAAGAAAAATGATTACAAGCAGCCTTTGCATTGGATATTAAATCATAGAGATATCAAGAATCAAGATATCAAGAACAGTTTGTCTACTTGATACAAGCAACTAAAAGAGCAAACACTGCTAAACAAATTTCAAAAGATACGGTTTCACAAGAAGAGAGAAGTGATTCACTCTCCTAGCTGATTTACAACACAAAACCTCCTTCCCAACTTTTCCCCTATCCCACCATTAACATATAAAGCCCATTGCCAATTTTAAAATCCACATCATGGAGAGTGTACGTGAATAAAAGTGCAGGCAATATAGCATCATACTTTGAGCTGTTGCTTGATTTTTTACATGCTTGTATTAGATCAGTTTATTTATTTTCTTCTTTTCTGTTTTTTTTGGCGGTGGGGGTTGGGGAGAGCGCCTTGCTGTCACCCAGGCTGGAGGGCAGTGGCATGATCTTGGCTCACTGTAACATCTCCCTCCCTGGTTCAAGTGATTCTCCTGCCTCAGCCTCCCGAGTAGCTGGAATCACAGGCATACACAACCACACCAGGCTAATTTTTACATTTTTAGTAAAAACAGCGTTTTGCCATGTTGTCCAGGCTGGTTTCAAACTCCTGACCTCAAGTGATCCACCTGCTTTGGCTTCCTAAAGTTCTGAGATTACAGGCGTGAGCCACTGTACCCCGCCAGATTTTAAAAAAAATATTTTTATGTTCATTTTAGAGTAGTCTTTATTATTTTATTTTATACCAGGTTAAATCAACAGAAAAGAGGGATCAGTTTAAAGATAGAAGAAAAAAATGCTAAAGTATGCATCAATTCAATTCAATAAATGTTTTAAAGCACAAACTTTTTATGAAGGTAGAACTCAAAACTTAGGGCCTGCAAAAACAAATAAGCTACAGTTTTTCCTCACATTCTTTCACAAATGTCTTCATTCATCAGCCTGTGTAATGGCTTCGCCACCATAAAGATCTAGTCAATTCAATTTTCTTAAGCAAATACTAAGCTAATCCCTTAAGGAAATAGCACTAGTCAGTTTTAGTTATTTTCCCTGCCCATTATTTAAATTTTCCACAGCAGACGCCAACAAGAAAAACTAGAACATTCTATTCTCATATGAATTACCAAAAAGTGAGCTTTGCATTAAGGAAACAAACAAGCATTAAGATATTTGCAGTTCACTCTGGCTCTTTCAAGGCATAGCAATACACCAATATCTACAACTACCAACTAATCATCATCATTGTAATTTTAAACACAATTATAATTTTATAATATAACATTGTGAGACTAGAAACCAAGGACAAGGATCCAGTTCTGAGGCAATAGTAGGGGTAAGGGTGGTGTAGCACAGACAGAGGTTAAAAAAGAAAAAGGAAAGGAAAAGAAGAAGATTGTAGCAAGAACAATGAAAAACCCAAATGGGAAAGAAAGTGTTCAGTAAAGTATCTCAACTCAAGCAAAATCATAAAGGGAATCAGGACCAATACCCAACAGACCTGGGGCAAGGTAGTCGCCCAGTAATCAAAATTGGAATGTTGCAGCAGAATTAAAAGAGCAGCACATGTGATTGCATGCTGAGCTGTAAGATGTTGATGTAAACAATGCTTAAGTACTATTTCCTTGAGGCTAGCATTGTTTTTAGGGACCTAAAAACCAATTTAAATACCCCCAACTGTGAGGAGAATAGAGGTGCAGAACCTGGGGAAATTAGTACACGCTGACATTTGTCAATTTAAAGATACACATCCTCAGGACTGTGTTTATGGATGCTACTCAGAATACTTGGGTTTTTTAAAATATGAATGTGACCTAAATTCCTTTAAAATAAAATGAAAAAAGCAAACAAATTCTCAATGAATTGGACAGTCCGTTAAAGGGAATTCACCAACTCAGAGATTTCAAATTCACCAAAACATATTTTTATCATGCATTCTTAATAGGCTATATTACCTTCAAAAGGGCAAAACTTGGTTCTTTGGGGATGAAAAAAACCCTTACTCTTTTTCATGTAGAAAATGCAGATATGTATAGAGTACATAAACAGATATACAGTATAAGTATGATATCAAAATTTTATTGCATGGGGATAATTAAGAAAAATAATGTCTTTAAAAATATATTCATGGAGGTGACAGTGAAAAAACAAGGTGGAGAGATATTGATGTATGAATTAATTCCGGGGGTTGTATATATTAATAAATAAGGTCACAAAACATTAGTATATAACACTATAGACACAATTGGTAATGTAGAAAAGAAGTTGAGCTAACAGATTATTTTAATGTTTTTCTTGAATTTTGTATTTAGTACTATAATTACCTAACAAAATCCTGCTATTGATAAAGAATGATTTGTATTTTTGTGCCACAGCATTAGACTAAATTACCACTCTTCCTTTATTCAGGAAAAAATCTTTAGTATATACATACACTTCCCAAAATGATTTAACATTTGCTCTGTTAAGAAAGTAAACACCCTACTATACATTAATTATCTTTTATTGGAAGATAATATAAAGATATCCATCTCTCTTGAAATAATAGCAATGTCTATGTCTGAATTAATATGGCTTTATTTTATTTGAAAGCCTTCTTTGTCTGGCTATTTAATTTTTCTGTTGTGTACTCCTCAACTCCCTCAACTTCCTAACCTATGCCTGCTATTCCTTTTACTTAAGTTACTCTGATTTAAGCTTTCAAAGGGAAAAGGATTCTTTGCAAAGCACATACTAGATTACAGAAGAGCAGTATCTCAAGAAAACTGATTTTCTTTTTCTCTTGACCTACCTATACTAACTGGCCTTCTGCTAAGAATCACAAGAGGAAAATAAATTTTTGGCTTGTAAATTCCTCTGAGTGAATGCCTCAGGACAGCTTTTGCTAAGCTTCTCTTCATTCATCAGACTTTCTGAGCTTAATATCTATGTCAGCAAAAAATTGATTTCATTGAAAAGTGGTTCACAAAAGATTAATGATCAACTCTCTTGCTAATTAAAAGAGTAAGAAAATCAATAAAATGATGACATTTAAATTATCTTTATTTACTTGGAGTGTCTACTCCAAATAAAACCACTGCCCTGTGGAATAAAATGAACTGCTTTGGTGAATTGTCCCTTTATCTTATATGAAGGAAAAAAGAAAGGAAGAGAGGAAATGAGGAAGGGAAACAAGGAAGGAGTAAGGGAGGGAAGGCTGGAAGAAGAAAAGGGTGTATTTTCTAGAAGATGATTGTAATCTACAGATTGTGCATAGCTGAACACTGTTCATTAAGAAGTTTCCTTAATTAAAAAATGATTTGATTAATTCTATATTTGGAAACCAAATTTGATTAACACCACAGGAATTAAGAAAGGAACATTCAAGTTTATCCCACTTATAATGTATTCTGCAACTTGAAAAATTTGACTCCTATTATTACAAAACTATTTATCAAACATGAAGGTGTAGCTGCAGAAAGGGGGTGATTCTTTTCCTTTCTCTCATAAGGGTCATGGTTGACGCCCCTATAACAAAAGACAGGTTAACAAGAGAATAGCATAACAAATTTATTAACATACATAAACAAGGGAATCTCAAAAGGCATGAAAACTCAAGAAGGGATAGATGGGATGGTTGATGCTTAAATACCTTCTTTATTGAGGACAGGGAGTAGGGAATGGGCTATGATTGAATGGCCCTGGAGTCTAGAAAAGGGTTTATAAATGATTCTTATTTGGAGCTGAAAGGAACTAAAGGAAAAATATGTTGTTGATAAATTTGGGGAAGGTGAGGAGTGGAAATGCATTGCAAACAAAAGTTGTCTTGTTTTATAAATGCAGTGTCCCAGGTAATCTCCATGAGTTGCCTTCAGAAGAATAGATAAAACATCCATCTGGACATGGTGACATATCTCTCAGTCTTTTCTCCAGTAGTTTATTCTTTCTGATCATTTGATGAGATTCCTAGGAAGGAAATCTTAAGACAATTGCATCTCTTTTGGAAAGAAGTTTCGCGAGAGACCTCCCCAACACCCCCCTCTACCCCTCCTGTTTTGAGGAAGATGGTAAGTAAGAGACCTTGGTGCTAAGTTCTAAGACCCCAACAGAAGGAAATAAGAAGAATATAGTTAAGATAGGACTTCAATTAATTAAAAGCAATGAATTATTATACCATTAATTGTGTTACTCTAATAGGAAGTCATCTAGGAGTAAATGCTAAGAATTTGCACTTCAAGTTTTCTTCTATCTGAAATGGGCTTTCTTAAATGAAAGTTGATTCTTTAAGAGTAGTCACCACAAATGACTTAGTTATTTTTAGATTGGAGAAAAAGAAGAAAATATGCAATTTGTGGGAAATAGGGAAGTGAGCTATTTTAACACAAGTATGGGCTCTATTGCGGCTCTCCTCTACAGTACATTAAGTTCATTGACCACAAAATAAGAGTGACCACATCATCAAAATTACCCAACCAAGAATTCTAGGCCAAAACTAGCCATTTTACAGAATATGTTTGGTTGTGATATTTATTTTAGAAGCACATTTTGCCAAGTACTCTGACATCTCTAAGTTCATGATATAGATTTTTAAAGTGTTGGAAGTAAAAGCCAACCTACATTTCACTTTATTCATGACATTCCTGTCACCTGTTGGGGATAGGAGAAGGTATGGAGGAGAAAGCAAAAGAAAGAAAAAAATGACCCATGTTTTCCTTCTGAAGTTCTGCAAATTGCAGGAAAGGTCAGACCAGTTTAAGCCATGAGGGGGAGATGGATTCCAATTTTTAAAAGATACATACACTATTTACTGTATGCATGTTTTTTAAGCTCTGTCTTCTAATCATAGTTAACCTGACTTTCCTTATGATCTTTAACTCTATGACAGCTATCTTCAAAGACTTATGGTACCTCTCAACCCTGCAGTTTTATACCTGTTTTTCTTTTGTTTTGTTTTTGTTTTCCCTCGTGGCTAACTTGTTTTTCTACTGGCCCTATTGTCAACATATAGAATGACTACTCTTCTTTCTGAAAACTCATTACTTTTGCTACTACCACTGGAGGTAAACTAGGACCAACAGCAGATTAAAGGTCCTCCCTGTCTTATAACATCCAGGTTATTCCTGGAATAAGCAGTAGATGAAGGATCCAGGAATAACAGGGGAAATCAATCCATTAATACAAATGAGCAATAAACATAAAAATACTCATCTTCATCAATAAGAAAAGAATAGAAGTTATGAAAAATTGACAGTGTTATTTTAAATGACACAAATAGAGTAGGTAGAAAGTCACCACAAATTCTCTGAATGGTAGGAGTTTTCTTCTTACCATTTTCCCTGTTTTCCAAGATACGTGTGCTACTTCAATAACCACAAACATAGTAAATGTTATTAAATAAAGATGATACATACCTACATTGTAAAATAAGAAGAGCAAATAAAATAAAATATCCCTTTAGTCCTACTTATCATCCAAAAGCATCCACTGATCTATTTTTACATTTTTTAATCATTTTTTATTCATAATTATAATTTTTAAAACACTTTGGTTTTGCACTATAGGTTCAATATTAATTCTTTGCTAATACCATTTCTTTCCAGAAAATACCATGCAAATATTTAGATTGAAGTATATAAAATTACCATTTTAGTAGATTGAAAATGGTAAAATATCAGCAATTTCATATTGTTTATAGGAACAGTTGTAACTTAAATTACAGTGATGAAGAGAATGACAAGTAAAATAAAAGCAATAATCTTTTTTATGCCAACATGTACATATTTAATGCTTGCCTATAAGAACATCACACAAGAAGTTTAAAACATGAAAATGTATTTAAAACAAATAGGCAGTTATATGAATAGATAAGACATCAAGTTGTATAGGCCATTTATTTTCAGGGAATCATTGCTCAGGGGGAACCTTGAAAGGTCAGACATACCACAGTGAATGGGGCCTTGTACTATGACCAGCATAGCCTGGTTCCATGTCAAAATTGAAGTTCAAATGATGGTCAGGAATATGGCAAAAGTCCAAACTACAGTGAGGATGTAACTTTCAGTCATTGCAATGACTCAGTGATTGGATACAACCACAAATCATCTGTACTCTGCAAACAAACTGAATTCACCTAACAGGCAGAGATAACCAGGAACATAATAAAATAGTCATTAATATAACTTCAGCATAATCCAAGGGGTGCCAAAAAGGCCTAGCCCTCAAAAATAGCTTTCCCACCATTGCCTCTATTGTCAATTCATTCCTTTTTGTCAAGGTTTGCACTGGCTAGTCCATGATACTTTTAAGTGCAGATATCACTGATAGTAACACATTAAAACACAAGTTTAAGTGCTACTGTTTTTCTTTAAAAGAGGCAAATGAGAACCTGAGTCATCAGAAAATGGTAGGCACAAAAAAGTTCAGAAATGGGAGATACACCAGTGATTTTTTTTTCACAGTTTTCCCTAAAGATTTTGGCTTACATTTCATCCAATGATACATCATCTAATCTTTACTTTCAAAAGTCCAGACAGAATCCAAATAATAATTGGAATCTATCCCAGAAAATTGTTTGAACAGAGCTCACAATGTATTTTATGGATATCTTGAAATACCGACTAACTGCAGTAATATTGAAACTTCCTTTTGCAGATACCTGTAAGGCTACCTAACTAGCCCATACCTTTTCCTATTTTAGAACTGCTCTCACACCGCAGTTGGGTCTTAGCAGTTTGTTTCCACTTCAGATCCTGCATGCCACTCCATAGCCAATTGAACCAAGGGTAGATAATCAACAGGTATAAACTGAATCAATCAGAATCTTTGTTCTGGGAATATAAAAATGGGACTTAATGGAGCTAGTGTTTCTCTTGCAGGTAGAAGAATTAATTTAAACTCAGGAGTGGGTGTTCTGACCATGATCCACCATGCTTTGGAAAAAGCAAAGAGTCAGCAAAGAGAGAGAGAATGAAGCAGACATACAGAGATAAATGGAGATGAGACAGTGTGTAGTTTCCATAAAAGACTAAGACAAAGCCTCCTTTGGTGGCTATCCAGCTCCTGTACTTCATCAATGGCATTTGACTGTATTTTGAAATTGTGAGTCCTGAGGCTTCCACTAATTCATAACTATATATTTATCTTTATTTCTTAAATTCATTTGAGGTTATAGTTATGTAATAACAAAAGCTACACCACCACCAAAAATAAACCCCATCCAACAATACTAACTAATGCTTATGGAGCATCTATAAATGTAAAGTCATGTTTTACATCTTTATAAGATTAATCTACTTTAGCTTCACAATGACCTTATGTGATAGACAATAATCATGTCCAAGGTGGCATTTGGAAGAACAGGGTATGAATTCAAGCAGTTTTCAATAATTACACAGTGTTTAACTATACTGGAGTGTATGCAGAGTTCATAAAGCATCATATTAGACCATTGGCATAAGACTCATTGGGACACATTGAAAAACAAAAAACAAGCAAAAACAACTCCTAGGCCCAGGTATGACCACAGAATCACAACATCTAGAGGAGAGAGATTAATTTAGTCACTTCCAGGTGATTCTTCTGTTTGCTTTGAGAACCATTGCTCAATAATTTAAGGAGGGGGACTTTTGCTGGGGTTGTAGTAGCAGTATCTGTGTGTGTGTGTGTGCATGTGCGTGTGTGTGTGTATGTGTCGGAAAAGGGCAACAATGCAAAATGAATGAAGAGTTTCACTTACTTTACTAACTCCAGATCCACCAGCACCATTTCTCCTGCTACTACAACACCTACTTTTCTGGTATTCAGGCCTGAGCATAAGGTATTGGGTTCATCAATGAGAGGATTTTAGACTCTCCTGGGAGCCAAAATTGGCTATATAGATTTTCAATCCTAATAAGAAACATAAAAATTCACTTTTGAGAAATCTAACCTAGAAAAACAAGTTTGGAATAATGTTGTTCTAAATTATAACATTCTCTTCTGTATGACATCGTGTACATTTTCTTTCTTGAGTAGAAATTATATATATATATATAATTTTTTAAACAAGAGGGATTTTCCAACATGCCATCATTGTGCAGATGGAACCATTCCATTCCTAAACAGTAGGAAGTCTTTCCTGTCATATTTTATTGGTTCTTCTGGTCATTAAATTTGACAGACTGTAAATCCCCTGTTTGCCATTAAGCATATTGTGAATGACAAGATAGTATTAAGCATTTCTGGCACAGAGATTGCAGTTGGGCAATCAATAGCACCATCATTCTAGGAAAATTATTGCTGTAACTGAAGGAGGGGATGGTCATCAAGGAGAATTGTATGTTCTCTTTATACTTGGACTTAGTAGAGAAAGCCAAAAATAAAAACTAGGACAGTTCACAGTTGCAAACATTCTAATTAATAATAATGATGAAGGAAGGCGGGAAATAAATGGTTGGGGTTGAGACAGAAGATGTGGCCTTCCTTTTGCATGATGTCTTCCCAGCAGTATAAGGCATGGAAAATATGAGGGGCCATTACCCAAATGTAGATGGCACTACCCAATCTCACAGCCAAGTGCTCTAACCATCCATTAATTTTTTAAAAATTGTATGTTTTAGTGTTTTCCTGCTAATGAGTTGATTATATTTTTAGAAATCATGGGAAATGTGTAGACGCTGATGTCACTGTTCTTTGGCTTTGCTAAGGATGCCTATTGTGAGCAAAGTTGTTTCCTCCCTTGGCTGCAGGCCACTAGACTGCTGTTCTCTCCCTGTCTGCCCACCTCTCCACTCCCTCCTCCATATACAAACACTGGGGCCATAGGAAAAAATATGCTTCTAAAGGTCTAAATCTGCTGTCACTATTGCTGATAAATTAGATTTCGTATTACGTAATTTTAAATTCATCTGTATTTTTCTTCATGGCTCCTCTTTTGAATATAATGAAAAAAGTATTTGTAATTATTAGCTTTGTATTTGTGTCCTCTTTTTGCCATAAGCTCCATGAGAATGAGACCCTGGCTTGTTTTTTCCACCTCAGCACCTATAAACCTATTGTCATGAACAATGCCAGGCACATAGAAAATGTTAAAAATATGTATGTGTATGTATATATACATATATACATTTTTAATGATGAATGCTTATCAACCACTTAAGCTTGTGCCCATTGTCAATGAATGCCTTTCACTGAACGAATCTGTGATAACCTTTTATAGTTAGCTCACTTTATTGAGTTTACTTTCTAATACATAAATATACACAGATTTATCCCCACCTGAAAATGTCCATAGTCTGCTTATTAGAACACAATAATCCCTCTCTTTAAGTTTTTGACACCCACATCTCAGTAATCCCAAGCACTCTGTTGTAGTTGTTTTGTTGTTGTTTACTCTTTTGCTCGTTTTAAATTACCCTTTTCTTTTGACTAAGTTTTAACTCTTTCCTTAATACCAGTGTCCAAATTTTTGCATTGTAGTTCTTAGGCCATGTTCCCCTACAAAATTACAATGTCTCAAGAATGGTGACTTTACCAGGCACCCCAGGGATCAATGACACATACTGTTAGCACCTTTGCTGAGTGGTCAAGGCAGAGTATTTAGAATGGAAACAGTGCTTCCAATTCTAATTGGTATTCTCATTACTAATATTCTACCATGTTGTTTTTCTAGTTCTTTTCATTCTTCAGTAGCCACATGATATTGAGTGAGTTCAATCTTTTCTTCCTCAGAAGCTTTGATTTGGATTAAGGTATATGCAGTTCCCTTAAGCAGCCATGTCGGGCACACAAAAAGCACACCCTGGTATGTTCTTTAGTTGAGGACAAACTAAACTATGAATCAGAAGGCTACACACTTGGTTTAAGTCAAATAGCATATCTACACATTTCATGGAAAAAGAAAGCAGCCAGAAATAATAAATCTTCCTTTGGTTACAAGCTAAAATTTCTTAGCATTCTACCGAGTGTATGTAAAAATTTTATCAAAGAACATAACAAAATTATTAAGTCCTTTGACTATTTTTTAACCTGTGTACAGATTTTATTTGAAAAACACTTAAAAATCATTTTGCCAATCCCTAACCAAAGAAATCCAAAATCATTATTCTGAATTAACTTAGATAAAATAAGAAAGAAAAAAATAAAAAGCATTTTGAAAAAGGTATAACATAAAAGATACAGACGTGAGATATAATGAGGAATATATAATAAAAATGTAAGAAACATACTACACTGTAAAAGTGAAAGAAAACATCGACAAATAGAAAGTGTAATCCCAATTTTATGAGAAAACCAAATCCCTCAAAATGTTGGCATAAGATTAAATTCATGGGGCATTTTAATTAAAAACTCTGTAAACATAGACAAGGGCATATTTTACCTTGAAGATCCAGGGACAAGTAGCAACTTACTACTCTGCTTCTTGGGCCTTTCAAGCTAGAAAGTGATGATTCCAAGACTTTCAGGGCTTGAAATAATTTTAAGATAGAGAAAAAAAGTAAAATTTTCCCTTTCATCTCTAAAGAAGTTTATGAGTCTCGTTGTCCAAAGATGGAAGCATAAGCTCCCTTCTTAGCATTGCCACAGAATGCACAACACTGACACATGCACACCCTAAACAAAATCCTTGGTAACAAACTGTTGATTGTTTGTTTGTTTGTAAAGGAGTTTCGCTCTGTTGCCCAGACCAGAGTGCAGTGGCGAGATTTCAGCTCACTGCAACATCTGCCTCCTGGGTTCAAGCAATTCTCATGCCTCAGCCTCCCAAGTAGCTGGAATTACAGGCACCCGCCACCATGCCTGGCTAATTTTTGTATTTTTTAGTAGAGATGGAGTTTCACCATGTTGGCCAGGCCGGTCTCCCACTCCTGACCTCAGGTGATCTGCCTGCCTTGGCCTCCCACAGTGCTGGGATTACAGGCGTGACCCACCACGCCTGGCCAAACTGTTGTTTTCTAATCAATTATACTTGTAGGAAGATTTTCAGTTCTTTGAGGAAAATAAAAAGTTTCTTCTTTCACTGGTGTTGCAAGGACATTTGACATACAGAGGGTCATTAGCATGCACGTATTAGATAGAGGCATAATCAAATTAAATCCCATGAACGCCTTTCACTATGACCTCACAAGATTCATTCACTCAGAATTTCCAGAAATCTGAAGTCAGTCATTCTCCATCAATGAATCTCCAACTTAGCTGCATAGGAGGGACATCTGTCTATATACTTCTTGCTTCAGAACAAAAAAGTCAAGACAATTGCCTGGGTAAAATATTCATATTCTTTTTTTTTTTTTTGGTTAAGAATGTTTCAATTTTGGATAAAAAGTGCTAATGGACTTGAATCCTAAGCAAACTCATAAACATCTGGGAGCTGGTATGACTTTCTTTGAAAATTACCTTGTATTTCACCTTATTTAAATAATGGAGTTGTTACTTTGCATGTAACATGTGCAGAAAACCCGTAATGCAGCGTTAGTGTCCTTTGTCTTGGTTAATGATCATAAACACCTTAAAATGTATATATTTTTATCTTTTGTTTTCAGATAAACTGAAACTCAGTATTTTCAGTTAGGCAGAGACTGCCAATAGCACCTTCAATAACTATGTTTTCTTTCTTTCTCATGTAGCAGGAAGCTAATTTTATTGGTGTTGGCAAAGTTCCTACTTAAAAAGCATTTCTTAGACTCCTTTGCTGATAAAGGTATCCATATAATGGTATTTCCAGACAATAATATATAAGTGACTTTATTGGGAGGGGTTTCTGGGAAAGCACCTTATATAGGAAATGGACTCATGTAATACCAGATATATCCTTTTTGCCCATGGCACATTTCCTTTTTTCTTGCCAGAAATACAGATCTATGGGGTGAAGCACTCCAGCAACCATCTCAAGCAGACTGTCGGGGGAAAAACAAGAAAATCAGCCTGACATCCCTGAGACACTGGACTGCTTACTTCGGAATTTTTGGCTTTGAAGGAGAAACACAACACCTATCTTGCTTAAACCACTGTTCCTAGCATTATCTGTTCTCATTCAACTGAATAACTTTCATGTTCTGTAGCAAGTCCAAGGTCCCATGGCTATAAACTAATGTAACTTTTTCTGATTCCACATTCTATAAAGAATGCTAAGAGCAGATATCTTCAACATTAATTCAGCTAGCCAGAGTAATATGTAAGGGCTAACTTCCAGGACTAGAATGATCTCATAGGCCCATCTGTATCCTGAGCCACAAAAATAGCTTGTTTACTGCATATTTCATTGTTTGTTTTTATGCATTCATCAAGTATTATTGACAGCCTACTATTAACAAATATTGCATTGTCTAGAGACCAATGACAGAAAATGTCACTGCTACCAAGCAGTTTATAGTCTATTTTCGTGGGTATTTCCAATAAATAGTTAGGCAAAGAATTTCTATTATTGGGATAATTGCCACAAAATCTGTTACTATGACAGCAGAAAATGGGAGGGCCTATTTCAGTGTTCGGGTGAGAGAAAGCTTTAGAGAGAACATGTCACATGTGCTGACTTCTGAAAGATGAGTATGGACTAGCCAGGCAACTGGGCATGAGAAAACGGAAGGTGAGTTTAAGGCATAAGAAACAGCATGTGTAAAGGTCCTGAGGTTTAATAAAGATTGTGGGAAGTGATTCACAATTAGACTGGAAAAGTAGGCCTGAAATATGGGGTCCTTTCAGACTGTGTTTGAGATTTTGAACTGTATCACAGAAGCAATGGAGACCATGGAAGACTCGTAGATGGGAAACAGATGTAACTAAATATCTCTTAGGATTAGAGAGGAAATTACCCTAAGGTATTTTTAAAAATTATTTGGAATAAGACAAGAGGAAGCAGAAATAATAGTTAAGATATTATTATTGCAGTAGTTCAGACTGGTAAAGATGTTGGTGAATTAGAATCTAGTGATAATGGAGGAGTTAGAAAGAAGTGAACAGATTTGATAAGCATTTAAGAGGCAGCTGCTTCTGGATGCATAGCTGATTGGATAACAGAGCAGTAAGAACACAGATGTGAAGAATGCCTTCCTTGTTTTTGATATGAACTGATGGAAACTGTCATAAATTACCAAGAAGAATGCGGAAGGAAAAATGTTTGATAAAAAGAACATTAATCCAGTTTGTTGAGTTTAAAATAAGTGTAACACATCCAAGTGAGAATATTGAGTAGGCAGTTGAATACAGAGGACTAAGCACAGGAGAATTCAGATGGTGTACCCATGGTGAGTGTTCCACCAGCATATAAGTGACAACTTTATATGTTTATTGCCACACTTCGGCCTCCTTTGTTTCTCGATTAGAAGCTCTTAGTATTACTGAAAAGTAGTTTTCTGCTTATGAGAATTAGGTAGACCATTGTATCTTCACCCATCTTATTTGCCATACTTAATTTTCTCTTTTCACAATTCCAAATGAGTCAGTCAGAAAGCTAATTTTTTTCAGAAAGCTTCTTCACCATTGAGCACTGTTATCTGCTTTCAATAATCTATTAATATTACAATAATAGAAGAACAATACCAATAATTTACCAAGCACATAAATGTCCCAGACGCTGTTACATCCTTTGCATATATAATTTCTAATTGTTTCAACAATTATATGAAGAAGTATTTTCCAAAGCATTTTGTCAGTGAAAGAACCGAGATCTGGAGCAGCTGCATTGAACAAGATTATTCCTATGCTAAGTGGGAGGCTTGTCTTCAATCCTGAGTCTCTAGGACTGGACACCCAGATTGCTCCTAAGAGTTCTCATTGAGAACATATTAAATAAATGTTTTGTAGGGGGCAGAATCCTTTTTTCTTTCCTCTCTTATGTCCTCCATCTGGGTTCCGGCAAATTAGACTGACAAAAGACAGATGAACAAGAGAAAAATGAATACTTTATTAACATGTATAGCCTGCAAGAGAAATTCAGTAATGAGTAACTCAAAGGAGTATTTAAAACCTGGATTTATATAGCATCTTAACAAATATCAATATTTGTACAGAACTGAAAAGACAAAAAAACAACAAGTTTTTAGGCTTCCTGAGGTTGCAAACTTTGGGAAGGTAAATATACGGGGGAAACAGATGTAAGGTAAGGAGTATCTTAGCAAGATTTGTTTATGCAGAACCGTCTGGTAGCCAAATTTCTATCTTCTTCAGGACCATAAAACTTGCTGGAAAGAGGGGATTTATGGCAGTCTTCATTTCTCAGAAGCTTCTGCCTCTGGTTATATAATGGAAGCTCTGAGAAGGCTTATTTCTGCATGTGTGGATTTTCTTTTGCCTCTAGCTCATAAGAGTTTTCATGCCAAAGTGTCATATTTTGAGGTGGTATATTCTGAACCCCTATGACTTCATGGAAATGATGGAAACAAGTACCAGCTCTTACTAAACTGGCCCAAATACTCCAGGCAAATCTTGCAGAAGTTTCAGAGGAAAATTATATTTAGAAATAACATAAAGATGATATTCAGAATGCAACCATGGATCAGACTTTATATCTGTTCCCTTTATTTACTTTTGTGAGGGCAATAAACAATAGAGGCCACTTTTCATCACTTTATAAAATAATATGTCAAAAGAGTCCTCAAAATTCATTTGTTCTAATAAAGATCTCAGTAGGATGTTAATTTAGGATGGTTATAATAAATAACAATGTAATTTCTACAAGAAGAGCAAACACTCTGTCTGTGTGGAATAACCAGGTCCTGATTCTGTGCTTACTGCTTCCAAGCATTTGACACGTTAATGAGATGAGTGGGTGAAGTACAGAGAAACATTGTTCAGACCTCATTTCAACTTTCCTCTGTCTATATCAATCACTTCACTTTTTTTCTTTTTAAAAATCTTACTTTTTCAGATTTTGCTTATTTTGTGCAGAGGATGAGGCTTAAGGTGAATTTAATCTTGTCTTAGTAGATTCTTTAAGCACAGAATACAAATTAATGATATGAAATGTATATACATATTTTAGAAGCATTTCTAGGTAATATGAAGTAAAATGGAAATAACTTCATATGCCTAAAACATATTTAATGTTCAAATATTTTTCTTACAAATTGTTTTATCTAGTAAAATAGATCTTTGAAATAATTTTGAATATTTTTCTTTAAAATAAAATATTTGTAAAAATCTACTAGTTACCCCAATAAAAAATAAGAAATTTAGAAAATACAGAAAGATAAAAAATAAAAATATTTCTATGTTTTCTTCCAGGATCTATTTATCTCATAACTGTGATTATAAAAGTATCACATAAATAATATAAATGATTATAAGGTGAATTTTATGTTTTGATAGCCTAGTTTGAGTAATTTATTTGCTGATGAAAACTATCAAATAATACTACGAATTAGCTTTGGGGCCTTTTATTAGCTTAACACACTTCATGACAAAGTCACAATATAAGAACATGAGATTAGATGAATACAAATTTGATCAGTAGCCACAGCACTAAAGCAGTTATTTCAGTGCTGTAAACCTCAAGTGTTACAAACTTAAAGACAACTGTCCTCCCAAGAGTCTACCCTAAATGCCTCTAGAGAATCAAGGCCTCTTTTCCCCTTCCACTTCAGGTGACTGTCTCTTACTGGCCGACTTTACCCTGGAAATATTCAAGGAAGGAAATTCTGGAAAATGTAGTTCTGTGAGACCATAGAAGGATGTGGTGTGATGCCAACTTAACAGCACACAATCTACCACATTATATTATAAAATAAGTTAAAAAGCCGGATGGACTTTAATGATCCCACCTTAAGTATGCTCATTAAAACTCATTATTACTTCTTCCTGCCTATAGATACTCCAGGCGTCCTAAACTTTGAACAGAAAGGAATCTTAGCTGTAGATTCTATAAAAGCATTGAATTTGGTAAAGAGTAAACGTAAATTTTTCAGTTCTGAACTTCTTTTCCTATCTACATTTACTCCCTCGGTGTTCCAATGTGGATTGAATTATCATGTATACACCGACAACTCTCACATTTGTTTCCAGCCTTGACTTTTCCCCTTCTATCATGAAAATATTTCCAGTACCCAACCAACCCTCACTTGGATGGCTTCCACCTTAATCCAAGGCAAACATGATCAATTACCTGCTTTAACTTGAGTCCCAACTTTGATCATTAGTCTTTTATTCTCAACAAAGCAGATAGAGTATATAGGTAATCCTTTTAAAGTTATGTATCAATCCTCTGCCCAGCACCCTTTAGTGGCTTCCACTCTTGTTCAAAGCAAAACTTCAAATTCATCTCAGTGTCCTACAAGGTCCTGGATATCTGCTCTTATTATCTTTCTGACTTCACTTTCTATTACTGTCTGACAACACTTACTTCATTCTAGCCCCGCTGGACACCTTGTCATTTCTCTGCTACACCAAGCATCTTCTTACACCAGGGTCATTGAAATTGCTCTTCTTTCTACTTCGGGTACTTACTTCACTCAGGATTCTGATCAAATGTCACCTTCTCAGTAAGTCCTGACTTTTCTATATAAAATAATATCTTACCTAAGGACTATTATACCTCTTTTTATTTGCTTAAATTAATCCTTGACAAATGTCAATATATGAGATATAATTTTTTATTTTTATCTCTTTTTCCCACTAGATTTTAAGCTTCATGAAGAAGAGAACTTTGTCTTATTCACTGCTATATCCAAGGAAGAAAGAGCAGATCCCAGCATTTTGTAAACACCGAATAAGTAATCTGTGAATGAATAAATGAACAAAAGCTGAGTTGTGTTGAGAAATGATGACACAGATGTGATTGGCAAGCAAACATTTAGATTCAACCATAATAAATAAGTGTATTGTCATATCAAAGAAAGAAGATGTCTACTGCATAGTTAAGCTCATTTATCTAAAGTATTAACAACTCTTCTTTAATTTGATATGTACTCAGTCATTTCTATTTTATTGGACTCTAACTTAATGTAATATGCTGACTGGCTATGGAGTAGCCCTTCTTCATAAAATAGCACAATAACTCCAGGCTCTTTAGAAAAGTAAGATCATGCCATTTTTTAATTCCCAAATAAGCACTAGCAATACAAAAATTTTACCTCTTTTGTGATATCTGAAGATTGACTTTGACTTGGTATTTAACTGGGTTTCTGATCAGATTTCCCAATATTTTGCTCTGACAATTTCTATTTGCATTTCCTTCTCTCTTCCTCTTTCTCAACTTCGCTCACTGCCTTCCCTCTCCTTGAATGCTCTTCCAGCATTGATTTGCTTATAAAATATTTTCTCTGCATCTAAGACTTATTTCAAGTGCTAATACCCTGGCCAACCCTTTCCTGATTCACATAGGTAGATGAAGGCACTCCTCTTATGCTCTTATTGCACCATGACCACAGTATTTGAAGGAAGAAGCAGTATATGTCATATAAATATCCCTAGTGCCTTTCTTATTGCCTTACTTAGATACTTGTTATATATTATTTTCTGAATGAATAAATGAATGAATTCATGCAGGGAAAACAAACCGGCATCCAAAGCTAAATAGCAGCTCCTGCATTCTCACAACTACTGTTGAAATCACACTGTTTTATATTCTAGAGACATAAAGTTCTGCACTGAGATAAAACAATGAATTAATTTCTGTAATGTCACATACCTTGAACTCTGAGGGACAGAAATATTTAATTTCCTAATGTGAAGACATAGTTTAAGGAAATTAAACCAGCGATTTTCTCACTCAAGTAATATGTTTTATTTTAACCCAATGAATATATTTATACAATACTATAATGTCTATAAATTTTTCTTCTATAAAAATTAATGGATCTGGTAAAGTTTAGTCACTAATTAATGAAAAGGCAGAGCATCTTGATTTTTGAGTGATATTTTTAATTTCTGTAGCTTAAAAAATTATGAAACAACTCATATTTCCAACTTCATCCTCTTGCTGATACCCTACTGTCTTCCTATTATTATTGGTAGTAAACTTGTCTTGCCTGCCAAGTGAGTCACTTGAGATGGGAACATTTCTTGATTAGAACCTACTTGGGTCAAAGTAATATAAAGAATATATAAGAATGAAAGAAAAAAAATACCATGCTTTATGAACACACAGAAAAACATATGTATATAAGTGAATTGTTTAGGAAACAAAGTCTCTAGATAATGAAAAAAATGCTGCTGGATCTCAATCTTACTAATTTTAGAATTAAAATATAGTGCTAAAATGGCTACTACTCCAAGACCTGTATGAAATTTAAAGAGCCAAAATCTAAATATTAGTTTAGTGGTGAAGGAAACCAAAATATGCCACAGCAAAATATGTTTCTTTGGTATATTTTGAGATGGCTATTTAGAGGGGTTGCAGACACAGGAATAGCTATGAAAAGCTGTCCTTTTGTGGAAGAGATTTGCATCTGTAAAGGAAATCTACATTAGTGAAATAAACAGCAGACGCAAATAGGCTTTATCTGACCCCACCCCCCACCCTTATTTGCCTTATATGAATCTAGGAAGTGATTAACAGAAAAGGAGACTAAAAGTCTGAAACTTTTGGAAGTTTGACAGAGAACATTTTACTATGGGCTCCCATCTATTCTTCCTCAGGACTGCTACCCATGAAGCTTCATCTGCATCACAACAAAGCCTTTGCTCACCATGCCTTTCCTCCCCTCCCCTTTCCATAACCTGTCACCATGCTTCAACCCTCTTTTCCTTTCTCTATGAAACTAAAATTTCAGTCATCTGGCTCTTCTTTGAGTTTCATATTTTTTGTGACTCCTGTGTGCACACATGTGCATGCAATAAATTCGTATGCCTTTTCTCTTTTAATCTGTCTATAGTCATTTTATTTTACAGACTCAAATATCAACCTTTCCTACAATAGTTTTTAAGATATATCCATGGATTCTTTGATATTTCTCCTTGACAATTGGAGCTTTGTACCCCCTCCCTTAGTGTAGGATAGACTTAGTGATTCATTTCTGGCAAATTTAACTTTAGAAGGATAAGACATTACTTCCAAGATAGTTTATAAAGCAATTGTGAGTTCTATGTTGCACATATTCAACCTTTCTTTCTCCTCCCCAACCCTCATCACTCACTTTGGAGGATACCATGCTACCATGTCACAGTGTAAATGAGGCAGTTATGGAAAGGTAGAAACTTACTTTTATGTACTGAGGACACTCAAGAAGCCCAAGGGAGAGGTTCACATGGCACGGAACTGAGGCCTTGAGCCAATAGTCACATTAAGTAGGCTGTTTTGGAAGAGAGTCCATCAACCTGGTCAAGATTTCAGATGTCTTTGGTCTGAGCTGATGCCTTGACTACAACTTCAGGAAAGACCCTGTATTAGTTTTTTACTGCTATTTAATAAATTACCACACGTTAAATGGCATAAAACAGCATATATTTATTATCTTATGTTTTTCATGAATCAAGATTTCAGACACAGCTTAAGAGGGTTCTCTGTTGAGGGTTACACAGGGCTAAATTAAGGCTAAGCTTCACTGATTTAAGGAGCTCAGGTATTCTTCCAAGATGCTTCTGACAGAATTTATTTCCTTGCAACTGTAGAATTCATGGTTGCTTGCTTCTTCAAGGTCATTCATCCAAATAGGTTAGACCTATGCAGGATAATCTCCATTTGATTAACTTAAAGACAATAGATTAGAGATTTAATCATATCTGGAAAATCCTTTCACTTTTGCCATATTCTATTGATTAAAAGAGGATTACGTAAAGGTTTGAATACTAGGAGTCAGGAGTCATGGAGGCCATCTCAGATTTCTGGCTACTAGAGATTCTAAATCAGAACTACCCACCTAAGCTCTTCCTAAATTCCTTACCCATATGAGATAATAAATATTTGTTTTATTAGGTCACTACATTTTGGGGTATTTTGTTACACAGCAATAAATAACGAACACAATGAGGTTATACTTGCATAAATTACACTCAGGGAAGGAGTATATAATATTATCACTGTTTTCTTATTGGTTCAGAAAGCCCGGTTCTGCTAAAAGTAGTTGTTAAAGAGTACCGTATTAAGTAAGGGTATAATCTTTGGGTTTCATGTGAAGAACTTACAGGAAAAAAAAAAAACAGCACAAAGACAGCTAGAAATGTCAAAATATAATCCCAATACTCAACGATTAAAATAAGAAATTGATACAGAACTTGGACTAATTCTTACATACGAGCTGTTCATTTGAAAGCACTGAAGCTTTAGCATAATACCATTTTTGGGGTCAAAGTAGAAATTTAGAGGCAGAATCATCTTATAGCAAAATCAAACCAAAAAACATTTCTTGCTAACTTATCAGTAATTAAAATGTTACATATTAAAAATTATGAAATATTTAATTTTTATTGGACATGAGTGCAAATTAAATAAAATTCTTCTTTCCACATTAGTGCATAATGTAATCTTTCCTTATGAGTAGCGTGATAGTAATTAAGAGTGGTGGCACTGATACATGTTTATGTAAAAAGATTACTTCATTATACATAAAACTAAAATTTTATGAAAATAATTCTAACCTTTAACATTTTCAAATAAATTTTTCTGTATAACCTCCCATTTCAATATACACCTAATCTTCTTGGGGATAAACATTTTTATTACCTGAAAGTTAATTATGTATAATCAAAAAGTTATAAATTATCTGTAAACATCTTGCTTTCAAATATTTGTTACTTAATCTGCTGCTTTTATGATTTCTTTGACATAGTGAAATTCTTATTTTAATAAAATAATTAATTCAAAAAGATAATATTTTAATAAATATATTGACTGCCTTTGTGCCGGGGGAAACAACTCAAAAAACTAAAAAAGATAGGTCTGCTCTGGTGAGATCATTTGCATCAATCAAATAAATGATGAAATTTATTTGTTGTTTCAAAAGTGAGGAAAGATGAAGAACTAAGTATAGCTATAGGGATATCTTTATTGTTTTGATGAATATCCAATATAGAAGTGATATGTTTATTCATATATAAGTATAAATATAATTTTAAACCCAAATAAAAAGTGATTTTAGACTTTTAACTTTTTTGTTTATTATACATTACCATTATAGATATATGAAAATATAAAGACTCTTTATATTCTTTGCTTATTCTTATACATTATCATTTTGCAACATTTACAATAATAAAGAGTTGGTTCTATGTGCAACCCTAAATCTTATTTTTATGGCCAGCAGCACAACTTCCAAGTAGAAATGATGAAAACAAGAGAGCAAGAGGAAACAGTAAGCAATCAAAATTCTTGTCCTGAGGAGAAAGAGGCCTCTGATATCTAACTGGTGATAAGTTACTTTATGAATACAAGAATTCCAGAAAGCAATTTTACAATATTGCCTTAAAATAATACAATTCTAGAAATAGGATGTAAAGCACTGTTAGATGGTAGAATCAGCAATGAAAAAGCATTTTCATATCCATTATTTTATTTAGTCTTCACAAGTTCCCGTGAGTGACTAACGGCAGGATATAAAATTTCTGCCATTTGTGGATGAGAAACTGAATCTCAGAAACATTAAGTTATTGGTCCAAAGTTGCATAGCTACTACATGATAAACCTATGAAATGAAACTCAAATTGTATTACTGGTTTTCTGAAGTTTATTCACTAGAAAATGTTGACTTCACTCATCCATAAATATACTTTCAAAATTGGATCTCCATGAACTAATAAGAGCCAAGGAATCTTAATTTTAAAATGAGAATGGTAAAATTTTATAGATTTCAGACACATAGAAATCATCCCATAAAGTGACTTAGAGCAGGTCCTGCAGCCAGCCTTGCAAAGTAGCTTTATATGGTAGATTTTACCACTTTACAGATAAGAAATAGTTTTAATTGTATAATATCAAATAGCTAATGATATTTGGAGCCATGAGCCTTCATCTTATGCAGGTTCTGAAGTTAAGTGCAACTCAGGGATTTCTAAGTAGATTATTCACAAATTGGAGTGCTTATACCCCAAAGCCATTGCCCGTGAATGTGTATGAAATTGTAGGATAAATAAAACACACCTTTCCAGAGTATCCATTTTACTTCATATTGAGCACCATACCACAGTTTTCTTATACTAAAACAATTGCAAGTACATCACAGGCTGTAAAAGTCAAATGAATAATTAAAGTATAAAACTTCAAAGATATTTCTTAAATTGGGGTTTTTTGTTTGTTTGTTTGTTTGGATTCTGCTCCCATGCTCCCTGGGTGTTTATTTACTCTCCTCTCATGTCGGGGTATTGTTTGGGAAAGTTAGACAAGTATCACTTTTTTATATGAAGGTCATGAAGCCCCTTTCTTTCTTTTTATCTCTCTGTAATACAGTCCTCTAGAGTGAATCCAAACTTCAGTTCATACTCGTTTCTTAAAATCCCAGGTCAAAGAGTATCACAATTAGTCTCCAATTTAGGAATTTCTTATACATCTGAAAACATATATTCTATGCCCTCTGATTAGACTAGTTTGATAAAAGAACACTGTGTGCTTTTCAAATTCACCACTTATAGTCTAAATAATTACAATATTGCCAGTTTCATACTGACTTCTCATTAGTGGGTTGGCCTATGCTTCCTCCTCCATTTGGTATTCCTCCAGGGACTGCATGTTGGATTTCCCTTCGGACTTCCCTTTTTATGTTCCACCTAATGAGTTATCCCTCTCCTTTCCCTGCCAATCCAACCCCATCAGCTACAACCCCTCTTTTTCCTATTCCTGATTTATAACACTCTCCAATAAAAACAAGGATGACATTTTACTTCGAAGTTGAGATAGGAATTGAATGAAATAGTAAATAGAATTGGTAGAATTTCTGACCTCCTTCAAGTGTCATAAGTCAAACATTTTGCCATTCACATTGGGCAATTAATAAATTTCTACTATGTGCTTTATCTTGCCCCCAACTCAAGTTTTCTAAGATAATAAAAATGTATATCTCATAGCTGTCTTAAAATATTAGACAATTTAACATTAGCAAATATTTTTAAGGTGGTAAGATTATATATATATATATATATACACACACACACACATATTTTCCTTTTTATCTTATTAATAGGATTTTTACAGAAGTTTGAGGTTTACAATAATTGAGAACACAGTACAGAGAATTCCCTTATATCCCCTCTTTATCACCTCACAGTCTTCCTCATTATTAACATCTTGCATTAATGTGGTACATTTGTTATAATTGATGAGCCAATATTGATACATTATTATTAACCAAAGTCCATAGTTTACATTTGGCTTCACTCCTTGTGTTACAGTTTTATAGGTTTTAACAAATGCATAGTGTCATGAATCCACCATTATAATATCATGCAGAATACTTTCACTGCCCTAATGTGCCCCTGTGTAGCACCTGCTCAATCTTCCTCTTCCCCTCAATCCCAGGAAACCACAAATATTTTATTGTCTCTATAATTTTGCCTTTTCTAGAATACTATATATTTAGAATCATACAGTATGTAGCCTTATCAGACTGGCTTTTTTACTAAGCAATAGGCATATTAGATTTCTACATTTTTTATGTGGCTTGACAGCACATATCTTTTTGTTGTTGAATTATATTTTATTATATAGATATACTACATACAATTTGTTCATCAATTCACCATTTGAGGGACATTTTTGTTATTTCTAGTTTGAGAGGATTATGAATAAATCTATACACATCTGTGTACAGATTTTGGGGTGAGCCTAAATTTTCAACTTACTTCAGTAAATAACTAGAAAAGGGATAGCTGGACCACTTGTAAGGCTATGTTTAGTTTTTTTCAAGAAACTGACCAAACTGTTTTCCAAAGTGGCTATACCATTTTCACCCTTACCAGCAATGAATGTATTCAGCATTCTTACCAGCATTTGGTATTGTTGTTTTTATGTTTTGTTTTGTTTTTGTATTTTCACTATTCTAATAAATGAAAGATGTTCTAATTATTTTATTCCATGTTATTGTTTCTCTTCAGGGTAAATGTCTTGTTGAAATATTAAGCTTTTTTCCTGCTAAATTAAAAGTCAGACAAGTTTACATGTGTCTGATATTTTAAACAAAATTCAAGTATTTAAAATCTAAAAATCTCCTCAATAAAGTTGATGATAAACTTGAGTGCTATAGGAATGAGATATACCAAAGCCTTTTCTAAACTAGAAAATTATGTAATTTGGGCTTAGAAGAGACAATTCATGAATAGCATCATCTTGAAAAGTTTACATTACTTATACTTTGAATAGTGAGCCAATTCAAGTCTGAGAATAAGAAATGAAAAGAATAAATACATGTAATTTTGAGTTTTTTAGAATTCATTTTAAAGCCACCAACTTTATTATTACTAAGATGCAAGCAAGGCTTCAGCAGCTATAGGGCACCTGATTTATTTTGAGTAAGAAAAACATGATAGGTAATTCATTAATAAATTTATTTACAAATTTCTTCATAAGGAAGGGCTTAGAGATGAGAGAATCTCTCTTTTAATAATATAGTCATTTCATGAGTAAAAGCCTACAATATGGGTTCACATCACACTATGAAGGAGGAAACAGCTTGATTGGAGTGTATAGAAAGCAAAGAAGACATAATCAATAACTAGTTTATTCTTCTTTGTGGAGCAGGATGACACTTTGTGAAGAGATTGGAGTTTATACACTGAAAAACTTGGATGGGAGGAGATTGCTGGCTGGTTTGTAGCAAATGCTCAAGAGTTCTGTGGAGGCTTCAAAATAGTTATGTATTGCTGGCTGGGGTTTACAGAAAGCCAATTCTTAAAGACTTTTATAGACAGGGTTTAGCATGCAGGATGCTTATTAAGAAGTGCCTTTGGGACCAGGTGCAATGGCTCATTGGGAGGCTAAGAGGGAATGATCACTTGAGATAAGGAATTTGAGACTAGCCTGAGCAGTATACCAAGACCCTTTCTCCACGAAAAAAAAATTTAAATTTGCAGGGCATGGTGGCATGCACCTATAGTCCTAGCTACACAGGAGGCTTAGGTGGGAGGATGACTTAGGAACTGGAGGTTGCAATGAGCTATGGTTGTGCTACAGTACTCTGCCCTGGGCAACAAAGTGAGACCCTGTCCAAAAAAAATGAGGTAAAAATTTTTTTAAAAAAGAAGTGCCTTGAGATCAAAAGCCATGAATGAAAAGGGAAAAAAACAAGATTGGGGAGAAGAGTATGTAGGGCTGCCAGGCCAACCCAATAACATCAGCCAACACCACAAGGAATTTAAAAGCTGAAATGGCCCAACAGAGTTGCCCCACTTTGGGATAAAAGGGCTTGAACTTTTTTTACTTTTGCCTAGATCAGTCGCTAAATGTGGACCACCCCTGGAAAGACATGATCTTGGAAAAAGTGGGTCTCTATAGCTGAAGTAATTCCTGAAGAGGCTCCTCTCTAAAGGCTGTCTGCTGGCAGTACACCCAGCAGTTGTTAAGGATCTTTGTGGGCCACATCTGTGTTCGCCATTCAATCCCTTGCGCATCTATGATTCCATTTTTCATATGCATCCACAGAGCGGCTCCTCCAGGATTGCAGTGTGTCCCTTTTCCTGAAAGAAATTTTGAAGAGGGAGGTTAACGGGACCTACTATATTCCTGACCACTGCAGCTGATGTTTAAGCTACAAATGATAATGCTCCTCTCTCTATTTTATCATCCACTCTAAGCTTCTTTTACCCTCAGTTGCTTGTCTTTGGGGTTACCTGGTGACAGACTAGAGATCTTCATCCCTTAGGGGTCTGAGCTGTTGGTCACCATGCTCTTCTCAAACCAAAGCTGTTGCACTTGGCTACCTGGAAATGCCAAGAGGTGCTCAAGTAAATCTCAGATGCCAAACATATTCTTCCCTGCTCCCGTGCAGTAATATCAGTTTTATTTCCACCTGATAATCAGATCAATTGCCCAGGCCAAGTTACTTGCTGATCCCTAAACACAAGGGCCTAAATAGTTCAATAAGCATCCTGCTGTGCCCCCTGGCTGAAGTTCTCCCCCTCTGAGGGACAGGAACTTTGAATTATCCATAGCCCAGACTTGCGGAAATGGATGATCTCATCCACTCGTGCTTCCAGTATTTGGTTTCCAAACCCATGTACTTCTATGAGGGATATAATATCATGTTATATGTTTTGATTTGAGGTATATGTAGCAAACTGGAGATTGGCACTCCACCCTCAAAGTGTTGGCTCTGAGCTGGCATGTACTACTTAGTTGGTCTTTCGAGCACTTTATCAGGCCAGCAGTTTCTGGAAGACACAATATGTGATATAAACGGTGAATCACATGGTAAGAAGCCTACTATTATCCTCTAAAGTAGATTACCTTTTGGGAAATAAAGTTTTGTGGTATCAGCCAGTGCTAGTGGAGCAAACGTTCTCTAAGACTTTGGATAGTAGTGCTGACCTGAGGCCATGAAGAAAGGAAAGGCAAACCATGCACAGAATATGTGTCTGCTCCTGTTAAAATGTACCTATGTCTCCTACAGTTTGGAAGGGACTCAATATAATCAAGTTGCCACCACATACTTAGTTGGGCTCCTCTAGAAATGGTACCATGTTAGGAGTTCAGCGTTTTCTTTGTTGCTGGCAGTTTAGACACTTAGCATTGGTAGAAGCTATATCAGTGTTGGTAAATGGAAGCCCACCCATTTTGGGGGGATATGGTCTCCATCTCTGCCACAGAGGACTGTCTCTATGAAGCCATTATGCCACCACTAGGGTAATGAATCTCAAAGTCTGGATGACATCCACTGTCTGAGTCATTTTGTCTTCTTCATTGTTGGATGCCTACTCTGTGGTGAATGCGCTCTAATCTAACATTTAATTCTAAGATATTCACACTTTGTGCCTTCTTTAATGTGTGCATTCAGATTTCTCTATCTCAGTTCTCCTTGCCTCCAATCTTCCAGTTTTTCCCCTTACAAGTCCCTGAGCAGCCATCCATGAATTTGGATATATTCTAATGTTGGGCCACTTTCCAAATGGCCAGGTGGATAACCAGACGCGTTGCCTAAAACTCTGCCTATTGGGATGACCTTCCCTATCTCCCTCCAACCACCAACTGTCTTTCAAGACCACCTCTGAAAGTGAAAGGGAGAGGATAAGGGGAGGAAGAGTAGAAAATATTAATAGTAGTGTCTGTTTATTAAATGGTCTCTATGGTCCTACCTCACAGATGAGGAAACAGAGGCTAAGAAAATTAAGGAAGTTTCCCAAGACTACAAAGCTTAATAAAAGTTTCCTTTCTCTGAACTTCTATGTCACCTTCTGATTGTATTTTTTACCTAGCGTTTGCCATTTCTTGCCTTATGGAACTATCATCTTTTTCTATATGTTTCCCTTTTCATGAAATCAATTATCAATCTCTTTGAAGCATAGATTGTTTTCCTTTTTAATTTATATCTATTGCCTCTAACACAATGCCCTGGACACAGTAGGTGCTCAGGAAAGTTTTTTTGATGATGACATAGGAGCTCAAAACAAATGAAAACATTAGATAAACAATATTTAAAGTGTGACAGTTATGAGATGCAAAATTTGAAGTTGTTGTGCAAGTTTGGTGGATATAATAGAGAAATAGGTCTCTCTGCTGCATAAGTTGCGGGATATGGAAGGATATATTATATTTAAATAAAAAGTACAGTGGGCCAGGTGCAGTGGCTCACACCTATAATCCCAGCACTTTGGGAGGCCCAGCGGGTGGATCGCCTGAGGCCAGGAGTCCAAGACCAGCCTGGCCAACATGGTGATACCCCGTCTCTACTAAAAATACAAAAAATTAACTGGGAATGGTGGTGAGTGCCTGTAATCCCAGCTACTTGGGAGGCAGAGGCAGGGAGAATCACTTGAACCCAGGAGGCGGAGATTGCAGTGAACTGAGATCGTGCCATTGAACTCCAGCCTGGACAACAGGCAAGACTCTGTCTCAAAAAAAAAAAAAAGTACAGTGAAATTTTTAAGGACTTTAACATCAAGGCCCCCACCATACTGCTTCCTTGCCATGAAACCTTAATGGGCTTTCAACCTCTCAGAAATAGTGTTTCCCCCTCTCAGAAAAAAATCACATCTCTCTGAGAGAGTTAAGAGGTAATAGCTTGGGAAGATTTGAAATGGTAATAACATGATGCTCTGAATGTACATTAGCTATTTGATAATATGTGATCTAGATGATAGAACATGATATATGTCATATAATGTGTAATATACATACTATATGCTACATAGATATATAATATTAGTCTGTCATTTTTAATAACTCTTTTATTTTTTTTAGCCAAAGCCCAGAGTGAATTCTCAATAAGTATTAGGCCTTACTCTTTAGACAGAGAAAATGCTGTTAGTCACTCATGTGAAGTTGCTGCTTTTTCCCTCTGTCTTCTTTATTCTCTGTCTGATTTTCCTCTCCTTAACTGTCACTTCTGTCTCTAGGCATATGTCAGAACCATGAAATATTAATCAGTTCCCTGAGGGAAAGCTTTTCCTAGGGCTTTTCTTGCTCCTGATTTTCCAAGCAACTGCGAATACCTCTTTCTTCCACCCTATACTATTCGTGCTGCAGACCTGCCGGGACTAAGGATACTTGAGCTCGTAATGGCAAATTGTTGGGTTGGTACAGTCCATATTAGTTCATCTTCAGGTCCTAGCAGCAGCATAGAGTACAGTCTCTTCATTCAGTAGATGATTAAAAATGCTTATTGGCTGGAATTTAACTTTATCATAGAACAAATCCGCCTGTATTTTTTTTTATTCCCTTTCAAGAAGCTTTCTGTGTTTAACACAATTATGTCTTCCTGAAGGCAAACTCCTAAAAGAAGATAATATTTGCATTGATTTTTTAGTAACTAAGATGTTATTTTTAAAAATGTATTATTAAAACTAAAGGTTTGTAATTTTTAAAAAACTCAAACATTAGATAAACAATATAGATAAACAAAGATAGATAAAAGTGAAGCAAAGGCTGGGCACGGTGGCTCATGCCTGTAATCCCAGCACTTTGGGAGGCTGAGGTGGGCGGTTCATGAGGTCAGGAGATCGAGACCACCCTGGCCAACATGGTGAAACCCTGTCTCCACTAAAAATACAAAAATTAGCCGGGGGTGGTGGCAAGCACCTGTAGTCCCAGCTACTCGGGAGGCTGAGGCAGGAGAATGGGGTGAACCCGGGGGGCGGAGCTTGCAGTGAGCCGAGGTGGCGCCACTGCACTCCAGCCTGGGCGACAGAGCAAGACTCCGTCTCAAAAAAAAAAAAAAAAAAAAAGAAAGAAAGAAAGAAAAAAAAGTGAAGCAAAACTCAAAAAGCCCCCATTAGTCTACCTTTAACACTGTTGGAAATTCTCACTATTAATTAGTTCTTGTGTAGCCTTCCAGAAAATAGATATAGAAAAACACACATGCCACAGTCTTACACACTCATACTCCCTCCATGAGCACTTATTCATGTACTAGAATTTGTATGTATACATGTATTCATATATATATATATATAAAGTATAAAGTATATATCACTCATACTGTTCTGTAACTAACTTAAAAATCTGAACTGCATTAATGATAATCAGAATAGTTGTCTGTTGGGAAGCTTTTCATACAAGCACCCTAGAAGCAACATCATTCATTTTTATTGCTTTCATAGGATGTCATTGAAGAGAGAATCCATAACTTATTGCAGAATTCTTCTATTTATAAACACTTTGATTGTTCTCACTTTTTTGTGGTACAAGCTGTGCTTCAGTGAATGTGGCTATGCTTCTCTTATTGCAGACCTGAGCCAACATTAATACACCCATAGATTGCATACAGAAAAGGAGGCATGCTTCAGTTATAGTAAAATAGTTTTTTTTTTTAATTTTGAATAGACTGTGTTTCCCAATAGTTTGACTTTTTTACACTCCCAACAATAGAGTGTGAGAGTATCAATCTTACACTTGGAAAAGATAAAATGGTACCGTAATATTGTGAAAATTATATTTAGTCTTAGTTCCTGTTTTCTGGCATACAAAGCCTAAAATCCTTGGAATCTCTGGAGTGATGAGTGGGTTTTTTTGTTTGTTTGTTTTATGCTACTGAGATGACTGGTGGCTGGGGCACTTTAAAAAGTGTCAGCTGATTTAGAAACACCTCTGGGAAAAAAGAGGGATTGAAGATTAAGTTGATCGCCAATGGCCAAAGTTTTAATCAACCATATCTGCTTAATCAAGTCTCCATAAAATTCCAAAAAGACAGGCTTCAGTGAGCCTCCTGATAGGTGAACACGCGGAGGTTACTGAGGGTGGTGCACCCAGAGAGGGCATGGAAGCTTCTCCCATACCCCGCTCTCTGCATCCCTTTAATCTGGCTGTTAATCTGTGTACTTTGTAAAATCCTTTGTAATCTTGTCTATCCTTTAAGTAAGATAAAAATGTAACATGGTACCTAAAAATACAGAAAAACAAAACAAAACAAAACAAAAGTGTTTTCTTCTCTCTTACACACCACTCAACACAACACTTCACCAGATATGTGAGGGTTTTCCCCATATACAAACCAAGATTCTGCAGCAAACAACAGCTGAGTGTCCTCCAATTCAATCCCACACTATCTACTGGAGATAGTGTCAGATCTTTTAGACCGAGGGCTCATTTCTTAAAGATAGATCTCCATTTTAGATGCCCACTTAAGCCCGAGGTTGTAGCCTGTGCTTCTGACTGACTGGTTATAAATTAGTGTTCACACAACCCTTTTCTTAGGTTCAAGTAATTTGCTAGAACAGCTCATAGAACTCAGAGAAACACTCTACTTACAATTATCAGTTTATTATATTTTAAAAATAGAAAAGCACTAAATTCTAGTGTCTGCTTCTGAGTTTAATCTGCTGAGATATAAAATATCATGTAGCCTGTGGAAAACTCCAAGATACTCTTGTGAGATAATGACAGTATAAAAGGCAAATAATGTCTTAGTATTATTGCAAAAGAAGTTTTTAACCTTGTGTACCTGAAAAAGTTTTGGAAATCCTCAGGGATACCTGGACCACACTGTGATAACTACTTCATTGGAGCAAGAATTTCTGTCTACAGACATAGCAAGAATGTATCCTGTTCACCTTTCATGCCCTTTCAGCCCAGGTATTGTGGCTTCATAAATCAATTAATCATAACAGAAAGATAGTCTATTTAATGATGAAGAAAACACCACCAATGCATCAAACATTGATTAATTAAAGCAGTTTATTTTTCTCTGTGGCTTAATAGTTGTGGGCAAACAAATCCTTTGCTATGAAAAACTTATTCTAGAAAACTTTAAGCCCTAGGAAGATTCAAAATTGAAGCTAACTCTACATTATGTTTCATTGCTTGATTTCTGTATCTTCAATTATGATTATGCCTTGTATTAAATCAGATATTGACTCTGCCTGGCTCATTTGTTATATTAATAATTCTTTTCCACTGACAAGAATGATGGAAGTTCAATTTCTGCGTGAAAATATTAGCTAACAAATTTATTCCTTGGGATTCTGGTTTCGTTTGTTTTTCTATTGAAATTCAGAGTTCTGCCATTTGTTTTGCTTTTATCTCCTTAATTTATTATATTAACATATAACTTTTACGTACATTGAAAAATGTGATTTTATATGTTTATTCTGTTTTGTTTGCTGTCTCCAACTTTCTCTCCCCTTACTCTACTCACATTATTCCTCTGCCCAACCATCACAAATAACCCATGTTAGCAACCTAATGTATCATTTTCATATTTATTTCCCCACTCCCATAATAATATACCCCCATGCATGTGAATAAATGCACACATAAATTTAAGGGCTCTAGTACTTTTTTCACAAAAATGTGATCATAAAACAAACATTTTTCTGCATCTTTTTTTTTCACTCAATACATGAAGGATAGCAATGAGAGAATTAGTTCAAAAATTTTATTTTTAAGGGTTGCCTAACATTCCAAAATTTATTCAACCATTCATTCTCCTATTAAGGGCATTTACATTGTGGAAAGTTGATTTTTTAATTTATTCTTGATATTATTTTATATCCTGGCCATTCTGAACAATGCTGAAATACACATCTTTCATGATATATTTTTACCTACCAGCACTTTCATTTTTATAGGACAGAAAACTAGAAGCCCATAGTGAAACTGCTGGACAGATGGATTTATACATTTAAAAAACAATTTAACTAGAAATTTTTCTAGTTTGTATTTGCAGAGGTGTTCATAATAGTCCCAGAGAATCTTTTGTATTTCTGTGGAATCAGTTGTAATGTCACCTTTGTCATTTCTAATTTTGCTTATTTGGACCTCTTCTCTTTTTTCTTCAATAATCTAGCTAGCAGCTCATTGATCTTCTTAATCTTTTCAAATAACTAACTTTTGAATTTGCTGAATCTTTGTATGGATTTGGAGGTCTCACTTTCAGTCATTTCCCCTCTGATTCTGGCTATTTATTTTCTTCTGTTAGCTATGAGGTTAGTGTGCTCTTGTTGTTCTAATTTCTCTAGGTGTGATGTTTGAGCTTTGGGTTTAGTGTGTTATTGTTTTTCTATTCCATCTAGGAGTGATGTTTGATCATTAATTTTGAGATATTTCTAATATTTTGAGGTAGGTAGGCATTTAGGGCTATAAACTTCCTCTTAATACTTCTTTTGCTGCATCCCAAATATTTTAACATGTTGTGTCTCTGTTTTCATTTCTTTCAAAGAATTTTTTTATTTCTATCTTGATTTTGTTGTTTGAACAAAAGTAATTCAGGAGCAAATTGTTTAATTTCCACGTAATTGTGTGGTTTCAAGAGATTTTTTGGTATCCATTTTTATTTTTATTCCATTGTGTTCTGAGAGTATGGTTAGTATGATTTTGATTTTTTTAAATTTATTGAGACATGCTTTATGGCTAAGCATGTGGTCAATCTTGGAGTATGTCTCATATGCAAATGTATATTCTGTGGTTGACGGATGAAGTGTTCTGTAGATTTTTGCTAGGTCTAATTGGTCAAGTGCTGAGTTTAAGTACAGAATTTCTTAGTTTTGTGCCTCAATGATCTGTTTAATGCTGTCAGTAAATGGATCAATTTCTGGAAGCACAAAGTCTCTCAAGATTGAATCAAGAAGAAATTGAAAACTGGACAAAACAGTATTGAGTTCTGAAACTGAATCAGTAATAAAAAACCTAACACCAAAGAAAGCCCCAGACCAGAAGAATTCATAGCCAAATTCAAAACAAAATGCTCATGGATTGGAAGAAACAATATTGTTAAAATGATGATGCTGCCCAAAGCAATCTACAGATTCAATGCTATTCATATAAAACTACCAATATTGTTTTTCACAGAATTAGAAAAAAACACTATTCTAAATTCATATGGAACCAAAAAAGCAGCCCAAATAGCCAAAGCAATCCTGAGCAAAAAGAACAAAGCTGGAGACATAACATTGCCCAAATTCAAATTATTCTATAAAGTTAAAATAACCAAAATAGGATGATACTGGTATAAAAACAGACACATAGAACGATGGAACAGAACAGAGAACCCAGAAATAAAGGCACACGTGTACAGCCATCTGATTTTCAATAAAATTGACAAGAATAAGCAATGGGGAAAAGACTTCCTATTCAATAAATAATTCTGAGAAAACTGGCTAGCTACATGCAGAAAAATGAAACTTGACCCCTACATCTCACCATATACAAAAATTAACTCGAGATAGATTAAATGTTTAAATGTAAGACTTCAGACTATAAAAATCCTAGAAGAAAGCCTAGGAAACATCATTCTGGACTCCACCTTGGAGAAGAATTTATAACTAAGTCCTCTAAAACAATGGCACCAAAACAAAAATGGACAAGTGAGAACTAATTAAACTAGGCAGCTTCTGCACAGCAAAGGAAACTATCAACAGAATAAACAGACAACATAGAGAATGAATATATTTGCAAACTATGTATCTGACAAATACCTAATTTTCAGAGGCTGTAGTAATTCACATTTCCATCATCAATATATGAAAATATCCTTATAAGTGTTCATGGCATTTAAAAAATTTTAAAGTCTGACTACTACATAATAATACCCAATTACATTACTCATGAGTTTGCACATCTTTTTATACATTGTTGAAATTGTCTACTCAAATTATTTGCATGCTTTTCTATTAGCTGATCTAACAGGATATTCACAAGGACTCTTCCTGCTTACAATTTTGGCTGAGACTTCAATGCTGAGAACAGTAGGTACTACGGTGTCATTCCAAATCAAAATACCAGTTCTTCTATGCAGTACTTAGAAAAAACTATCAAAAATGGGCAATAAACATTAGTCCATCATCTATATCCAGGATCTGTAAAGAAAGCTCAGAGTGTATTAAAAGTAAAAAACTGATAATAATATAAATCACAAGTGTTTAATTAGAGAGAAGAAAGTATTTCCCATTTCTTTAAAACCAAATGAAGAAACCGTTGATAACAGCATGGAGAGCTAAATATGTACCCCTGAAATCTTATAGATGCAGGAATTGGGATGTAGCTCATACCCAAAAAGACTGAAGCAGATAGGCTAGCAATAATGGCATGCTTCTGTGGCAAAGAGACAGCAACGGGAATGGCTGCCTCTCTGGAATGTGGCAGGACAGGTTACATAAATATCTCTTCTAAGTCAGGCGAGGTCTCTGTGTCAGAAAGCCAGACTTGAGGCATTGTAAAAGGAGGCTTGATGATAAAGAAATTAAACTTTGGATGGACCACAAGGATTCATATGGCATATGCACCCTTTGAAACTGTTTTTTTTTTTTTTTCCTTACATGTTGTTTATTCTTCTTCCTCTTCTTCTTCCTTTTTTTTTTTTTTTTTTTTTCTTATGAAGTCTCACTCTACACCTAGGCTGGAGTACAGTGACACAGTCTCGGCTGACTGCAAACTCCACCTCCCAGGTTCAAGCAATTCTCCTGCCTCAGCCTACCGAGTAGCTGGGATTACAGACACGTCACCTTGCCCAGATAATTTTTGTATTTTTTTTATTGGAGACAAGGTTTTATCATGTTGGCTAGGCTTGTCTCGAACTCCTGACCTCAAGTGATCCATATTTTGTATTTTTTTTATACAAATTATAACTCAAGTAGGTCTTTATAATTTTACGCAATTTTTAGGATGTTCTATTTGTTTATAGTTTTTCAAAGCTAAATCTAATGTTTGATGAGCATTTTCTACATTAGTTTCATTTAAATCTAATTATTTCTTAAGTTAAAATTCTGGAAGCCAAATTATCAGGTCTTGGTAAAAGGATATTTTACATAATTGATGTTCACTTCAAAATCTCCTCTTAAGTAGACTATAACAATTCAGATTACTACTGGATTCTAAGTTTCAAGAAAGCAAAGACTGTGGCCCTTTTACTTCAACATTTTATCTTTATACCTTTAACTTATTTTTTTTGAATTATTGCACTAGCCAGAACTTCCACAGTAATGCTGAATAAAAATTATGACAGCAGTGTATTTCTCTTGCTTCTAATTTTAAAATAAGTGTTTCCACATAGAGTTTCAACATAGAGTTGAGACTTACATACTTCAAAAATATATGTTTGAGATGGATTTTGCAGACACCTAGTATAATGCCTGATCCATAATGATTATAATTTACACAAAATATATATTTGGCTGGGCAGTGTCCCATGCCTGTAATCCTAGTACTTTGGGAGATGAGGCACGAGGATTGCTTCAGCCTAGGAGTTCAAAACCAGACTGGGCAACATAGTGACACACATCACTACAAAAAAATTTGAAAAATTAGTCAGGTGTGATGGCACGCACCTATGGTCTCAGCTACTTGGGAGCTGAGTTGGGAGGATCATTTGAGCTGAGGGGTCAAGCATGCAGTGAGCCATGATTGCACCACTGTGTTCCAGTCTGTGCAATGGAGCATCACCCTGTCTCATAAATAAATAAATAAATATTTTCAGAAGAATGAGTGAACTAGGATATAAATACATCAAGATCCATAATTCTTACAAATACTGGTTACTATTATTTTACTCTTCTATATTTGAAATTTCAAAAGGCAAAAATTTTTCTATTTTTAATTTGTATTTCTTTGATCATTATGGAGGGTAAATTGTATTAAATATAAAGTGATTTGGAAACATCTGACATATTTCTGTATGACATGCTCAGATCTCTTGTCCAGATTATTTTGTAGTATTTTTTGTCCTTTTCTTACTGATTCATAAGAGCTGACATGTTGACATGATTGATGACACATTGATGCTACATGGTACAAGTATTTCCCCCTGCCCAGTTGGTACTTTCTTTCTTATTTTTCTTTAAGACATTTAATATAACTCAGAAGTTTCTAAACTTTGAAAAATAAATATATCAACATTCTGGGGGTATAGCTCTGTGGTAGAGCATTTGACTACATGAACATATCAATATTTTCTTTTCTTTCTTTGCTTTTATATTCAGAAAGATTTTCCCTTTTTCTCACTATCTGGTATTTGGTACAGGAGACTATTGTATATTTTTTCTCAAGATATATTAATTGAATGAATTTTGTTTATTATGTCATTTGTTTTCCACTATTAGAAAATGTATATTTACAGCAGAATAAAGGAGTAAAATGTTCTATTCAACAAATACTGGAAAATTAGTTCATAAAAACTTGCCATTCAGAATAAAAAAAGTCTTACTAAACTAAATGTAAAAGGAAATATAATAAATGGTATCTACAAAAGGCACACCTCAAATATTCTAGATAGAGAAATATTGAAAGCACTTTTTTAAAATTATAAAAACAACTCACTTTTTAAATTCTACTCAAAGTAAGTGTCTTGACAAGTGTGATAAGATAAAAAATAAATAAATAAATAAATGAAACAAAGCTGTCATTATCTGAAAGTGACATAATTATATAATTTTTTAAAATCTAGTAAAAATTACACAAAATAATACCAGAATTTAGCAAATTTGATGGGCATAAGATTGCATTTCAATATTCCCACAACCAGTATTTGGCAATAATAACTTAAATTTTACCATTTATAACAGCAACAAAACAGTAAATTACTATAACGACAACAATAAAATACCAAGGTATAATGGTTAATTTTATGTGTTAACTTGACTGGACCACAGGGTGCCCAAATATTTGGCTAAATATTATTTCTGGATGAGTCTGTGAGGGTGTTCCTAGATAAGATTAGTATTTGAATCAACAGACTGAACTGATTGCCCTCTCCAGTCCAGATGAGCATCATCCAATCCATCCAGGGTCTGAAGAGAACAAAAAGGTGGAAGAAGGGTGAATTCTCCTTCTCTCTCTGCCTGTCTGCCTGAGCTGAGATATGCATCTTATTCTGTCCTCAAATTGGAACATATTCCACCAGAGTTAGGTCTCTGCATGTATGTGTGCGTGTGTGCATGTTGTCTGTGTGTGTATACGTATATTGCAGAATATACATTTTGTTTCTGTAAAGAACCCTAACTAAGGCTGGGCACGGTGGCTCACGTCTGTAATCCCAGCACTTTGGGAGGCCGAGGCGGGCGGATCACGAGGTCAGGAGATCGAGACCACCCTGGCTAAAACGGTGAAACCCCGTCTCTACTAAAAATACAAAAAATTAGCCAGGCGTGGTGGCGGGCGCCTGCAGTCCCAGCTACTTGGGAGGCTGAGGCAGGAGAATGGCGTGAACCCGGGAGGCAGAGCTGGCAGTGAGCCGAGATTGCACCACTGCACTCCAGCCTGGGCAAAAGAGCGAGACTCCATCTCAAAAAAAAAAAAAAAAAAAAAAGAACCCTAACTAATACACAAGGAATACATTTTTTAAATGTACCAAAGTTTTATGCAGAATATTATAGAAATTTACTGCAAGATATTAAAGGCAAGGTAAGTAAATATAGGGATATACCATGTTAATAGATTGGAAAACAATTATAAATGTCAATTATCCCCAAAATGACTATTAATTTAAAGAAAATTAATCCTTTAAAAATTCTGAATGTAATATTTTAATGAAACTTTATAAATTACTTCTAAAATTTATATGGAATAGCAAAGCACTCAGAATAGCCAGGATACTTCAGTAGAAGAATAAGGAGAGGATAAGACTTTCCAAATAAGAAGACTTACTATAAAGCTACAGTAATTAGAGCAGTGTGGCATTAGAGTATGGATAGGCAAATAATAATAATAATAAAGAATCTACAGCCCAGAGGATCCCATGCTCTTAGGAAACACTGACATATGCAAAGATGGCATGGCAGATTATAGAGAAAGAAGACTGTTTAGTAATGAAGCTGGAAAAATTAGTTCCATATGAGTACAAAAAATGAAATCAGATCCTTATGTCATAACACACACGGAAATCAACTCTACAGGGATAAAGAACTGAATCTTTGTGTGATAAACACTTACATTATATCTGTGTGCCAGAAAAAGATATAGGAATATACATAGCTTCTTGACAGTCTTGTTCTTAGCATAAAAGAAAAAAAAATGGCAACAATCCAATGTCCATCAACTGGAGAGTAAATAAACTGTGCTCTTTTTCACACAGTAGAAATTATGTAACAGTAAATTTAAAGGTACTGTAGCTGCATACAGTATTAATAATATAAAGTGAAAAGGCATGTCCAGAGACTACATATGGTATAGTTATTATGAAGTTCAAAAGCAAGCTAAAACTAAATAAAATAATGTTATGGCATGCATTAGATGTACCAATTTTTTAAATGGCAATTCAGAAACAGAAAAGCAAATACCGCATGTTCTCACTTATAAGTGGGAGCTAAATGATGAGAATACAGGGACGCATAGTGGGGAACAACACACACTGGAGACTTTGAGAAAGTGGAGGGTGGGAGGGGGGAGAGGATCAGGAAAAATAACTAATGAGTACTAGGCTTAATACGTGGATGATGCAATAGTCAGTACAACAAAGCCCCATGACACAAGTTTATGTAATAAACCTGAACTTACACCTCTGAAGTTAAAATAAGTCACATACACACATACACACACACACACACACACACACAATTGTATTTGCATCCGAGAAGTGAAAGGGAGGTAGTTGAGGAGAATGGTTTAGGTAGATGTAAGGTTTTCTACTATTTCTATTTTTGGCTTGGGTGGCAGTTTCACAGAAGCTGACTGAATAAATTCTGAATAAATAAATCTATTAATTGACTAAATAAATGATTAAAAAGACAGTCATATGTAAAATTAGTAATAACAGCATATATAATCCAGATCCAGAAATTGAGAGAAAAGTTTTGTATTTATTATAAACTAAATTTGAATCTTGACTGAGATGCCCCTCTATTATTTTTCCTCTGCATTCCCTATTTGCTTGTAAGAACTATTGTCTTTCATTTGTAGTGCTTTATCATGTGTTTTATTAGGCAGTAGACAAGTCCACCTATATTATTCTTATTTAGTACAGGTAGTTCTTTTTTTGAACAGTATGTATTAACTATAAAACATACACATAAGAACTGTACTCTTAATTTGCACAGTTATTTAGTTACCATGATATTGTGAAAAATGAGGGTACCACATACATGAGTTGCAGTTAGCACCATAAACACAAATTGCAGACTGCTTGTATTCTTGTTATTATAATAATTCTTACTTTATGTATGTATGTCTGTATTTGTTTACTTAGTTTAGAGATAGGCTCTCACTCTGCCATTCAGGCTCTAATGCAGTGGTGTGATCGTAACTCACTGCCGTCTCAAACTTCTGGGCTCACAGGCTCAAGCAATCCTACTTCAGCCTCCTGAGAAGCTGAGACTACAGGTGTGCACCACTGCATCCGGCTAATTAAAAAAAAAATTGTAGAGATGAAGTCTCACTTTGTTGCCCAGGTTGTTCGCCAGCTCTTGGCTTCAAGTAATCTTCCTGCCGCAGCCTCTCAAAGTGTTGGGATTACAGATGTGAGGCACTGTGCCCAGCCAAGCTTGGTATTCTCACATGGAGAGTTGAACCCAGGCTGCCTGGGTCAGATGTATTCTTAAGTCTTTCATTCATACATTCTGCTGGAGAAATTTAGAAATGTGTCAAGTAAAAAAATAAAGTTTTTATTAGAATTGCATACAATTTATAAGCTAATTAGGAAGTAATAACCATATTTGTAATATTGCATCAAAACTATTGCAACAAATAAAAACACTTGGTAAATTTGTCAGCTATAAAATAAAAATACAGGACAAAATATTGCAGGCTGTGTCAGATATAAAACTCTATTAGATGTAATTGGAAGTTAAACCTCATTAGTCCACAGAGGCTCTTTCTGTGCTCTTGGGCAGAACCATCTTCTAACAATCATAACTTGATCAAGAGTGTCTTAACTGCCTGGGAATGTTCTAGGGCACAGATCCAGATTTCCAGTAATAGAACTTGATTTCCATGGGATAATGAAATCTGTGAGAAAATATCCAAGTGAAAAACAAGTCTGATAGAGTATGTAAGTAGAGCAACAGAACCTGAGTTTCAAAAGAGAAATAGTATTTTCAGAGAGAGTATGAGAATAGACCTCTCCATCCCCTAACATTGCCCTTTGGATGTCTGCTTACTCTAAGACAAAAAATGACATAAAATAAAGGAAGAATTTACCACGGCGCCAACATACATGCTATGAGAAACTTCAGAAGACTCGTCATATAAAGAAGAAAATTTTCTTTTCTAATGGCTAGAGGGAGAAAGCGTCAAAAATAGAGGATATCTGTGACAACACTGGCAATTCCATCAGCAACAATCTTGGGCTACAGAGGTCATGGATGACCAGAGGAAGGAACACTAAAAAGAAGAACCCCAGAAATGCAAGAAGTAGCTTCATTTTATGCCAGAACTCTGTCTCTCTAAGGACTCCCAGGAGAAATAGCTTAGATATTTTGCAAAACCGAAACGGAAACCTAGACTTCCTGTGAGTCAAAAAAGTATACGTTTGGAGATTTGAGGTCTAAGGTATTGTAAGAGTGGCAAGGGACCATGTGGGTGAAGTAAAAGAATCCCCCGAAGCTTCATTAAATGTTATATGATAATAATATGCTATATTAACAAAAGTGATTTTATTCCCCTGCCTTCTTTCACTCTGTGACCCTTCAGTCATTGAGACATTCTACTGATTTGTCTCACATGAACTGAAAACAAGGGGGAAAAAAAAAGATGCCATACTTTCTTGAATTTGGAATTTTAAAATTCCACTCTCCCAAGAGCAGCAGAGAGGACTCTAGTACACAGGCCAGACAATAGATGGGAAAATGCAGTTTACTTAACAGCTAGACTCTTAACCACCTTCATTCTCTAACTCGAAAATCAGTAAAGATTTCTTAGACAGTGGGAAGGAAGGTGAATTGAAAGGGTAGCAAGTCATGAGTCCCTGTGAAAAAGGCTTTTGTCCCTGTAGGAACACAAAGCAATAGCAACACTTACACTATCCTCAGTCAATACTGAGGAAGTAGCAATAAACCATATTACAATTTGCGGTGGTAGGTGACAAGACAGACAAGTCAATACAGCACTGAAGAGCTCCATAGCACCCCAGAAATGCAGAAACAAATGATTCCAGGCTGTCATAAAGTAGCACCAGAGTAGAAGAAGGATGAAAGAGAAGGGACAGAGAAGCAAAGCAAAGGTCATCTGTGTAGACTGAGGCATCATCATGATCCTATCCTTGCATGCTTCTTGTAGCAAACAATTTTGACAATTATGTTAAAAGCATTAAAGATAGATGAATACTTTGACTCAGCAATTTTACCTATAGAACTTTTACTAAGATATTACTAAGGGAGAGTTCAGATTCCAGAAATGCCATGGACAAAAAAAAAAAGTAAAATCTCTCATGCTTTAAAATGTTGAAATTGTTTTAAATGCCTGACAGCTTGTGAGGAAGGAAAAATGTCAAGTATCATAAGTGAATAGGTAATTGAAAGCAGAATATTTTGAGCTGATGGTGAGGCTACTGTAGGCAGGAAGGATAAGGATTTTCTGTCTGTGCGATACAGCATCTTGGATACAAGACAGGGAAGAGAAACTGAGACTAACATAAACCTAGAATCCCCAAAGTGCTATACCCTTAGTGAAAGGGCAAACTAGACAAATATTCTCCCCACCGGCACAGGGAAGTGGAAAGAAAGCTCATCTGTATTACTGTGGGCTATAGAAGGAAAAAGAATAATCCTCAGAGGTTCCAGTTTTGTATCTCACATTGGTTTAGGGTTCAAATTTTCATTACCTATGTAATGTCAGTACCACCAATTGAAGAAATTAATATAAAATTTGTTAATAATTCTGAGGCTTCTTTTGCAGAACACAGTGCAAGCTACTACAAGGTTTTCTGACAGCAGGGAAAAATTAAGCCTTCCTAATGTGTGAGCTAACAATAAAAAATTAAAAGCAAAAATTAAAAGCATATGAGGAAAGAATCTATTATGAGTTAAAAGACACATCTGATTTATAACCCCATGAACATGTTGTAATATCAAGATCACTCAAATAAGATACAAAATAAATGTAAAATTAATTAAAATGTAAAAGAAAAATTGAAACCTTAGGGAAAAAGCATGACATAACGAAACAATACATCTCAGAAAAGAACAAAATATATATTTTAAAAATGCAGTTCCATTGAAATATATACATGCATATGTTATAGAGAGACAGACACATTAATAGGTAGACATAGATAGCTGATAGAGATAGGTAAACAGCAGTCTATATTTAGCTGAAAAGGGGATAATTGAAATGGAAAAAATAGTTGAAAATATCACACAATTTCTATCAGAAGAAATTACGACATAAAAAAGAGATATATTTAAATGTGTTAAAAATATCTAACATTTATCTAAATAGGAGCAAAAGAAAATGACAGAGAGACTGTAGAAAAATAAATGCTTAAGATGACAATAATTGAGAATTATTCAGAATTTATACGTAAATATATTATAATAAAGTAGGAAACAGAAAACAGAGACAGAGAGAAAGAAAGAACAGGAACAAAAGTGAAAGCAAGACAGAGAATAAGAAAGATAGGAAGAGCTAAGAGAGAAACTGTTCAAAACTATGAGAGAGTAGCAATATATTACTCACAAATAAATGGCAATCACTCTTACAGAAAAGCTCTTAGTGATGCTCTGATAAATAAGTTCCAGATATATACCTTTACAAGAGGCAAAAACATAAAGTCAGAGAGTTTTGAAGTCAAAGAATGGAAATGATATATAAAGTAAATGAAAGTTGGTTATATTAATATCAAGCAAAACAGACATACGGACAAATAAAAGAAAAAAATTGGCAAAGCATTACAACATAATGCTAATGCTCTGATCATGTGGGTAACTAACATGACTTCAATATACAAGACATATTTTGGCAAATGTAGCAAATATATATACAGAAAAATATAGTAAAATATAAAGCAAAAATTATGGGGAATTCTAGAAGAAAATTTTACTTCTCTAAAGTTATTGACAGATTATTTTGATTAAAAAGTAAAGTAACAAGAAAAAACAACATCTAGAATATATACTAAGACATTGACATTATCCCAGAAAAGTAAACATATACTAACCATATGATCCAACAATTTTACTTCTAGGTATATATTCAAAAATAATAAAAGCATGTTTTCACACAATGACTTAAACATGAACATTCATAATTTCATGTTTAAGTAATAACCTAAACTAAACTTGGAAACAACTAAAATATCTATCAATGAAATAGTAAATTGGTGTTACATTTATACAATAGATTACTACTCAGCAAAAAAAAAAGATGTATGCAACAACATAGATGCATCTCACAATAATTATGCTAAATTAAAGAAACTAGACCAAAACAGAGTACATTCTATATGAGTCTATTTATACAAAATTCTAGAAAATGCAAACTAACCAATAGTAAATAAAGGAAGCAGATTAGTTTTGCCTGGGGATGGGGGATGGGGGTAGAGGGATGGGAGAAATGAAATACAAAGAAGACAGATAGAAGTTTTTGGGATTGACACATGTTCATTATTCTGATTTTGCTGAAGACTTCAGTGGTGTTTACATATATCAGCACTTACCAAATACACACTGTTTCGGAGTACTATTCAGCAATTGAAAAAAAGATGAGATTCTATCATTTGCAGCAACATGGATGGAGCTGGAGGATATTATGTTAAGTGAAATAAGAGAGACACAGAAAGATAAACTGCGTGTTCTCACTGATTTGTGGAGACTAAAAATTAAAACAATTGAATTCCTGGAGATAGATAGTAGAATGATGGTTACCAGAGGCTGGGAATGGAAGCTGGAGAAGTGAGAAGTGGGGCTGGTTAATGGATACAAAAATATAGTTAGATAGAATGAATAAGATAAGATCTACTATTTGATAGCACAATGGAGTGACCACAGTCAACAACAACTTATTGTGCATTTTAAAATAACTAAACATATAACTGGAATGTTTGTAACACAAAGAAATGATAAATGCTTGACATAATGGATACCCCATTTACCCTGATGTGATTATGCATTGTGTGCCTGTTTCAAAATATCTCATGTAACTTATAAATTTGAGTCTCCCCTGCCTGGTATTCCATCACGCGTGGTCCTGCCATCCTGAGATGTCAGCAGAGCTGGGGTTGGTGTTGGAAACACAGGCGTTCTTCACTTTCCGAATGAGCAGTGGCTTCCTAGAGAAGGCTCATCCTGGAAAGTCAGGGTGGGGCTGCAGGGGAGCTCTCTGGACTTACACTCGGGGGTCCTCAGCCATCTCTGCCTTCAGGTGGCACCAACAGGATCAAATGTTAATTTTTTCTCATGGCTCAATGACCACTTTTTCCCAGGCTACTTGGCTTTCTTGTGGCTTCCCACGTTTCTTATCTGCATCTGCAGTAGACACAAGTTTATATCTATACTTTAGAAGCAGACAATGGAAGGAATAAAACCACATTCCTCATTTATTAAAGGGAATAAAATTAAATGTCTTACTATAAAAAAAAATAAATAAATTTGCGTACCTACTATATATCCACAAAAATCAAAAATAAAAAATGGTTTAAAATAAAACAAATTTGAAATTAAAAGACTACTTTTAAATGTGACATTTATTGTCAGTTTTACCTCAATAAAGTTGCTAAAAAATTATAACTGATTAATAACAGCTCTACAAATCATAATGTGTCATATCCAGCAAAAATACTAATCAGAAATTCATACTTTTAAAAGAGCATAATAAAATGAGAAAGGGACTAAAAATTAATGAGCTAAGAATCTGCTGAAGAAGTTAGAAAAATAAATAATATAAACCCCAAAAGAAAAATCACAAAGGATAGGTTATATATTCAAAGGAAGTAGAAGGAAAAAATATAAGGTCTGCTAATATTAAGTTTTAGGAAAGCAGTGAGAAGCAAGAATTCTTGTACATTACTTCCGAAAGTGTTATTTGGAATAACCATTCAGGAAGAAAACTAGCTGAAGTGAAGTTAAAGATATGCATATCCTCATTTCCTCCTAAATCTGTTTACCTTACAGAAGTTTTGTGCTGTACATGAGGATGCATATACACAGATATACTTGTGCATATACAAATAATGCAACATTGTTTGTGACAGCAAAATAATTTGAAAATGTAATTGTCTTTAAATATGAGTGGAAAAATGAAAGTTCAGTCATGAAACAGAACATTATATAGCAGTTATAGCTAATAATATAGATCTATCAACATGGATAAATCTCTAAAAAATGATGTTGGGCAAAAACTCAAGATGCAAAAGGAAATGTACAATGCTGGTGAATCGTTTTTGCTTTTTGTAGATAATTAAGTATGTGACAAATGTTCAGGGTCATTGATGGGAATGGCACACACTTTCTTAAGGACAGTGGGTACACGTGGGGAGGTAGGGAGGACAGACTTCAGCTGAATTTGCTAAATTTCATTTCTATTTATTTTTTAACTCTGTAATGTAAATTAAATATGACAGAATAGATACAGGGTTGTTATATATCTATATCCTGTAGGATATTTTAAATTATTCAAAATTAAAATGTTTAATTTAAAAATATTTAAAAGGTATGCATAAATGTGTAACTATTAGAATGTTCATTGAGCATTGATTTTTTATTTTAAAAGAAACTAGAAAGAGCATAAATGTCTAATCATATGGAAATTATTCAATAAACTGTAGTACGTTAATAGAATAAGATAATAATCATGCATTAAAATAATATAGTTAAATAATACTTGATAACATAAAATATGTTAAAAATAAAATAATAAAAAATAGATTAAGATAACTGAGTACTATATTATTCTATTACTATACTATTCTAACACTATTAGAATAGTACTATAGTATTCTTCATGACATGTTTGTATATACGCATATCTACACACATGCAAAACCATGTGGAAATAGTTATAGAAGGAAAGTGATCTGTTTCCTCAGGATCGAGGGCTTTTTCAGGACACAGGACTTTCAATGCCAAAACCACGAAAGTCTCAGGTAACTGAGACAGTTGACCACCCTATCCGGAAGATGCTGCATAAAGAATGAAAACGAGCAAAGTAAAATTTTAACTCAAAATATGGCACAAGATGCAGTTGGAATTCCCTTACTGTGTGTGGGGAAACTAGCTATAATTTCTGCAAGTTGAGAACATAAAAAGGCTAGTTCTGGTGTTACCTGATAAGAACAGATAGAGTTTCTCATCAATTTTGTGAGCATAGCTGGACAGGTCAGAGAATATCAGAGCTGGAAAAGACACATCTTTTCACAACTCCTCTCTTTAGAGATTAAAAAACCAAAAAGTATGTAAAACAGTAGTTTACAACAACTGGTAATTTAGCCCTCAGGAAACAAGTGGCGATGTCTGGAGACATTTTTTATTTTCACAGTTGAGGGTGCTACTGGCATCGCACTGGAAGAGGTCAGTAATGCTCCTAAGCATTCTAGAATACAGAGAACAGTTTCTCACAACAAAGAATTACCTAGCCCAGAATGTCAATAGAACTAAGGTTGAGATACCTGGTTTAAGACATTTCCCCATTGATATCACAACTAGATCCTGCCAAAGAAGTTTCCATTGTCCTGACCTTGTTCAGCATTCTTGTCACTATGTAAATTTGGAGGGCTGTTCTCTAAATGTCAAGCATAAAATGGACCTTTCGATTATTTCATTTCTTCCTGGATATAGTTTATATATACCACTCTCCACTTACACTTCTTCATTCTTTTGGGTATATTTGTATCACTCTCCTGAGTTAATCCATTCTAGACAAATATTATTCTTAAAAAACAGCCATCCATCAAGTCTGAAAAAAAATAAAACCTCGTCTGAAAAACAAATTGGTTGCAATTGTAGATTCATCTGGTTCCTTGATATATATCTGTAATGCTGATTTAGTACTTCTGATAAGCATTTCCCCAACTGCATCTTTTTAGCAGCATTAGAAATAATGGCTAAAAGAAATGAGTCTTTTCATTTGCAGTATCTACATTTGGAGAGTATTTTAAATCAAATTGATTGCTAGGATATTTGTAATGTCCAAATGTTTGATTGCTTTGCTGTGTACCATACAGAAAAGTAGTAACACAGAGGCATGCCATTAAACAGCCTTGTTGTTTTCTTTCTTTTTCTTTTCTTTTCTTTAGTTTTATGAAGCTGCAATTAATAGAAGTAATTTAGCAGCTGTTAGGAGAAACTGCCTAGGATAGTTTGTGTATGTATCCAGTGCTAGAGAATTTTTGCTCTGTTGTAGATCTTTATCTATACTTAGTTGTGTTTAGGATTTATGACAAAGCCGTGTGTTAATATCTCGATTATCATTCTGGTAAGAGAGGAAGCATCGTAGTTTCCTCTTAAGAGAGAATAATAACCTAGAGAGATAAGGAATATGACCTTGAAGTGTTTTTGTTCATGCATCAAGACTCAGTTCATGCATAAGTATGCTGAGGGAGTAATCAAGGTGGCTGTTTCTGTCTTCCGTGACTGCTGGGTGTTATTACCCAAATCAAGCACATTAAAGACATTGTGGAGGACATAGGAAAAGAAATGAGACTTTAAGTATATGCCTAAAAGGTATTTTTAACTTAAGAGTCTGTCTAACAGGGAATCATTTTTCTTTTGAGGAGCAATGGATGGTCAATATCAGTTATTTGCCAGAATGTAAGTTAAAAAGAGTGTGCCCTAGGTGGGCACTTTTGAAGATAATTTTGTTTTTGAAAAAATAAAAATTATTTTACAATTATTCTACATACCATCAAGAACATTGCTCTGTTCAGATACTATATGACATCAAAGCATTCCAAGTATTGCCAGAATTTAGTGCAGAGATGCAAGTTTGTGAGTGATTAATAAAAACCTCTTGGCTTAAGTAATAGAGAAAGTAATGAGAAAATATCAACACATGAGTTTAGCAAAATAAAGGCATTTAATCTTATCTAGACACTCAGAAATTATTTGGCACAATCTCAAGTTAATCATTCTGTTTACAGGAAAAAGAAGCTTTTAGTACAAAAGAAATTTTTTCCTCTTAATAAAGTGCAAAATAAGAAAACAATTTTTCTTTTGTCCAATCATTGGAATGATTGGAATAAGGAAATGTGAAAACCCACTGAAAAAGAATCTGGCTTTAAAAAATGGTACCACTGAGTGTCCCAAAGTTTGTTTCTCTTGATGTCTTGAGATTTCAATGTGTGCCAGAATAACTGGGCTGTGGCCAAAAATTCAGGCTAGCATTGAGATTCTTTTCTACTGCTGTGAAACTGCACCAAAGAGTGCAACTACAGGGACTCTGAAATGTGCTCTCACTTTGCTATTGTAGGAATATTAATAGCTGATTTCATAACCATTCATTGCCTTCAGAAAACAGGTACTTTTTTTCTATCAAAGACCATTAAAAACAGTCATAACACACATATAAATACAAAATAACTTGTTGGTTATAGCAGCATACTTTGGATGTTCATGCCTTCCAAATCTCGCGTTGAAATGTGATCCCTAATGTTGGAGGTAAGGCCTGGTGGGAGGTGTCTAGGTTGTGGGGGCAGATCCCTCATGAATGGCTTGGTGCCCTTCTTATGGTAATGAGTGAGTTCTTTCTCTGAGTTCCCGAGACCTGGTTGTTTAAGAAGGATGTGATATCTCTTTCCTCTTCTCTCTTGCTCCCGATCTTGCCTTGTAATATGCTGACACCCTCTTTGCAGGGCACAGTGGCTCACACCTGTTATCCCAGCACTTTGGGAGGCCAGTGGGCAGATCACAAGGTCAAGAGATTGAGACCATACTGACCAATATGGTGAAACCTCGTTTCCACTATATATATATATGCACAAAATTTAGCTGGGCATGTTGGCACGTACCTGTAGTTTCAGCTGCTTGGGAGACTGAGGCCGGAGAATCGCTCGAACCCAGGAAGCAGAGGTTGCAGTGAGCCAAGATCGTGTCACTGTACTTCAGTCTGGTGACAGAGCGAGACTCCATATCAAAAAAAAAAAAAAAAAAAAAAAAATCTGCTCTGATTGTAAGCTTTCTGAGGTCTTCACCAAAACCTGATGCCAGTGCTGTGCTTCATGTATAGCCTCCAGAACCATGAGCCAAATACATCTCTTTTCTTTATAAATTACCCAATCTCAGGTATTCCTTTTAGAGCAACACAAATGGAGTAACAAATAGTATAAACAATTTTTACCCAACAACATCCTGCTTTTACTTTCAAGCAAGCTATGAAAACATTGATGAATATATACAGAATGAATGAATTATTCATATAAATTTTAGGCTCATATATTACCTTGCAGATTTCCCAAAAATTTCAGAAATTGGTTATTTACCTTTCAATCTTTGCTTTAAGCAAGATGAATCCCATTTATGGATGAAGAAACAGGTTCAAGACTGTTGCATGTTTTGCATAAGGCTACAAAATTAATAAATGCTTGGGATGAGAATAAAAATGGTGTCTTTTGTACTAATGTCTTTTATCTGACTGACAAATAAAAATTATACTATCTTTGGTGAGAGATAATATAATCTAGAACATCTACAATTTTTTCATCTCAAATTCAGAAATCTGATAAAAAATTATATATCATGCTAAAAAAGAGAACAATATATAAGAAATCAACAAAATAGCCGGCAAAAGAAAGAGAACAGATGGTTTAGTCTTTAAAATAACTATAAAATAGTCAATAAAATAAACACATTAAGAATTTGAGCAAGGAATTAAAATCTATTTTTAAACAGGCAATTCTAGAAGGGTGCTATCCAATACAGTAACTACTAGCCACTTGTTGCTATTTAAATTTAAATTAATTCAAGTTAAGTAAAATTTAAAAGTCAGTTCCTTAGTTACACTAGCTGCATTTTAACTGCTCAGCAGTTAGATATGGTTGGTGGTTACCATGTTAAATAGTGAAGGATACAGGACATTTCTATAATCCTAGAAAGTTTTATTAGACAACAATGTTCTAGAAATAGAAATTATAATAATTGAAATTAAGAAAGCCATAAGTGGGTGTCATATCATACGAAATACAGCAGAACAACAGATTAGTAAACTGAAAAAACAGTAATTTGTAAACATCTAAATTTGTAATGGCAGAGTGAGATCAACAGACCTTTCCCCCCAAAAAACAGCTATTAAAATGGATAAAATTATTTAAAAACAAAAACAAAAAACATCAATAAAGTCTCTGGATAGAGTCCTAAGGACATACAGAATATGGAGAAACTCTCTTAAAGAAAATCTACTAATCTCAGTAAGAACAGTCAGAATCTGTGGCAATTGCACCATTACTTGTTCCCTTCCTTACACCCCACACCTGCTCAGACTTACGGAAACCCTACTCCTGGCACATGCAACCAAGAAGTCAGACACTCCCTCTACACTCAATTTTAAGTCTAAAGCTATAGTTTCACTGGTATTTCTCATACCTCTTAGCACTGTATAGCAAAAGTATATTTTAGGTGAATAAGGCCAAAAAATCTGAAACTCTTTCCACACCTAGCACGTACTTACAGGGAAGAAGCTGTACTTCATACACAGTAGCCCAAGACTACTTGGGTCTTGACTACCCCTATGCAAGCTCACTTGTAGGATAGATTTTCAAAGCTTGATGAACAAGACAGTAAAGCAGGGGCTACCCTTGTACCCAGTGTTCACACTCCGGGAGAAGTGGATCTCAGTTTCAACCCTCAGTTCCTGTACAGTGGCACAGAGTTTCTGCCCAGTGGAAGAGATAGGCTATAAGAGGACAGACTTTCTTTAGAACAGTAAATCAAGCCTAAGGCCATACCACCCTGAATGTGCCCGATCTTGTCAGAACAGTAAATCAAGAATTTCATGCTGTAAAGTCATGTCCAAGTATGTTTCCTCTCAAGAGTGATCAGAGAGGGAACATACAAACTACTGATTATATATATGGGAAAAAAGGTAAACTCGGAACTGTGACAGCAACCTTCAAGCCAGGCATACAAATTCAGTGGTAAAGGATAAAGATCTAACTGACTAAGATGACTAAAACACAACCTGTGACCCATAAACAGCCTATGGTAACACAGGAATGATAGCTGCTAAACAATAAAACCAAGAGAAAAAATCTGAACAAGGTTATCAGAAGCTGTACATTAAGGAAGGAAATAGACTTCATAGAATTAGTTCTTTCAACTCATTAAACAAATAAACAAAGACCAAACAAAAACAATAATAATATTAATAATATTTCCAATGGGATCAGTACCAGTGTTGCTACAATATATTATCTAAAATGTCCACTTTTGAACAAAAAATATCACAAGACATGCAAAGACACAGAAATTATAACCCATATGTAGTAAATAAATGAAAGTTCTTTTGAGCTGAGACAAGTATTAGATATAACAGAAATGGGTTTCGGAGAGCAAAGAAAGCCCTGTCTAAACAATTAAAGAAAATATAATAAACATTTTCCACTAAATAAAAATATAAACAAAGAAATAGAAATTACTTTAAAAAGAACAAAATAAAAATTCTAACATTGAAAACTGTAATCAATAAAATGAAAAATTATTGGAGGGTTCAATAGTAAATATAAACAAACAGAGAAAATAATCAGTGAATTTCAACATAAATAGATACAAATCAGACAATCTGAAAAAGAGAGAGAGAAAATAATGAAAAAAAAAAAACAGTGCCACAGAGAAATGTGAGATACCAGTTAAAGCACCCACAAAAACAAAAGTAATAGAAGAAGTGAAAATGAAAAGGGGGCAGAAAAAATATTTGAAAAAATAATGGTTGACAAACTTCACAAATATGTTGCAAAATATTAATACATACATCTAAAAAGCTCAACAGATACCAAGTAGGATAAAAGCAGTAAATGATACCAGATTGCTACTATAGTCGAAACTTTGAAAATTAAAAAGAAAATCCTGAAAGCAGTAAGAGGAAAAGTGACTCATCACAACCCTAGGATAATTAACAGCTGACTTCTCATCAGAAACAATGAAAGCAGAAAGCAGTGGGATATCATATTTAAAGTGCTGAGAGTGAAATAGCTGTCAACCAAGAATTTTACATTAGGCAAAAGTATCTTTCAAAAATTAAGGTGAAATAAAGACATTCCAAGGCTAGTAAAATATCTTAATATGTGTTCTTAATAGACCTGCCTTACGGGGAATATTAAAATAATTTCTTCAGGTTGAAATCAAGTAACACAAGACAATAATTTAATTCTGTGCACAAATAAACAAAGAATGTCAATAAAAATCATTAGGTACATAATCACAAAAGATGATCTAATTACATTTTCATTCTCCTTTATTCTCTTATCTTACTTAAAAAGTTATTGTAAGGCATTCTGGTTTTAGCTCTAACATGTAAAGAGGTTGAAATTTTTGATATATGTTTTTGCAAGAAAAAGTTGAAAAATGAAAGACTTTAAAAATTATTTTTAAATATTTGATATTAAAATTTAAACTTTAAAATGTTACTTGAAACAGAAGCCATCAGCCATAAACTGACCCATCCTGCAAAAAATTTTAAAAGTTCTTCAGGGTAAGAAAAATGATAAAAGTCATAAACTTAGATTTACATAGAGAAAGAAAGCATTGGAGAAAGAGTATATGAAGGTAAAATAAAAAATTTATTTTTCTTAATTTTAATTGATCTGAAAGATCTCATTTAAGTAACAATAGTGAAAAGGTATTGGGGAATTAATAACATACGTGTAAGTAAAATGAATGTTGGTAATGCCATAAATGATGGCTGCGAGGAATTGGTAAGACTATTAGAAGAAATGTGTACTAACTGTGAAGACGTATGGTATTATTTGATGGGAAACATAGATTATTTAAAAAGACATACTGAAAAATTTGGGAAAACTAATAAAAATATAAAGAAATTTTATATAAATGATATGCTAACAGAAGAAATAAAGTTGAATCACATAATTAATCAGAACTAGATAAGGCAGAAAAATCAGAGTGGAGGAGAAACAAAACAAATTTAATGAGTAGAAAATAGTTACAAACATGGTAGATACTCATCCAATTATATTAATAATCAATTTGAATGTGAATCGTATAAATACATCAGTTAAAAAACAGAGATTTTCAGAGTGGATAAAAACAAGACCTAAACATATGTGGTCTATAAGAAACCAGATTTAAATGTAAAGATGCAGATAGGTTAAAAGTAAAGAATGAAGATCTATGTCAAACTAACTTTAACCCCACCCCCCCAAAAAAAATGGAACAGCTGTATTAATTCTAAAAAGCTGATGTCAGAACAAGCAAAATTTTTAGATATAAAAAGGAGCATTACATAATGATAAATTAATCAATTATCCAAGAACACATAATAATTCTAAACAAAAATGTTAAAAGGAAAGAATAAAGTTGGAGGAGACATACTTCCCAATTTCAAAACTTAATACAAAGCTAAGCAGGAAAGTGGAGTACCGATATGAGAGTAGACAATCTGGTCAATATTTGTAGGTTTGAGAGTTAGAAATAAACCCACAAATTTATGGTCAAATCATAGTCTACAAGGGAGCCAGGACAAATCAATGCGGGAAATAAGCGTCTTTTTATCATATGGTGCTGAGACTTCTGGATATTCACATGTGAAACAATAAAGTTGGACCTCTACCTCTCACCATATACAAAAATTAACTCAAAATTGATCACAGACCTAAATGGAAGATGAAAATTATTAAACTCTTAGGGGGCAACATACAATTAAGTATTCACAGCCTTAGATTAGGCATGCTTATTTAAATGACAACAGAAACAAAAGCTATAAAAGAAAAATAGATTAATTTCACTTCATCAAAATTAAGAACTTTTGTGCTTCTTAAGACACCATGAAGAAATTGTAGAGAGATGTCAAAGAATGGCAAAAAGTATTTGTAAATCACTTATCTGATAAAGACTTGTATTCAAAATATAAATAAAGTTACAAATCAACAATAACGACAACACCCAAGTGACCCAATTTTAAAATGGGCAAAATATTTGAATTGCTATTTCTACTACATATTGTATGGAGTACAATACACTTAAGGAATGTTCTGCACATAAAATGGCCAGAAACAGTAACTCTATAGATACAGGGTTGATTAGAAGTTGCCTAGAGCTGGGAGTGGAAGGGAATTAATTACTGATAATGGGTAGAAGGTTTCTTTTTGGTTGCAAAATGTTTTAAACTTAGATTGTGGTGATGGTTGCACAAGTTTATAAATACACTAAAAATAATTGAAATATACATTTTAAGTTGATAAATGTTATATTAATTATATCTCAATAAAGATGTGTTTTAAAAGATAATATGCAAACTGTCTCACAAAGGAAAAATTTAGAAAAAAAAGAAAAAAATTTATAGATACTGTATAGTAGGACCATCTTAATTTCAGCTTTTCTTTGTTCTCATTTTTGCCTCTCTCTCTAACACATTAGTTATTCAGAAAAACATATGTGTTAAAAAATACTTTGCTATTAATTTGAAGTTTTAAACATTGATACTGTTTTCGTATTATTTTAATATGGAGATATGAGAAATGTACTTTTGGCTATTGATGACTCTTTTGTTCTTTGGATGCTTTAAATGAAAGCTCATTCTCTGCACAGTACAAAATAGTAAATAAATATGTTAAATTGCTGTATTACTTACATTATTTAAACCCCATTAAAAACATTTTTTGTTTATATGACCTAGAAAAGACAGAATGTTACAGACAATATGAATAACGAAATTGGAGTCTGTTTAAACTCTGGTTATCACATTTTCAACTTTTAAGTTATATAAGATTTTAGTTTTATCTTCTTTGTTTTTAGCTTTACATATTAGACGCAATTTATTTTGCTTAATATAGTCAAAATTGCTTTGAAATGCTTAGACATTTACTAATTTCTTTGCTCTATATTTCTTTTTAAATCCCACAACCTGCCCCTTGGATCACTTCCCCTTTCATTGAAATACCACTTTAACACCTTATTTATTGCAGATCTATTGTTTATCCCTTTATTACAGAAATATATGTATTTCACCCTCATTCTCTAAAGAGAATCTGGATAAATACAAAAATTAAGTTGACAAGTTTTTCTTTCTTTCTTTCTTTTTTTTTTTTTTTTTTTTAACCACACAGCTCTGAATCCTACACATCCTACTGTCTATTGTTCCTTTGGAGAATTCTGTTGCCAACCTAGTTTTTGTTCCTTTGTAGGTAATCTACTTTCCTCTCGAGTTGCTATTAAAATACTTTCTTTATTTTGGGTGTTTTTCAGTTTCACTTTGATGAGCCTAGATACTTATTTATTCTATTTATATTGCTTAAGAAACATTATGTTCCCTATATATTCAGCAATTTTGATACCACGTAGCCACAGTGACTATTTACATAGATGACTGTGCACTGAAGAAAAGGGAATTCTCCGACAGTTCAAGGATTATTGGTCTAAGGACTAGAGTTGACATTTATATCTGGAGAACTGAAGCATCATCAGGGCCCCACTTTTAGAGTGGGGGCAAATAAATGGCAGTAGTGAATGAAGCCGTGGTCAAAATCTGGCTGGTAATGAGCCCACTGGGTCCACTGACATACCCAAGACTCAATTGTGCAGGTCCTGAATCTATAATTGGGATCAACATACTTGAAATTTGGATTGATCCCTACATTGAGTCTTTGGTCTGTGAGTTAAAACTCAGCAGGTAAGGAGCCACATGAAAACCTCTGAAACTACACTTCACTCCAATCACGATAGTAAATTAAAAATAATTAGTAATTTAAAAATAATTGTGCTTCAGAGGATGGGGGATATTTACTCCATCATATTTTCTACAGAAATTGAATGGACCTTGAAGAATAATTTTAGTCCGTAGCAAGTTGAACTAAATAATATCCCTGATCACAGTTTCCATGCAAGATATGGGATTTTTCTTACAGCAGAATAATATGACCTTAGACACATGGTATATGGCTCAATTATGGTCTTCACAAAATTCATACGTTGAAGTCTTTTCTCTTACTACCTCAGAATGTGACTGTATTGGAGATAGAACCTTTAAAACGGTGATTAATGTGAAATGAGATCATATAGGTGGGCCCTAATCCAATATAGCTAGTGTCTTTATAAGAACACACAGAGGAATTCCACGTGAAGACAGAGGGGAAAGATGGCCATCTGCAAACCAAGGCAAGAGGCCTCTGGAGAAACAACCTTTCTGGGATCTTGATCTTGGACTTCTAGCCTCCAGAACTGTGAGAAAATACATTTCTATTGTTTGAACCACCCAGTCTGTGGTCTTTGCTACAGCAGCCTAGCAAACCTAACAAATTAATACACAGTATGTAGTCCTTTAATCAGTGGTGACTATGCTCTACTCTATCCCAATTTAAAAAGAGTGTTATAAACAGCTTACATTTAAATGTAAGGGACAACAATAATCATTCATAATTTTGCTTTTGGGCTTTGTTAACTCTCCTAGTTTTTGTCATAATAAAATCCACAGAGATTTGGACATCCAGCAGAACTTCACATTGATATCAATAACATCATACTGATTAGACAACATTAGAAAGTTGTAGCTAGTAAGTTAAAGGATTTGGAAAGGCACACAAATAGTGTGTCTATCTGTAGGACAGATAGTGAGAGATATACCTTGTGAAGATTCTGGGGCCTGCAACACCAGTAAAGGATTTAAAGGTTCAGAGGTCAAGTGTATGTAAGAACATCTCCTCCTGAGTAAAAGAAAAATTGCCGCCTCTTGCACTGTATTAGTCTGTTCTCACACTGCTAATAAACATATTGAGATGGGATAATTTATAAAGGAAAGATGTTTAATTGACTCCCAATTCAGCATGGCTAGAGAGGCCTCAGGAAACTTACAATCATGGCAGAAGGGGAAGCAAACACATCCTTCTTCATATGGTGGCAGGAAAGAGAAGAATGACAGTTGAGTGAAGGAGGAAACCCCTTATTAAACCATCAGATCTTGTGAGAACTTACTCACTACCACAAGAATACCATGGTGGAATCAGCCCCCATGACTCAATTACCTCCCACCAGGTCCCTCCCACCACATGTGGGAATTAAGGGAAGTACAATTCAAAATGAGATTTGCGGGGGAACACAGCCAAACCATATTATCCTGCCCCTGGCCCCTCCAAAATCTCATGTTCTCACATTTCAATAAGACAAGCATACCTTTCCATCAGCGCAGGTCTTAGCTCATTGCAGCATTACCCAAAAGTCTAAGTCCAAAGTCTCATCTGAGACAAGGCAAGTCCCTTCTGTTTATAAGCCTGTAAAATCAAAAGCAAGTTAACTAACTTACTTTTAGATAACTAACTCCATTAGATATAATGGAGGTGCAGGCATTGGGTAAATACACCCATTCCAAATGGGAAAATTGGACAAAACAAAGGGGCTACAGACCCCATGCAAGTCCAAAATCCAGCGAGGCAGTAATTAAATCTTAAAGCTCTAAAATAACCTCCTTTGAATCTATGTCTCACATCCAGATCACACTGATGCAAGAGGTGGGTTTCCATGGCCTTAGGAAGCTCCACCTCTGTGGCTTTGCAGAGTACAGCCCCCTCCTGCCTGCTTTCATGGGCTGGCATTGAGTGTCTGCCACTTTTCCAGGCACATGGTGCAAGCTGTCAATGGAGCTACCATTCTGGGGTTTGGAGAACAATGGCCCTCTTCTCACAGCTTCACTAGTCCCTAACTGGGGACTCTGTTTGGGGGCTCTGACTCTACATTTCCCTTCTGCACTGCCCTAACAAAGGTTCTCCATGAGGGCTCTGCCCCTGCAGCAAACTTCTGCCTGGATATCCTGGCATTTCCATACATTTTCTGAAATCTGGATGCAGGTCCCCAAACCTTAATTCTTGACTTCTGTGCACACACAGGCCCAATGCCACATGGAAGCTGCCAAGGCTTGGGGCTTGCATCCTTTGAAGCATTGGCCTGAGGTGCATGTTGACCCCTTTTAACCACAGCTGGATCTGAAGCAGCTGGGATGCAGGGCACTATGTTACAAGGCTGCATAGAGCAGCTGGGCCCTGGGCCAAGCCTGCAAAATCATTTTTCCCTCCTAGTCCTCCAGGCCTGTGATTGGAGGGCTGCTGTAAAAGTATCTGGCATCCCCTGAAGACATTTTCCCCATTGTCTTGGTGATTAACATTCAGCTCCTTGTTACTTATGCAAATTTCTGCACTGGCTTGAACTCTCCAGAAAACGGGTTTTTCTTTTCTATTGCATCATCAGGCTGCAAATTTTCCAAACTTTTATGGTCTGCTTCCTCTTGAATGCTTTGCCACTTAGAAATTTCTTCTGTCAGATACCCTGAATCATCTCTCTCAAGTTCAACATTCCAAAGATCTCTGGGGCAGAGACAAAATGCATCCCATCTCTTTGCATAGTAAGAGTTATCATATTACAGTTCCCAACAAGTTCCTCATCTCCATCTGTGACCATATCAGCCTGGACTTTACTGTTCATCTCACTATCAGCATTTTGGTAAAAGCCATTCAACAAGTCTCTAGGAAGTTCCAAATTTCCACATTTTCCTGTGTTTTTCTGAGCCCTCCAAACTGTTACAACCTCTGCCTGCTACCCAGTTCCAAATTTGCTTCCACATCTTTGGATATCTTTACAGCAGCACCACACTCTTGATACCAATATACTTTATTAGTCCATTCTCACACTGCTAATAAAAACATACCTGAGACTGGGTAATTCATAAAGGGAAGAGGTTTAATTGACTCACAGTTCAGCATGGCTTGAGAGGTCTCAGGAAACTTACAATCACGGCAGAAGAGGAAACAAGCATATCTTTCACATGGTGACAGGAAGGAGAAGAATGAGAGCCAAGTGAAGGGGGAAGCCCCTTATAAAACCATCAGATCTTGTGAGAAATTACTCACTGTCATGAGAATAGCATGGGGGAAACCACCTCCATGACTCAATTACCTCCCACAGGAGTCTCTCCCACCACATGTGGGAATTATGGGAACCACAATTCAAGATGAGATTTGGGTGGGAACACAGTCAAACCATATCATGCATCTTCTATTGCAAGAACAAAGCCTGGTGCCAAGTAGGTCTCTTTGGGTTCTCATGACAACACATCTAGGAATACTCCTCTGGCTCACAGACTGGGTGACATAAAAAGCTGCCAATTTTATGCAGAACCTTGAGTACAAAAGGGCTCTGCAGCAGATCCAGAATGTAATATAATCAATCACACAATTAGGTCAGGTAGTCTGAAAGACCTGATGGTGCTATTGTCATCAGTGGTAGAAAAGATGCAGTGTAGAATTTATCCCAAGCCATAGAGGAGGTATCATAATGACCTACCAAGTCATTAAATTGAGGAAATCTAGCTGCATCCATTATAAAGTAGAAATGGTACAATCAGGATAAAACATGAGCAGTAAGTAGTAGAGATGATGAGTTAAGTTTTATGAGCAGATAGGCCCCCATGTGACTCACAATAGTTTCTTCAGCACTCCCCTGTCATTTCACATCTATAGCCATATGCAGCTATGACTCGCTGAAAAAGGAGGAAAGAGGTCAGCTTAGTACATGGTTGAAATACAGTAGTAACCTTGAAATACAGTAGCTCAAAAATAATCTCCCAGTAGGCAGAACTTTACATGGTGTACCAGGTCATCTTTTTTATATGGAAGAAAAAGTTGGCTGAGGTGAGAATATATATAGACTCAAGGGCAGCAACCACTGACTTTGCTGATTTTTCTGGGTTCTGAAAGGGAAAGTAATATACAAGTGAAGATAAGAAGCTCCAGGAGAGAGTTATGTGAAGGGTAGATTAACATATGATGGGGAGGAGCATACTAATACTCATCAGAAAACACTCACCATGGAAGAGGAACAGAAAAATCAATCAGACAAAATAAACTGGTCAATTGATGTTAGAGTCTTTTCTGATTGGCTACATGGAGGCTATGCATGGGCTTAACAGCATGAACTCCCACTTACCAAGGCCGTCTAGCAATGGCTGCCTCTGAATATTCAACTTCCCAGCAACAGAGAACAATGCTAAGCTCCTCATATGATATATACCAAGGGAATATTTGGTAGCAAATTGATTATATTGGACCATTTCTACCTTGGAAGGCTCAGCAACTTATTCTGAGTATGTGTTGCCTTTCTTGCCCACAGAGCCTCAGTCAGCACTGAGGGGCTTACAGAGTACCTGATCCCACAGAAATGGAATCTAATCTGACATGGGACCCATTTTATAGCTAAGCAGGTATAGGAATGGGACTATGACAACAGAATGCACTGTTAGCATTCCATCTCTGCTGTATAGAAGTTGCCACTCCGATAAAGCATTAGAACAGACTGATAAAAGCACACAGAAAGTGATGCTCCCAGGGAATACTCTGCAAGAATGGGATGCTACCATCTATCATGCAACATTTGCACATGCGATATCAGACACTTCTGTTTGATGCTATTCTTTGGTGGAAACCATCTGTCTAGGTATCAAAGGTTGGAAAAGAAGGCAGTGCCACTTATCATCATTTCCAATGACACACAAAGGAATTTTATACAACCTTACCTGCAGAATTAGAGGGCCTGGTCCCAAAGGAGGCAATTTATCCAAGGGACAAAATAAAGATCTCATTGGAACTACAAGCTATGGCTGCCATGTGAGCACTCAGGACTTATTTTTTATAGAGACCAGCAGGCAAGAAGAAGTGTCACCATATTGGAAGTGGTAATTGACCCTAGACATACATGTGGAACTCAGGTAATCAGTTTGGACATCTCTTGGTACTCTCTTGATTACTTGGGACTGCGACTGCACAAATACAGAACTCTCTCCTGAGAATAGTATGGTTAGCAGAAACTCAGTTATCTCAGGAAATATTGTGGGCCACAGCCTTTAGTGAGCCACCAAGATTGGCAGGAGGTGACAGCTGAGGGCAAAAGAAATTTAGAATAAAAAGTGAAGGTGTAAAATAAGTGCCAGTTGTAATCCTGAATATAGCTGCATCATTGAGGCTGTAGCTCATCCCACTAAACTCCCTCCTAAATATTCCCCAAAGAAGAAAGACCCATCAAAACACGTGAGGCTTCCCAAAAGCATATGGTATCTGTATAAGGAAGTGGTGGACTGCAGCAGCCATTGAATTCCCTACACAGGTCTTCCATAAAACAATTTGCTACTGTTCTGCTGCAAGAAGTGCAGTTAGGAGGACCACTCCCACCTTCAGCACCTTCAGGATCTGTCTCAGCTTTCAGGTTGAGGCTATGAATTTCCTGAGCAAATCAGCCAAGAATAAGCATGGAGGAAGTACTATGTCTAATCATTTCTGCCTAACAGAGGACTCCTCTAAAAAGGGATCTTTGCTTCAAAGTTCTCCTTCTACTTGGCAGAGACTTATTTCTATGCATTGTATAGTCTGGGTCTCTCTCTGCCCCACTCCTGCTTCCTCTCCACTTCCTTTTTACATATATTAGATCTAAAGGCTTTCCACTCAATTTTTCTTATTCATCATTTTATCTTTTACAGTATGTATAACCCAATAAGTTGTTGTCACCCTTAATTCTGTCTCAATGTCTGTTTCCCAAGGGTCCTATCTGATGCAGAACTCCAGAATATGTTACAAGTATATTTGTTAAGATTATTCAGCATCAAGGTAAATTTTAGCTGAAGGGCTTTTCACAATATCTTGTATGACACATGCTTCAATTGGAAATCAATTACGCTTGCAATTTCTTTGGGGTTTGTCCTCCATATTACCAATATGCACTTCATTTCTTTGATAGTCTATTTTTCTCCTCCCTTTGTTGACATGCTCCTATTTTATGTCCTTTTATTATCTTTCACCATTTTTTCCTGAGTTCTCATTTTTGCTTCAAGATTTTATTCATATTAATATTCCTGCAATAACTTTCTTTAATTCATGGTGATACAGCTGGTGACCAATTGATTCAGTTCTATATCTGTATTTTTCTGGTGATTCTACTCTAAAGAAGTTTTTCCTCTTCTTTTTCTCCTCTTTATAACATTATTTTATAGAACGTATTTCATTTATTATTATTATTGTTAATCTTCGAATGAGGCGTTAAAGAAAATCTGAGCTATATTTCAAGTCAGAAAGAACTTTTCCTGGTTCACGTAAAGTTCCTTATAAAGCACAAAGTTGTAGGAATGAATGACTTGATGTTTTTCTGGACAAAAGTGATTGATAGCTGAAATATTGCTCATTTCCCTCCATTTGTTTCCTGAACATAGGTGTGTCTTGTGCTTCTATATTTGGCAGCTCTTCTCTTCCTTCTTAAACTCCAACTAAGTCTAGGGGATCTCCTGCCAATAGACGCACCATGTTTCTATTGTTGAAAATAAGAAATGTTGGTTTTCTCTTCTAATAATTGTTATCTACTTTGCACTGCAATGTCCTGTAGGTCTCTCCTTAGATCTGCACCTCTGTTTAATTTTTTTTTTTCTTTTTCTTTTTTTTTTTTTTTTTTTTTTTTTGAGACGGAGTCTTGCCCTTGTCATCTAGGCTGGAGTGCAGTGGTACGATCTCGGCTCACTGCAATATCCACCTCCCGGGTTCAAGCAATTCTCCTGCCTCAGCCTCCTGAGTAGCTGGGATTATAGGTGCCTGCCACCATGCCCGGCTACTTTTTGTACTTTTAGTAGAGATGGGGTTCCGCCATGTTGGCCAGGCTGGTCTCAAACTCCTGACCTCAGGTGATCCACCCACCTCGGTTTCCCAAAGTGCTGGGATTACAGATGTGAGCCACCATGTCTGGCCACCTCTGTTTAATTTTTATGGTATTTGACAACCCATTCTTTCACATTATAGTTGATATTCATATGACTTTTAGTTTTATCCAAAAGGAAGATAACATATTTTCCTTTCCTTTCTCTTTATTGCTTGAGGATAATTTCCAAGAAGAGAAAGACTTTAAACTGTCTGTCTACTTCAATATTTTAAAACCAGAGTTTTATATTTATATTTTACACGTAATGCATTAGGGATACAATTTTCAAAACTATTAAACAACGTATTTTTTACTCTTTTTCTTAATCATACATTTCTGATTCTCCCTACACATTGAATCAGTGACATCACTTCAGAGAGAGAGAAAACACCACACAGCATTTTTTAAAAAAGTACTGCTTAGCTTCACGTCTAAAATTAAATTTTGGCAAGTCTTATGAGAAAAGAGTTTATAGTAATGCTTTGTTGTAAACAAAAATAAACTATTAAACAATAAATATCTTCCTTAAGATATAGCAAACAAAATGTGAATCTCTGACTATAGTTTTTCCTATTAACTATAGTTTATGGAGGATGGAGGATATGACATAAGAAAGAACCAAGGTAGGAACAGAGCCCTAATAAAGGAAGAAGTAAGATGGAGAAAAAAGGGCAGAATTGCAGGTTGTAGTTATTCAGGCTCCCCTCTTGTAGTCAAAATACAGAGGAAAGTTGCAACAGGTGACAGAAACATGAGTGGTATTTGGTGTAGCTAGCATAACTAGCTCTCTGTGTGGCTGGTCCTTGCTTTCTAGAACACATCTCTAATATTCTACCTTGTAGAATATTATAGTAGTTTAAAAAATAATTCCATTAACACTAGGTACCTGTATTTTTCTTTTATTTATTATAGAAATTATGACATAATAAGTGAACTATTTTCTGCTGTCCTAGAATTGTGTCTAATGTCAAAGCCTGGGGACAATAATTACTAATTATTTCATATTTGAAAGGGAATCACTGGTGAGCAGTCAACAAAGGGAAACAGATGTCACTCTCAAAGCTTATAGGAGGTGTGTGATGGCAAATCTTATGTGTCAACTTGATTGGGCCGTGAGTGCCCACAGAGTTTGTCAAATGTTATTCTAAATATTTCTGGGAGGGTGTTTGGATGAGATTAACAAATTGATAGACTAAGTAAAGTAGATTGCCCTCCATAACGTGGATAGGCCTCCTACAATGAGTTGGAGGCCTGAATAGAATAAACAAAAGAACCAGACTCTTCCATAAATAAGGAGAATTCATCCTAGATGACTGCATTTGAGCTGGGATATATGTTTTTCCAGCTTTTGGCCTCAGATTGAAGCATCACCTCTTCATGGGTCTTGAACCTGCTGGCCTTCAGACTGGAACTACATCATTGCCTCTCCTGGGTGTCCAGCTTGCTTGCTAGAAGAAGAAATTGGGACTTGTCAGCTTCCATAATCATGTAAATTGATTCTTTACTTATCTATTTATATCTCTTGTTGGCTTTGTTTTTTTGAGGAACCCTAATACAAGTGACAGAGCTTCTGCTACCTAAGCCTCATACTCACATATGTAATCTCTCAAATACAAAGACAGGGCAGGAAAAAAAGAAGGCAGCAGTCAAGAGACATAGGCTATGCCTAGAGACAAGCATCTGGGGAAGCAGGTTAGTCATTCTCCTCTCCCTAGAGAGCTTGAGAGAGTTGCTTCATTCATACCCTAAGCCAAGAAAGGTGGCAGCTCTGAGACACTCGCAGAGACAGTGAGGCCTGAAAGGAGGGGAGAGTGGCATCATTCTTCTAGTGGCTTGCTACCCTGCATCCCTATAGACCTCTGCAGTGCCCCCAGCAGAGTGGAATCAGTCGTGGTGAGGTACCTGTGAGGAGTACTTACATGTATTCCCTGTTTGCAGATGTATGTCAACAGGAAAAACAGGGCTAGAGATTTCTGAAGAGAGAAGAGACTGCTGGAGAAACCTGTGCCAACAAGACCTGAAGGGAACTTGGTGAAGAATGTTCCATGCCAGTTGTTCTTAGCTCTCAAGAAGTGTAGAAGATGACCTAGTACGGTCTGCAGATCTAAGTGAAGTGTTAGAAAGGTTAGGGGAAAAGGAGAGCTACCAAGGTAGATCTGGAAAACAAAAACAAAAACAAAAACAAAAAAAAAACCTTCCCCACTGGGAGGGCTGCAGGGAAATTAGGAGTCTTCATCCATAGTTGGGGATACAATAAAACTAAACACTCCCCAAGAAACTATGCTCACCGTCAATTCAGAGACCAACACAACAGCAGGAGACCAGGAGGAAATAGAATCAGATCAAATCAGAGAGAGAACAAGGACACCACCTAGAGACACCTTCTTGGGACACACATTGGGACACAGGCCATTTTCATAGTACAATCTATTCTCTTCTAGTCTCTCCCTTGTCCTGCCCACAGGGGATAGATTTTGAAGGGGAAGTGTGCCCAGAGCCACAGCTGCCTTTCTGCCTCACCTCAAATCTCTTTGATTCAACAGTCTAGTTTTGCTGAGAAGGGGGCAGGCTTTGAGTCAGATAAAAAATATGAAATCTGAATCTATATAGTACTTACTATGTTTCCATAAGTAAAAAGTATTCAGAAGTTCATTAATTCTGCTCAAAATTTTGTTGAAGGATAGTGAAAGGGGGATTTAACATGCTACAATTTAAATCAGAGACTAGAAGAAATAATACTATCTCAGGATATATACCCAAGAGGCTGAAACTTCTTAGCCTTTTTAATGAACCAATTATACCAACGGATTAAGAGTCTAGTGCATTATAGCTTCTAATTGTTTTCCCTCTAGATTTTCAGTTGTTTCTTTAGGATAGATTCCTAGAAATAGAATTACTGTATTAAAATATTTTTGGTTATGAGGAATAGAAACACATTTGAACTATCTTGTATTAAAGAAGGAGATCTCACTGTGATATAATCACAGAAGTGTGACATGAACTCCATGGATGGCGATGCCATTGGGCTTCAGGCTAGGGTGTACCCAGGAACTGGAACACTGCAAAACTTTTCTATTTATCATTTTGATTGTCTGCACATCACCTATAATTTCTCTGTTGACAAAGTAGTTTCTTCTGCCTCTCTTTAGTCTGAATTTTTACACTAGAATCTTTAAATACTCTACAACAAATTTTATTGTATTATTTAAGACCTAAGTGTCTCCAAAAAAAAAAAAAATTCTCAACACCTAACCAGTTGTCCCAGCTTTCTAATGAAAAATTGACCTTACCTTACTGATTAATGTTTCTACTTTATTATATATTAAATTATATAATAAAATTTATTTATAGTCAGACTAATTCTTCACAATTCTGTACTGATTTCATAATTATAGTTTCAGAACATGTTTTAGAATCTGGGAGATCTAATCTTTCTAAAGAACTTTTTTCATTGTTCTTAGCTATTTTTCACTTTTTCATGTAGTTGAATTTCAAAATCATCTTGTCACAATTAAAAATGAAAGCTTCAACGATATTTTGACTGGAATTAGGTTAGATTTGTGCATTAATTGTTGCTCCTCACTGGAATATGGAATATCTCCACATTTACTTATTTCATATTGTGTGTGCATGAGTAATTTTTGGTTGCTTTTTTAACAGATCATACATGAATTTATGAAAGTATCAATTATAAGATATTACTTTTTATTTATTTTCTAATGTATTTTTGTTCATATATAGAAAATGTATTAGTTTGTTGCATTTTTTACATACGTAGTTACAGAACACTTACTAGTTTTAACAATTTTATCAGTAGATTGTTTTGGCTCTTTTGTTCGTTTTTGTATTTTATATAGTATTACTTCCTAGTTTACACTAGACTAGCTCTTTTCCTTTTTATCCCTGGGCACATGGATCAATGCTTCCTCTTCTTCCTGCTTCAATGATATGGTGCATTTTTAGCTTGCAGTTGCAGTGCTTTCTTTTACATGGGCCCCAAGAATGACAGTATGCATCGCAACAAAGCAATCCCACAAATATATATTATTTATAGTGTATTGATTAACAATATCTGTGCTTATAAAAATCAATTAAACAAGATTACATACTATAGCAGTTTCCAAACAGTGCCCTAAAACTATAAACTATAATTAGTGGTATACAGTTCATGTGACAAAATGTACAAACAGCCTGTAGCCCTGGTGAAAGACTCTATTGCCTCTAACAGATCAGTTAGTTATTGCTTACAGTTAAAAAACTGAATAACTGTGTCTCCTTTTGAGAGTAAACCCAGGTCCAGGTATGCTGGAAAGCCTCTGCTATCTAGAAGGATCCAGCCAATATCGTCCTAATTGAATTTACATGAGTAGAGGTAGATGCTCTAAGACCATGAATTTACATGAGTAGAGGTAGATGTTCTGGGTTCACTTATGTCTATTAAGGAAAACATCCTTCTCCTAAATTTATAATTACCCAATTGATATTTCTAGCTAGATGAAGATTCCTTCTGTTGAAACACTTAAATGTAAAGAAAATACCACTCAGGAACAAGATGAAGGAATTTGGTATCATTTTTCCTGCATAGATTCCTTGGAATTTCACATAAGGGTTCTGTCCTATTTAGGTTAGCCCTCTTAGAGGAGTCAGGAGCCTGGCCTTCAGTGGATGCCATGCCTAGGTCTTTCATTGTTAGCCTAGTCCCCCCACAGGCTTGTTGTCAATGGCACTGTCTTTGTTCCTGCCTTTTATCTCAGAAACACTGACCTGATATTGCTTGAGCTGAGATAAAATAATAATATCTGTAGATATTCACAGTGCTCCAGGTGGGAGGCTTGACATCACAGTAACTCAGAAAAAAGATAAAAAGGTATAGCTAGCAAACAGCAGAGTGCACGAGCTCCAACTTTAATTGGAGCTGCTATGTTGAACAACAAAGAAAACAGGTTGACTCATTTGGTTTCTATTGTACTGGAGTGATGGGGTTATTTTAGTATGTATCCTAGCTATTCCTTCTAGAGCATCAAATAGAAATAGATTGGTCCAAGCCCTAGTGAATGCATTTGGCTCATAATATAGTTTGCATTTAAATCAAATTTATAGTTGCCCAAAATAGATTCTCCAACTGCGCAGAAGTCATATAAGTAGCAGGCAGAATGATAAGGATTTTTTTTTCATGCATTCAAGAACACATAAATTGCTAAAGATACACTTTTCAATTGTTATCCATCCTACTGAGACTATTGCAAGGGTTCAGGTTCTCCTCAATTACACTGAAATGATGCAATTTTGTCTGCTGTTCTTTTAAATCCCTATTATCTCTAAATGGGTTTTTCTGCAATATTAAAAGGTGTCAAGAAAACATCAAGAAGCTCAAAAGGTTGTTGGTTTTTTCTTTATCTTTTTCTGCATTACTTTTTCCCCTTTTTTTTTCTTTTTGTGAGGGTTCATGGGTACAGTTTAACTTTATTCTTCCAAAGCAAGTGTTCTCAACTGGGACATTTTGCTTCTTAGGGGATATTTGACAAGGTTTGAAGACATTTTTGGTTTTCACAACTGTGCATGGATGGGGAGATTTGCTACTAGCTAGTGGGTAGAGGCCAGAGATGCTGCTAAACAATCTATATTGTATAGGACAGCCGCCACAACAAAGATTTATTCAGCCCAAATGTCAATAAGATTGAAATTGCTCCAGAAGAAAAACACAAGATTGATTAGAAATATCTTTAATATGACTTTTAGAGAAGGCAAATTTACATATTTTCACTCTATAATTTTGAATTTAGATTGGGGGATTTGTGTCTTGTGGGGCTTATACAAGTGGACCGTGCCTTGAAGTTGCCAATGAATCACTAAAATTACTATTTTTAAAAAAATAAGCCATAGATCTGATGCCACTTTTCTATTTCATATTCTCCTCTAATATATTGCTAATATATCTAATTGAAATTATTTGTCTGTGATGGAAAAATAGCCAGTTACATTTACCTAGAAAGAGTGGTATTTAAAGAAATTTTAAGTTGCTTTTTAAAAAACTTTTGATGAGAGGATAGAAGACACTCTATTCTAAAAGGTGGCATCTTGGCATTTGAAAAAGCAGCAGGAGAAGGAAGGTCCCTTATATCTTCCCCTTGCATTTTTCCCCTGAAGCAGGTCATAAAACCTAGGAAGGACCTTCCTATGCTCTTCTTTCCTTAAGCACATCATAGGACTCTCAGTCAAAAAGAACTCATAGGACTCTCAGTCAAAAAGAACTCACAGGACTCTCAGTCAAAAAGAACTCTTCCTTTACTTAGAGGAAAGAAATATTCTTATTAGCAAAGACACAGAAACACCAGAAACACTTAAAAAAAATAGGCCCTTGTCAAGTTCCCCCTAATAGAAAGGTATTAGATCATATCTTTTTGTCCTCCAATCATATTTCTCGACAACTGTTCACTCTTTATCAAACCTAAAGATAAAAATGCACGAGTTTACCGATTTCTTTGGGTCTTCATTTTCAAAGGCTCTCATATCCTGTAAAACCTATGTAAAATAAATATGTACGTGTTTCCATTCTTAATCTGTCTTTTTGTACAGTGGCCTCAGCTGTGAACCTAGTAGTAAGTAAGAGAAAGATATTGATTTTCCTCTGCTACACTGAGAAAGCTAAATTTTTATGTATATTTTGATTCTATCAACATATAGTGAAGTCTTTGGTGAACCCTAATTTTATACTTTGAGTGTTGGTCTTACCTTTAACACTTTTACTTTTTATTCTTTACTTTCATTTTTACTTTCCTTTCTTAGTTTTTTCAAGGGTTCTGATAGGCAACATTAGTATTTGAAGTTTTTCATATAAAAATGCTCTTAGATAATATGGAAAAGTTATACACATATTGACAGTTCAGAAATCACTTGATCCAAGGCACAATGTGATCAAAGCCAAACAGTAAAATCCACATGTGTGGGCTGGCTTGGGCCAGTCATCATACAAATAATAAAGGAATTAAAGACATCTGTCTTCTGATACCTGTGGTCACATCTGGTATGACGTCTTAGATAAAGAAACATTTTACCTTAACCTGACCTCAACCCCTTCTCAGGCCTTCAGGATTAGATTTACACAATTACATCAAAATTTTTAAAAAATCCTTTCTAAAACAGCTCCAACAGAGGAAAAAAAAATATGCTTCCTTCAGAGACTCCTACTAAACATCAAGTGTTCAATCTGGTGTTTCTCCAAACCTATCAGTAGAAATAAAAATGTCACTATTGAAAGCAGTGCTCCTTCACTGTGGATGGTTCTATCCCCCAAGAGATGCATGACATCAGGAGACATTTGGTTGTTGGTTTTGGACAATTGGGGAGGGGGGTATCACTATTGACATTGAGTCGGTAGAGGCCAGGGATGCTGCTAAATTCAGGACAGCTCCCCCACAGCAAAGAATTATACAGTCCCAAATATCAGTAGTATTAAGATTGAAAAACCCTGATTAAAAGGATGAACCAAGGATGAGTTCATAGGTGAACCCCATTCTCTTTAATATAGTTAGCTACAGAGTAAGAAACCAGACTGGAAAACATGTTTCTAAACTAATGGGGATTTTTTCTCTCTTTTTATTCTTTTACTTAGGGATTTTGGATTTAGTGCTTATGATAGTGAAAGTGTATGTTTAAAAATTTTATAAAGCAAATTAAAGGCTTCATTGCATTTTTATTCCCCTTTTCTCATGTTACTCGACATCATCCCACAGTATGCAGGCTTTCAAGGCAAACTAGTCTGTCAGTCACTTGAGAGTACAGACCACTATAGAAGCCAATTCTGACAAATCTGATTTGAAATAGTTCCAAAAAGATTCTCCTGAGACTGACTTTTCCATGGATTACACCTAAAGGATGCTCTAGGGCCCTTCAACTGATATGTCACTTTGTGAATACAGCAGCAAAATCCCTGACCACTAGTCCTCTTGGGTGCTCACAGAGTAAAGCTTGAGTAAGACATAGTTGGAATAAATAAAAATTAAGAGGTGGTACAAAGGAAAAATATAAATAGCTTTGAATACGGTTTACCAAAATTAAACAGTAGATAAAGAAATTAAAACAAGATTAAAGGGGGAAAAAGTAGATTATGATTATGAATAATGGGTTATTAATGAAAAACAGACATTCGGGCCATGTTTTTGACCTTTGATGTTAACAAGAACCACAGACAGCACTTTCACCCTGCTGCTGCCTAACCCATTGTGGGCCAGTTGAGGGACATTGTTAGACTGAAAAATATCGTGGTTCTGAATTGTGTGGTCAGTTTCATTTCAACTTTTGACACATACAAATTGTGAAAGGGCTTTTGATGTTCTAAATAACATAAACCAGCCTAGTTTATTTTCTGTAGTTCACAGTAGATGCACACTAAATATGCATATGTTCCACAAGTATGAAAAATATTAATACAGATAAGTTACTCTGACGAAAACATTTAAAACTGACATTTTATAGGTGAGCAAACTAAAGCACAGAGTTTATGTAATTTGCCCAAAGGTTCTTATAGAGTGAAGGGAAGAGCCAGGATCTAAACATTACTATGCAAATCAAAATAGAAAAATGTAGATAAGAATCACCAGTAAATTCATCACCAAGTTTTTTTCTTACATCTTTGTATATATTTAAGCCTAGATGTACACATAAGTTTTTAAAAGTAAGAGTATATTATTCATTTTGTCTTGCAATATTCTTTCCTCTCTTAACAATGCATCGTAAACATTATTCAAAATCAGCAATCAGCAGGTCCCATATTGGTATCTGATTAGTAATCTGTGAAACCGTATTCCACAAAATGTTAAGAGTTGTGCTGCCAGAACCTAAACCAAAATGAAAAGATAAACAAAACCAAAGTGAATAGTTGCCAAGGTTGGAGGGACAAGAAAATGTGGAGTTGTTGTTCAATGGGTATGAAATTTCAGTTACACAAGATGAATAAGTTCTAGAGATTTGATGTAAAACATAGTACCTATAGTTAACAATACAGTCTTGTGCACTTAAAAAATTGCTAACAGGGTACATCCCATGTTTAGTGTTCTTACCACAGGGGGAAAAGGGGAGCACACAAAAACTCTTGGAAGTGATGGATGTATATATTACCTTCTTGTGGTGATAGTTTCATGGGTATATGCATATATGTCCAAATTTATCAACTTGTATACATTAAATATGTGCAGTTTTCCTATATTGATTACACCTCAATAAAGCTGTTAAAAAAAGAAAAAACAGAAATTAACAAAAACATATTTTAAAGGTCTTGCTAATATAAATAGCTATCATTAATGTTTTGCTAATATTATTAACTATTATTTCAAAGGGCAGTGTACACTTAGGGTAAAGTTCATCATGATGGTAGTTGATGTAAATATGTATCTTTTAGTAGATCTTAAATTCAACTTTTTCAGCCTATTTCTTGTTAGATCCTATTAGACTGTTAGTGTTTTTAACTCATAATAGGCCTGATTATGAGCACAAACAGGAATATATATAACTGAAGACCACAATGTACAGCAATAAGCTCAACGAAAACAGGAACATCATCTTTTTATGGATCTCACTCTTCCCATAGGAATCATCATGTGACTTAACATGCAAACTTCTGACATATGGACCAAGTGAGGTTCCAGTGTCAATGAGAATATAAATACCAGTGAAAATGTATTTAGAAATTACAGCATTTTCTTTCCATATCATCGTGAATCAGCTTAAGAATCATGGCCTTATGAAATATACTTCTGTGAAATGTTACAGGTAGAAGAGAGATTACTATGAATTAATGAGAGAGTGGGAGGAGAGGAAATAGAAATATTCCAGATGGACTTGTATTTCAAGTAAACTTTCCAAGAAAGAAAGGAAGGAATTCTACATAAAAACATGAGGATGTCAAGGAAGTCTATGTACTTCATTTGTTCATTCTTAAAATTAGTATTTCTTGAGTATGTCTAAATATCAAATATATGTTGGTGGAAGAAAAGCCAGTGGAGAAAGATGTATTCTTTCTCTCATGAGATGTATTCCTTCTCTTATAGAGGTATTCTTGTCTCTCATGTATTTTTCTCCTCTCTCCACTGGCTTTGATAAGGAAAAATTGAATGCAGGACCAGAGACTGAACTATCGTAACATACAAAAAGACAGCTTTCTTTCTGCAGTTAGTAGAGCTGGGTCGATATATGAAAATATCTCATCTAGAAAGATACAGCTTTGCCAAGCTCAAGCTCAAGCTGTGCCAGGGACCAGAAATGAATGCAGAAGTAGAAGAATGGACTAGAAAGAACCAGTATGGCAATACAGAACCAGAAAAACAAAAGAGATGGTAACCCTGAGGTCAATTGCAGTCATTTCCTTCATCATCTTAGGACAAATTTGAATGATGGAATCCAGTGAGCAGAAACTGGAAGTTAAACCAGAGCCATCTCATATGTCAATCATCCCTTATCAATTAATTTCTAAATTCATAAATATCTACTCAGTGTTTGACATATTCCAAACAATGTGTTGGGTGTTGACAATACAAAAATAAAACAGATAGACATGTTTTTTGCTTCCACATTTGTTTTTTAATTGTTGTTGTTATACCTCTGAATTATTTAACAAAGTACATATAGTCTATTTCATAGTGTCAGATGTCATTCTTAATTAAATTTTATGTACAGGTCTTCACCAGGAAAAAAAGACACCTTCAATATTGGGTAGGGAGAAAAGTGAACATGGGGGATTCCCTAAGTGTGCAAAATTGTTTAGAGTAGTACATAAATCTATATCATCTCACTGAGATATGCCAACAGCTTCAAGGACATGGGTATAGCTTCTTGTTTTCTGGAAATCCATTATGCGGAGTATCTCAATTATTTTAAAAGAAAAAAGTCATCTGAGTAACCAAAACAGAAATATAGTCCTGCTTTGTTATACCAATACGTATGTAAAAGAAAGAGAGAATACATAAAGATAACTCATTGACAGTACTATTGAAAGATGGTTTTAAATTTTTCCTCTCCTTTCAAAATTTAGTTTTAACTTTTAATATCCTTGGTCTCAATACCAAGCAATTGCATGAATCCTGCAGTCCCAACTTTATGTGCTATATTAAAAACATACACGCATTATTATTTCAAACCATACCAAGGAGATAACACTGCCTTCCCAGAGTGAATAGATCATGCCAGTGAAGTAGCTCACAGGGGATAGAAAAAAAGGGCTGGAAAAGAAAATGACAGGAATAAAAGAGAGAAAAGATAGATAGAGATCAAGAAGGGAAGACATCCCTTTTCCAATCCAAACAAACTTTATATGTGCAGCAAAATCTAGATGTGGTATGTTGCTTTTTTTTTCTTTTGGCCCAATATTTTTATCTTTTTTTTTACTTTTATTTTAAGTTCAGGGATACACATGCAGGAAGTACAGGTTTGTTACATAGGTAAATGTGTGCCATGGAGGTTTGTTGTACAGATTATTTCATCACCCAGGTATTAAGCCTAGTACACTAGTTATTTTTTCTAATTCTCTTCCTCCTCCCACGCTCCACCCTCAAAAAGCCCCAGTGTGTGTTGTTCCCCTCTATGTGTCCATGTGTTCTCATCATTTAGCTCCCACTTATAAGTGAGAACATGTGGTATTTGGTTTTCTGTTCCTGCATTAGTTTGCTAAGTATAATGGCCTCCAGTTCCATCCATGTCCCTGCAAAGGACATGATCTCATTCTTTTTTATGGCTGCATGGTTTTCCATGGTGTGTGAGTACCACATTTTTTTAATCCGGTCTATCACAGACAACTTACAGTATGGGAGAAAATTTTTGCAAACTATGTATCTGACAAAGGTCTATCCAGCATCTATAAGGTACTTAAGCAAACTTACAAGAAAAAAAAATCCTTATTAGGAAGTTTTTAGGCAAATACTATGAACAGATAATTCTCAGAAGAAGACATACATGCAGCCAACAAGCATGTGAAAAATAGCTCAACATCACTGATCATTAGAGAACTGCATATCAAAATCACAATGAGATACCATCTCATACCAGTCAGAATGACTATTATTAAAATAAAAAAATAACAGATGCTGGCAAGATTGTAGAGACAAAGGAATGCTCATACACTGTTGGTGGGAGTGTAAATTAGTTCAACCACTGTGGAAGGCAATTTGGCGATTCCTCAAAGACCTAAAGACCAAAATACCATTTGACCCAGCAATTCCATTACTGGATATATACCCAAAGGAACATAAATCATTCTATTTTAAAGACACATGCATGTGTATGCCACTTTTTTAACTTCATCACTTTCAACCTTTTGTACTTCATGAAATAATTATTCCCTAATTGAAGAAGTTCTTTAATGTAAAAGAGCTATGAATTAAGCCATGAAACTGATTAAACCTTTGGAATTCATCAGGAGGCTCTGCTAGAAGTCATCATTATAAAGGATTGTAAAGGATCAAGGATTAATAATAATAACAAAGAAATAATAAAATAATAGCCTCGAAATTTGGCATCCAACAGTGCAAATTACTTTTTTCTTTGCAAATTAGATTCCCTTTCATAGGACTGTTTCCTGTTAAACTATGGTTTTAATCTACTTCCTTTTCTAAAACTTTCATATCTAAGGAGTCAGTCAAATAGCTAGAGCTACAAGAACAGCCCAGCTTTATGGTTTCCACCCTACTCATGGGCCCAACTGTGGCACATAACAAAGGGGCCAAGTCTTGGTTTTTGGTTTTTCATTTTTCTTTCAAAGGGGGACTTGGAATACTTGAGGTAGGAAAGGTGAGAGAACAAGTCATTATGTATTTGGAGAAATTACTTATTATTTATTATCTAAATGTATTATTTTCCTCCTATGGTAATATAGGCAGCCATAATCATGTGAGCTCTGAACATGAGAGAGAAATAATTCAATTCAGCAAAATTATACTGATTGAAATGGATGTGTAAAAAATATTGAACTACATTTTATAGGAAGTGTCCCTTTTGTTCATAGGAATTATGGAGAAGTTTGAATAAACTAGACAGTGTTATAGGTGTCTATAAGACATTTATAGTTCTACTGTTGAAGTACTACCTTGAAAAACTCAGCTCAGATAATACTGAGAATTACCTCCTCGATAATTCACAATCTTCAGAATGCAGCTGCTAAGACAAATGAAGTCACAGGATTTAGGTAAAAACCAAGATTCTCTTTTCAGCTGTGCCTCCCTGACCTATCTGGATTAAAAAAAAAAAAAGTTATTCTTTACAGGGCATTTTGTAGCTTGACCCTTCTACATCTTTTCATATCTCACCATTGGAATATCAAAACAGTTATACGTTTATAGATTACAACATCCTTAAGAAGTACACTAACTAGTGAGCACAGAAATAATTAAAATCGTGGAAAAAAAGTATGAACGAATAAGATAGATTTCCTAAAATCACAGACAAAAACAATTTCTGTTACTACACACATGAGAATCATACTTTTTTGTCTGACCTCTTATTGCTGACCCCTTTTCCTAGGAATATGTGAGCCTGGGCTGCAATTCTAGCATCTGAGATTGAGTGTGGAAAGGTGGGAGGGAAACAAACGTTTGATCAAAGAACAAAGTGGGATTGATATCCAGGTCCCAGATGAGACTGTGGAAAGAAAGTAGAGTGGAAACATTAAGTGTAAACAGAAGATGGAGACTAGATATTAAGGAAGATAGATTTGGGAGGTAAAGCAGACATTTCCAGACATAATGAGATGCACAGCACTGGAGCCCTTTGCTCTGTGCCACAGTTGAGCCCATGGTTGGGGTGGGAACCGTGAAGCTGAGCTGTTCTTTTGTGGTAAGGATTCAATTACCTCCTTACGTATGAAAATTTTAGAAAACAAAGTAGGAGAAGAGACAGCCATGAGAAGAGACAGCTGGTTGAAGTGTTCCATTTTGACAAACATTATCTGTGGTTCTGTGTCAACCTGGGGAGACACAGGTTTGTTTTTAATTTTTAAGCTCAGGAGTACATATGCAGGAAGTACAGGTTTGTTACATAGGTAAATGTGTGCCATGGAGGAATAAAAGTAGGAATAAAAAAGTAGGAATAAAACCATAGTTTCACAAAAAAATCCTATGAAAAAATATAATTTGCAAATAGAAAAGGAATTTGCATCTTCGAATGCTAAAAATAAATTAGGTCTCTGAATCAGTCTACATTTAATAAATCAAAATGTTATCTTGTCTGAAAAAAAAGGAAGAAAAGAAAAAAAGTAGTTTGAAATGAGGGTGTTTCAATTACTTCATAAAGTGCAGTTACTGCACATATGAGATTTTCCTCAATTTCAGAAAAAAAAATTAATGATTGAACCTATGAAAGGTAAGATTTTTAAAAACAAAGTAGGTGAGATTGTGCTTTCAGAAAACTAGTGAGACCATAGAGAAGTTAATGTCTAGAGGGAGCACTCTATTGAGGCCACATGCCCAATAAAGAATTAAGCCTTGGTCACAAGTTGAGAGCAGAACATGCTGAAGGAGTGAGCCTTCATGACTCATTGCTATTCAGACAAACCAAATAATGAGAGAGGAGAAGGTAGGAATTCCAAAGGGCAAAAATAGATAATTTTTATGTCAGTACAGGATTACTTGAGGATCAGAAGAGGCTTCTTTGATAGTCATTCTCTTTCAAGTTGCCAGGAGGAAGGAAAGGACCCAAGAGAGCCATGAGTAATTCTGGAACACTGGTAATAAGCCTGAGATCCAGAGAGAAAAATATAGAAGATACACTGAGAAGACCAGGAAGCCTAATCCGAAAAGCATAAGCAATCCCATTGGACCAGTGGGAATCTACGAGTTTAGAATCTGAAGAGCTTGGTTTTAGCAGAATTTGAATGGATTTGGCATGTCTCACTTTTAGACTGAAACAAAGTGAATGAATCAAGATAGGAATTCTTAGACTTTCCTCTATTTGTATTTTTGACCAGAAAACCTATTATTAGTATTATTTTAAAAAGTTTTTGTAGATTTTCATCATCCTTATTATTTGGAATTTTAGAAAAATCTATTTCCTTGTATGTGTGCAGCTAAACCCTTAACAACCCCCAATAGGGTTCTTTCTTCCAGAAAATACAGCGGTGGAGATGATGAAAACCCAGGCTGGGTCTCAGGCAGTGGCAAACAGGAATTAGAGTAAACAATCTTCAGCTTCATGGAAGCAAAGAAAAGATAAAGGAGTCAGTCTAGGATGAAGGTAGAGCCCAGTAGAAAGTCTTTGCCTGCCTTATAACAGTTTATTCAAAAGAGGTGGCACATGTAATTGTTACTGGGATTTCTACTTCTTTATATAAAATCATCCATAACTTCTCCAAGCCATAGTGAGTTTTTAAAGTAGAGAAGAGTAGGTCAGGGAGTAGATCTGCTCCCATTACAAACTTTAGTCCCTATCACAGACATTCTAAGCATATTTTTTACTCCAGGATCTAAGTCACTGGTTAAAATGTTCACTGCCCAAGAAGCAATCTCAATGGAATGCCATTTGCTGTATCTCCCCAGGTTGACACTGAACCACAGATAATGTTTGTCAAAATGAGACACTTCAACCAGCTGTCTCTTCTCATAGCACATGTGCTCACAGTTGTCAGTGAAGAATTAAGACTGTAACAGCAGGGACAGTAAGGATTAATCTTGACAGTTTAGTAAAAGGAATGCACAGTTTAGCTTTGTCCAAGTCAGGATGCCTTCCTATTTTAGAAAGAGGATGATTTCAGTTAATAAAATTTAATTTGAAAAGAGTTGTGGATAAAAGAACTATAGAAGATATCTTGAGTGACAGCACACCAGGAAAACATTCAGAATTCTTGGTGACTCCTTTTCAATCAGAACGCCCAGGATTGCAATAAAGTTTTTGAGGATAAACATAGGACTAGTGGAAGAAAAAATAATGCTTGGTAAAATAAAAAGTCACATAAACTTTTTGTCAGGGTTCAAAAGAACATCTGACAGATGCAATACTTCACTATGTAACTCCATCTCTTGAAAAAGGAATATTAAGAAGGAAGAAGACAAATACTTTCTTTTACAGTCACAGTGAAATTATGCTTAAAATGACTGTTGGGATTTTCTACAAATAGAATGTTAGAATGTTTGCTTTTCCAGCTTCCTAGAAATATGGTTCTGTGATTGGAACAGATGTGCTGTTTAGCTCTTTCTCCTTGACCTTTTCACAAGTCTCGTTATTCCAATCAGGTAATGTACAGCTGTTAAAATAAATCTGCCCTCCAGGTTTAGGGAGGATGATGAGGCCTTGCACACTGAAGCTTCTGACTTTGTTTCTGGCATCATGGAACAGAGGTTATAAACTCAGTAATCCAGAGAATATGATAAACACACCCTAATAATCTTGAAAAAAACCAATCCAACTCCATTATTTCCATAAGGAGTGAGATCACCCTGAGAAGGGTGCTGTGGTTAGATGGGACATGAGCACATTAAATCTTCAGATTCCATGCAGCAAGCAGATCTGTATTTTGGGATTGATATCCAACTTTTCTGCCCAAGTGAGGCTTGTACACAGCTCCCATTATTTTTATTATGTTTTTGGTGATCTGCACAACTCTTAAACAATGAAGAAAGAAAATATGAGTGAAGAGACACATAAGTCTCTGGTTCTCAGGTCAAAGGCTCAGCAAGCAGCTGTTCAACCCCAAGGGCCCTGCAGAGATTCCCAGCAGTCGTCCTGAGGATGAGGCTCTAGGCTTGCATATTTGTCAGGGCACTTACATCCTGGACAGCACTCCAGTGCAAAATTGACCAAAAAATCAGGTAAGGCAGGCACTCACACAGCCCATCTGGTAAAGCATCCACCCTAGAGTCTGATGTGTCTCTAGACCTGGGTATCTCCACCCCATGAAGTGTACCTGACAATTCCCCACGGACTGGAAAGAGAGAATGAAGCTTATGTTTATATTTTTTAATTTTTATTTATTTATTTATTTATTTTGAGATGGAGTCTTGCTCTGTCGCCCAGGCTGGAGTGCAGTGGCGAGATCTGAGCTCACTGCAAGTTCCGCCTCCCAGGTTCACGCCATTCTCCTGCCTCAGCCTCCCAAGTAGCTGGGACTACAGGCGCCCGCCACCATGCCCGGCTAATTTTTTTTATTTTTAGTAGAGACGGGGTTTCACCATGTTAGCCAGGATGATCTCAATCTCCTGACTTCATGATCCTCCCGCCTCAGCCTCCCAAATATGTTTATATTTCATCACATTATTTTAAATCAATATTTTACGTGTGTTTGAAAATGTGCATAATACACTGGAACACTAGATTGCATATCAAATAATAAGTAAATATACATATAGGGAAGAATGCTTAATTTTTTATTGGTAAGAAGACATGCAATCTAAAAAGTTTGGACACAGCTGTTCTAGATTGCCCCCTTTCCCCAGCCAAATGTTCATTAAAAAGGCAAGGCCTCAGAAAGACATGACTGCCATAACAGCCCTCTAAATGTCAGCAAACCTGCTGATTGAGGACAGAGATTAGACTAAGGTTACCATAGGGCAGAGGGAAGGAAAAAGGAAGGAAGGGAGAAATGGGAAATGGAAGTCCCTTTCTTCAGATGACATCTTTCTCCAATAATAAACCTTTAAACCAGAGCCCAAACTATCCACCTTCCTCATCCTCGACTCTCTGACATACCCCACCTAATTTGGTGTGAACCACGGTAACTCTCATCTAATATCTGTTAAACCCAGGAACAAGATCCAGGGTAAAGGGTGCCATCTTGGGAGGGTGTGTGTAGTGAGTCAAAGAGACCAAATATACTCAGGAAAATGCAATGGCAAGATTCAGGAACATGCAGCTGCAGAGTGTGGTCCTCAGGTAGTTTGTCTGAAAGGTGTCCATGAGCAGAGGACACTGACCTCAAAATTGAAAAACAAGGCCAGGGCCAGGCATGGTGGCTCACACCTGTAATCCCAGCACTTTGGGGCAGATCACCTGACGTCAGGAGTTCAAGACCAGCTTGGCCAACATGGTGAAACCCTGTCTCTACAAAAAATACAAAAATTAGCCGGGTGTGATGGTGGATGCCTGTAATCCCAGCTACTCGGGAAGCTGAGGCAGGAGAATTACTTGAACCTGGGTGGCAGAGGTTGCAGTGAGCCGAGATGCTGCCATTGCACTCCAGCCTGGGCAACAGAGTGAGACTCTGTCACAAAAAAAAAAAAAAAAAAAAAAAAGGAAATAAAGAAAAACAAGGCCAGGCACAGTGGCTCACACCTGTAATCCCAACACTTTGGGAAGCTAAGGTGTGTGGATCTCTTGACCTCAGGAGTTCAAGACCAGCCTTGGCAACATGGTGAAACCCTGTCTATACCAAAACATACAAAAATTAGCTGCTGTGATGGCATGTGCCTGTAGTCCCAGCTACTTGGCGGGGCTGAGGCTGGAGGATCACATGAACCTGGAAGGTTGAGGCTGCAGTGAGTCGTGTTCATGCCACTTCACTCTGGCTGGACAACAAAGTGAGATCCTGTCTCAAAAAAAAGAGAAAAAACCAAGAGCTCAAGTTCAAGATCACAGGTTGTAAAGAGCACAGATTGTAGACAGGTGAACCCCAGGCCAAGTCCAGCCTGTAAACATGATTTGTTTGGTCATAGGTCATAGGTCTTTTTTAAAATTTTGAACTGGTTGTAAGCATTTGCAACTTGGGTGATTTTATACAGAAAATGTTTACATTTATGGCTTTTCTTTATAAAAGACAGATCTGAAAGCATTGTACCCACATTCCTGAATAGCCATCATGGGCTGAGGACAAGTTTTGTGCTTCCTAAACAAGGAGGGCAGAGGCTGTCATTGTCATTGCGTCCCTGCAAGGACTGCTGCACGCAGCTATGCTTGTTTCCATTGCTCTAGACTCACAGAGCAGCAACACAGAAAGCTGAGAGAGGTCAGGAAGGCAAAAAGAAACCAAGGATGAGCAGGTCATTCTCATACCTCCTCTCCCTGACATCATTGCTGCCATGTGCCAGGCACTGCCCTAGGAATCAGCAGCAGGAAGAATCTAAAGCAATCAGAAAAGATGAGGTGCCTGCTTCTATTGAACATATATTCTAGTTGAGAAAACTGGATAATAAATCAATAAATATCAGATATCAGGGACAATAATATCTAATATATTTCTAATGCTGTAATGAGCCAGTCACCATTCTCTCTCTTATGTGGTTTGTGTTCTTTTACACATATGAATTCCCGCAGAAACCTCATGAAAGATAATTAATTACATCCTATTTACAAATAGGAAATTGAATAGTGGAGACAAGCAACTTTGATAAAGTCATACAACTACTCCGTGGTGGAGTAATAATGGGTCCCAGCAGTCTGGCTTCAGAAGCAAGGCATTTAACCCCCGTGCCACATCATTAAGTATCAAGCAGAGTGTTAAAATGGACTGATATAAAAGAGAGGGACTTACCAGACAGCTACTTTAGATTTGTAGATCAAGAAAAGCCTTTCTCTGGAGGTGATATTTAAGCTGAGATCTAAAGGACACAACTATGCAAAAACTAGAATAACATAGTAGGCAAAGGGAAAAACTAATGTAAAGGACTAAAGTTGGAAAGAGCTTGGCTTGTTAGGGACCTGGTGACCAGCATGGCTGTAGCTTGATGGGAGGGTGAGAGGGTTAGAATTACAAAATGACATTGAAGAGGAAAGCATAGGCCACATTCTCTCTGGGCTTCTCATGTAAGGAAATGAAGCTTAGACTTTATTTCATTTGGGAGCCACTGGAGGGTTATAGATTGAAGGGTGCCATAATTGGATTTGCATTCCAAAAACTTTGTAACCACATTTACCTGGGCCCTTTATAAACTGACCTTAATGTACATTTCTAGATTCCTCTATTGTTTTTTTTCCTTCATACATTTTGTCTTGTAACTCCAGTATTCCAGTACCTAGTGTTGTGCTGGAAAACCAACTCTGTGGAAACAAAACCCTGTTTTGTAGCTGTAGCCAATTTCGGTGGTGTAAATACTTCCACGATAGCTCATTTCAAGCTATCAACAATTTAACAGCTAACTTGCAAAATTCCTGAATATTTAACAATCAGCTCTTGAGAGTCCATTTCAGCAGGACTCAACCCAAATATCTTGACCTTCTGAAGCTCAACAGGTCTTTACATGACATGCCTTTCAGTATCCTGTGTTTTTTGCCTGCAAAACCTAGCCATTATAGAGCTGATGGTTATAAAAACAGAATCTTTGGATTCAGATGGACATGGATTCGAACTTCAGCTTTGTAAATCAGTCATGTGATCTTAGGAAAAGGCCCTAACTCTCTAAACCTCTGTTATCCCATTTATAATATAGGAGTGGTAACAGTTCCTACTTCAGGGTGTTGTTACACAAGAATCAAATAATATTTAAGAAGCATTCAGCAGAGTACTTGAGATATTATTTTATGTACTTCATAAGAACCTTATTTTACTCATCTACTCACTTCTATTAGGAGTTGGGGAAAGCTGTGAAGTTTGTAAAGTTTACCTTTTGGTAGCCTGTCTTTCAAGAAGTAGGACTCCTGCCTGAGACAGAGATACCTCTATGATGCCTTCTGGGATCCACACAAGAATCTTTGCCTTTCGTGTGGAAAATAATTACTAAATGATAGAAGATATATTTGATATATTATATAAGATAAATTTGATATATTACATAAGGTAAATAATGGCTTAAAGTATGAGCATTTATTTTATAATAGAGTTTTTTGATGAAAGACTTTATGACTCCAGCAGTAGACATTTCTTGCCACTGGATTTTATCCTGCTATCCTGCTATAAAAAATTTTGTGATTTTTTTTTTTCTTACAAGCAACCACTTGAGCTAAGTAACTAAGTCTTAGCCTCCTCCTGTTGGTTTTTATTCACTGGAATCCTATAGACACTTCATCTTAATGTTTAGTTGTATTACCATGAAAAAATAGCTTCATTCGTTGACAACTAAAGGTGTTGGTTCTCATGACAGCTTTATTCTATCTTTGTGACCTTGTTTAACTTCCAAACTCTCTGAGACTTCCCACATTGGAATGAATTCAGAGTCTATATCTGCTCTAAAATTCAATGGTTATATATTTTAAAATATTTATAAACCCCGAAAACACCTCCAAAGCCAACAGGAAAAAATACATTTGGCACTATTCTTGTGAGATTACTATAAACTGAGGCCTCTACAGCAAATCAAAGGAGAGTATTGAGGCAATTGTATGAATAATTAAAAAGCAAATTAAAATAAAGCAAAACAAGAGCTTGCATTTCTAAAGGTATCAGAATTCATGTAATTTATAGTCTTCTTTAGAAATCACTAGAACTACAGTGTGTTCTGTACTCATGTTTAGGAAATCATCAAAGTGGCATTTTCCTTTAAATTCAGGTTTTTAGGGGAGATCCTATATCAAAATCTTGCTTACAGAAATAGGACAATATCAAGTCAAATGTGTATAAAAGCAATCCAGGTCTACTTGTTAATTTACTAGTCAAATTTTGAAAGATATTTAAGAATACTAGAAATAAATCCATCAGATCAGATGACTGTATTCTATCATTCCTTTAAATGTATTCTGCCCTTGGCCAGGTATGGTGACTCATGCCTGTAATCCTAGTACTTTGGGAGGCTGAGGCAGGAGGATCACTTGAGGACAAGAATTCAAGACCAGCCTGGACAACAAAGTAAGACCCTGTCTCTACAAAAATTTAAAAAATAAAATAAATAAACTGTTAAAAATGTATTGTATTCTAATCAGTGTATTTATGAATCTAAAACCTCATACAAGTGCCTGCCTTAAAGTATGCATCCAATGTACCCCAATATTTTTAACTCAAAGATTGACATTGCAATGTTCTAAATTATCTCTATATATTGCCAACACATTTAGTTAGAGAAGCTGTAAGTTAGTTCCTGAAAGGGAATATGCAGGGTATAATGTTCCCTGTGCAGTGTAACCAATAGGCCAGTGGTATTTGAACTGCTATAGTGGTTTTATATCTCTCTTCAGCAAAGCAGGGCTTGAATCCAGAAAGAGATTGCAGCTTACTATTAAGTATTTTATACCAGCTGGTGAAATATCCATGACCAGGATCAAAGGAATTTTATACTTGCATATATTTCAGATGGCAATAAGTAATAAGCCCCCAACATTGCTTGTTATCTCCAATTGCTAACCCAGAAATAAATTATAAAATATATTTTCTGGCATGTTTCACAGCTCTGGCGATTAGCAAATCTGCATTATGGAACATGTGCAATTTAAATTATCAATCACATTTTTCTTTATTGGGCCTTGCACATCTATGATTAGTTCAAGAATAAGAACCATCAAAATTGAAAGAGAATTTTAAAATGTATAGAGTTTAAAATCCTGCATATTGAAAAGTACATGCCCATAAAGCAGGGACAAATGATTTAATAAATCCCCCATCCATATTTTTTCACTTGCATTATTTCCCTTATTCTGTAATTCCTAAAAGATGAAAATTATCTTTTAGATTCTCTGAAACTTGCAACATCTCCCAGGACAGCATCTTCACAGTCCCAGCTGACTCTTATATGTTGATTTTAGAGTTAGTTCATTAATTAAGCACTAGTCTCATCTGAAGTGCACAGCAATTAGGATGCCAAGGACCGCTTTATGGAGATGCAAGTGCATGAGTACATCTGTAACATATTCTTGTCTGGATTCCTGAAAAGTCTAGAATCTTCTTTAAAAAGAAAAACATTTTTTTTCTCACATTGTTGCCTTGATGCTCTATTGATCAACCAAGACAATTAAATGATTCATGTTGCTGGAAAAAAACTCTGCTAAATATGGCTGGCTGCTTTTCTATCCAGAAAAGTCCACAGAGGCCATGAAAGGCTGCTCTGATATATCCAGGCACTTTTCCACGAGAGGGTGAGAAAACTCCACCCATCTCATAGAAATGCTTAACTTGGCCTTGGGGTGGCACTGGACCCCAGATGGATTTAGCAATGAGACCAGAATAGCCACCACAAGCCTTTGAACAGGCCCCAGCTGTACCTGTTGCCACGGGTGAACCGGAAAACCCACATGACTGAGGTCTTCCGGTGGTTTGACATGCTCTCCTCAGGCTTTACTGGAGAGGTGTGACTCAGCTGTGAGCCACGGCCAGGCCTTCCTCAATCCTAAGGGAAGAATCAAAGAGAGAGAACTGAATGTTTGCTAACGCAACTGCCATCTGCCACCGTTAAGTCTTATGGTGACAGAGTGCACGTTAATGCCAGATAGACTGAGAACACACACCATCTGTTCATTGCCCTGAAATAAAATTAACTAGGTCATCTGGATTTGGAAGCCTATCTGGAATTGTTGACATCTATTCCCAACCTTGAGGATGGAAACTTTTCCCCTTCTTACATCATTCAAATTACCCAGATAAATATTTTCACTCTAATCCTCCTAGCGGAGAAAGTAAATAGATAATATATTGATAACAATTTACGTGTTACCAACGAATAAAGGATTTTCTAGCCCCTACATTATTATATTTGTAAGCAATTAATATTAAAAATTGCTATCCAACTGAATCCTTTCTACAAGGAAAAATGTATAATAAATTTAATTTCAAGAAGAATGTGCAAACTCTGCGTGGCCTTCAGTCTTTGTTGACGAGCTAACGAGATGCAAATTTCTTGGCTTCCAGGCATTCAGACTAAAAAGGAGAAGTAAAGAGCTATGAAACATTTTGCTGCTGTTTACTAAAAGATGATAGGACTGTGGCAACTAAATCTTGGAAATGACTGAAGGAGTGGTAAAAATATTTTTTTCTTCAAAAGAGTGGTGCAAAAAAGCTCTAATTCCATTTCTGCACAGAAAAACCTGCCTCTGATCTCCCTACTCAGTATCTCACCTTCCAATCAACCCCTCTTATTCTGTTCTCATATTTTTCAGTCTAGTATTGGTCCCGGTCAGTACTGGTGTAGTAGTGAATTTCAGATGGAAAGACGATACAGGAAAGAAAATAGAATAAATTATTACTTTTAGTTCTTTATGTTAGCACTTAACGGAAATACAGCTTTCTTAAAGAATGCTCTTTGAAAGTTTCTATTTCCAAGAGTCAATCTAAATTAAATTACAAGAGAAGTTACTGCTTTTAAGAGTTATGGGTATCAATAACAGGAAATAACACAGTTCATTTAGACAAACTATAATGTGCTGGCTTGAAATAAATCTAGTGAAGCTATCCTTAGGTCCCAAGAGAGTCAAGTTTTAAAATGACCTTCCCTGAGCTGGATTATTGACTAACCTCTGTTACTGGCAATATCTGGGAGCAGAAATTTCTCTAGCCTCTGCTTATGCCTTAAATTTTTAGTAATTTGAAGAGAATATGTCCTCAGCCAATTCCTAAATTCATAATGAGTGATTATATGTTTACCATTAAATTTAAAGTTTTGAAAAAGCAAGGAGATATACAGTGTAATGCCTTGTGTTTATATCTAGTTAGATAAATAAGATATAAAAACTATGCATAAAAATATGACAAAAATACCAAATTATGTGAAATGTGCCAAAGAAAAGGCACCCTGACTCTGCAATCTAAAGTAGGCCCCCAATATTCTTTCACAGGGTACCTTATATTTCCCCTTCATAGCTTCAACCACTGTCTATATAGTATTTATTTCTAGTTTCTCTGAATATATGTGTCCCTACCTCACACTCATTCCTAGCTTCTTGAGGATAGGTACTATATAGGATTGTATTCATTGCTTAATTCTATTGCCTTAAACAGTGGCTGAAATATGGTGAGTGTTCTATATTTGGTGAAACAATTTTTGAAATACACCATATTCATGGTCTAGTGGGATATAATAAAACTTAAACAGATTATAGTAACTTCCCCTCCTTCACTGACTTATTTATTTATTCAACAAGTTTGTTGAGCAGATGCTATGTCAATCTTGCCTTTAGTGATATAGATATATATTATGAATAAAATGCATAAAACTACTTGCCACGTGGATCTCACAGTGGAGAAGATCATTATTAATCAGACTCTAAAAGTACATAATTATAGGTAAACATATAATTTGTAAAATGTAATGGTATTAAGGACTAAAATAATAACGGAGATTTGACATACTCTTAGGGATTAGGGAATGGAGAAGGAATACATGCATGTAAATAAGCAAGGAAATTATGATTTTTAGGAATAAGAGACCAACTGAGAAGAAACAACATGTGTTTCATCCAAGTTTCACAGAGAAGTAGAGCTGGTTTTGGGTGTTAATTCCTCTTGTCCTTCACAGCACAATTATGTACAAGCACAGAGGCATTTAATGGTGCTTGAAGTTAATAGGCGAACAGTTGAATGTTGTAATTCTCAAGATGTATCGTTTTCAAATAACTTGAGCATTAGGTCTTTCAATTTTTAAATTTTACTTTTTAAAATTTGTTATTTTTCTAATTAAATATATTTACATTATGTCATGTTCATTTTTGCAACCATTCAATATAGCATAGATTATACTTTGGATGCTTAAGAAGAATCAAGAGTCAAAATTTCTTTAAGAAATTAATTTTATATCTCTTTTTAAAACTGCAGAAATAAAAGCAACCACAAAATAGACTGCAGGAAGGAAAGTAAAATTAACAGAATCATATTGTTTCTAAATAAACTACTGTTAAAGATTTTTCCAGAAGAGAATCTCACTCTTTAAAAAAATTATCATGTAGAGATAATGGTAGAATTTTATTCCATGAATGATATGTTTATTTATTACATATTCATTAAATATTTAGTAGAGGGGATTAAATTGGGAAATATTTCCATTTAAAAGCTACTTATTTATAGAGTTACTATTATTGTTTCAAAAGGCAGCATGTCAAAAATTACAGCAAAAAAAAAAATGAGTATGTTTATTTGGAAGCCAGAACCACACACTATCAAAGCCAATAAAATTGGGCAATGACCACAAACTCAGTTTCAAAGCTGAGATTCTGAGTGCTTGGGTTGTGGCAGTTATGATTTCCTGAATAAGACTTTGTGCTGGGTCCAGAATTCACTCTCTCTGACCTTCAGCCAAGAAAGGAAGTAGCGTGGGTGACCACGTTCAACACTTGCTCTGGGGATTTCTTTCTAGCCAAAGCTAAAAGGAGGCTATAACTGGGTAGCCAGGCCTGTCCTTAGCACATTCTGTATTTAGATGGCTTACTTAAACCCATTAGCAGCAATATGACCCTGCCCTATGCCCCTACAGACTTCCGAAAAGAAAAAAAAAAATAACATTGGGGCAGGGTGTTGGCTATGGAGCCAACACAAAGAGGGATGAAGAGGGGAAGAGAGAGAGGAAGGAAGAGAGGCCTTATTTATGTCTATGGGATTAGGAATCAAATAGACCAGAATTAAAACTCCAGCTCTTCTGTTTACTAGTGGTTTACTTCTAGTTAAATTGCATGCCCAGTCTGAACTTCAAGTTTTTAGTTGCGGAAAGTGTATACAGCAGTCACTACTTTAGAAAGTGGTTTTCAGTACCTGGCAGAGAGGAAACACTCAATAAATCGTCGTTTTTGTTAATGCTGTTATTATTGCTTTTGTTATGTCATCTACAGTAGGGGGAACAGGGATAAAATGCTGTTTCTCGGGAGGCTTCAAACATGCCATTGTGTGTTTGTGTGTGTGCCGCCTCTAAACCACCAGTATTCACCTCAATCAACCCTCCCCAATTTTAATTTGGATCCTTCAGGTAAAAAGCAAAGGAGCTATTCAGCACAGGAAAGGTTGAGCAATCTGCCCTAGGACTAATCTTCCCAACAGGCACTCCCATAGATGAACTGTTTCCCATCAGATAGTTGCCAGGCATGCCCCGAACGTTTTTATTTCTTAAAGTAATTTGAGTAGGTTCCTCGGGGGAGACACATTTTTAAAAAACCTTTTTTAACTAAGGCAATCCTTGCTCTCGAGCTAGTTTTAATACACCTTTGTAAAGAGCTCTTAAAAGCTCTAACCAGTTCATCAGAACGAAGATAAGTGCAGCTTAAACACATCATACCAAATAAATAAATAAAAGTAACATAAACAGAGAAAAAAAACAAGTTCTTAACAGTGCAACTTGAAAATTAATTATAGCACAACATAGAAAATAAAAATAACCTGGATACACAATTTCCTTCCAAAATAAAATTTTGCATATTGGACACAAAGTCACATGCTTCTGAGAATTGGGGGAGTTTTATTATTTCCTATGAAATTGACAAGATACAACAAGATATTTGCTTTTTTGATATCAGTATACTATGCTTCCAGGGAAGTTTTCTAAAAAGAAATATTTTAAACCAAAAAAGCTATACTTATTTTTTGGATTTTAAAAAAATGCACTTTCTCTGACAAGTGAGTAAAAAGGATATTCCCAAAAAAACCCGAGAAGAAAGGCAAATAAGTTTTACCCTCACAGAAGAAATGAAATTCACAATACGGAGGGGTAGGGCAAGAATTTACATCTTCCTGTCATTTTGAATTTGTCAAAGAGGGGGAAGACAACCAACTTCAGCTGTTAACATCAACTTCCCTCATCTTCCTATAAGTTTTTGAAAAGACCTATTTCATAGAATGTCTCTTTACTACTATTTCAAATTGAAGGTTTGTACTGAGAGAGTTTCCTTTTGGGATTCAGACAGCTCCCCAAATACAATATACCTCACAAAGTCTCAGGTATTGACCAAAGGAGACTATATGTCTTTCTTAATCCTGCTTTAGCTAGAACTGTTGTCCTATGGTGTTCCCTACTACACAATACTGTGTCCTTATATGGTAGGAATGATCACTATCCTTATGTTACACCACTATTTCATGCATGTACTCATTTACTCAACCAGTCTTACTAAGCATCTACTATGTTCCAGGAACTGTGCATATTAAGTAGATGGTTGTTGTAGCTATGGGAATAATAATAAAACAGTGTAGTGATGATGACTTATTTTGATTAAAATACTAGTAGAATTTGCTAATGGATTTTACATGCTGATTAAGAGGGAAGAGAGTTATCAAGAATGATCTCTACACATTTTGCATGAGGGATAGCTAGCAGTATCATTACTTCAAATGTAGAATATCACCAGAAGGGAGTGGGCTTGAGTGTTTGGGAAAACAAAAGTTCTGTTTTGTACCTGCTAAACTTGACCTGTTAGGTAAATAGGCTTGTATGTCTAGTAGGCAGTTGGATAAACGACTAACGTGCTTATGGGATATTCAGGGTTAGAAAGATAAATTTGGGAATCCTTTGCCTATAGATAGTGTTAAAAGCCATGAAATGAGATAAGATCATACAAGGTGAGAGTTTACAAAGGAAAGTGAGGAGGATCTAGAATTGAGCCCTAGGACACAACGTTAAGAGAAAAAAAAGGCAGCGGTAGAGAACAAGAAAGTGGTGGTTATAAAGTAAAAAGATAATCAGGCAAGTGTTGTCCCAAAAATCAGTTGAACAAAATACATCAAGAAGGTTAACTGTGACAAATACTGATGGCTGTGTGGTAGACGAAGAATAGGGCACAGACATGACCACTGGATATCATTGGATTGGACAAGAGGTATTTGCTGGAGAGTTTGTGGAAGTGTTTTCAGTGAGGGTGATGTACACCTCTTAATTAAACTGCTTCCTTATGGTCATCCTACAGATTAGATCATGGATACACAGAATATAGAACATCAATCTTACTCATCACTGTATTCCTAGAGCTTAGCACTGTGTCTGACACATAACAGATCCTCAATAAATACTTGTTGAACATTGAATATTGGTCCTGATCAATACTTATTTCACACCCTACCCCCAAGTGCCTTGTGTTTTCCTTCACAGATGGCACACCTCTAAAAGGCAGACATGGCACCATGTGCATCTGTCTTATACATTCCTAGAATGTTTACCCCCTCTATTAGATGTTTAATAAAGTGTCTATAATAAAGGTGAAGAAATATGGTGGTTTAGTTCTGAATTACAGAAAGAATTAGCATTCTTCCATGAAGAATAAGCAGGAGAGCAGATTGATGAAGTCAGGAGAGGTTTTAACAAATGGTCACAAATTCTTTAACACTCTTCTCTCAAGAGGTGGAGTCCAATTCCCTTCCCTTTGAATGTGGGTTGATATTAGTAAATTGCAGAGGCAGTATCTCTGCTTGACTTCCAAGACTAGATCATAAAAGATAATATGGCTTCTGCCTGGCTCAGTCTCTCTCTCTCTCTCTCTCTCTCTCTCTCTCGTCGTGCTTTCTCAGGACTCACACTTTGAACACTGATGTGAAATGTCTATCCTATAGCTGCCATGATGGAGGGACCACATGGAGAGCACCTAAAGAGAGAGAGATAACCAAGGAACCACAATTGTACCCAGACGATGTTCCAGACATGCGAGAGAGGAAGCCTCAGCTACTATCTTATGACAATCATGTGGGGAATTGTGAGGGAGAACAACCTGGCTGAACCTAGTCAAATCCTAGAACTATCAATGACTGTAAATATTGTTTAATGCCAGTAAGTTTAAGTTGGTTTGTTACATGTTAATGAATAATGAATAGGTAACAGTGCGTTTATTCTGCCAGCAAAGAAATAGGTTCAAACAGCAAAAGTTACTTTCTGACTGTCCTAAAAAAATGTTTATAGAAAAGACGAGATTAGAAGAGCTACTTGAATGGCCTCTATGACTTTTTATTGAGAAAACAGATTCCTGGCCTAACCACAAGACTAATATTTTGAGATAGGTCATACCCCAAAGGTCAATTCCAAGTTTGAAGACTATCAAGGATAGCATCTCAGAATAGTTCTTTCATCTCATTTTGCTACCAAAGTCCACAAACAACAGAAAAGGTATTTGGCAATCAATGAAACACAGTAGTGTAGAAGTCACAGTTTTTCTTGCTTCTCTTCCTCTTTCTGATGGTACACTTTAAGTTTACTAGTATAAGCACCCTTCAGAAAGTAAGGAATGCACCAGGTAACAGGAGCCCATAACTGCAGGCTGCTGCTTTTCATTCCCCTTTAATCAGGGGAACAGTAAATGAGGAAAAGGTTAATACTTGAGCAACTTCATTATTATCATGATCAAGTTTTACTTAAGCTATGTTGCCTGGAATCAAGACTGGATGCCAGATTTATGATTTCTTGTTTTGCCACAGTTACATAATCCAATTATATAACACTTATAAATCATCTTATGCAAAAAAAAAAAAAAAAAAGATACTTTAAAGTTTCCCTACTCATTGCACCACTGGGCTGACTAGATAGAGGCTTCAGTAAAGCCATCTCTCCACAACCAATCACATCTTTCTCTGATAGTTTCCATGCTCATCCTAGACAAGACTCCAGCACTCTTATCAACTGGAAAGTAACTGTACCTTTTGACAGGCCTTTTAACACATGTGTCCTTCTGAGTCAGAAAGACCTCTCCCCTCTCATATTCCCCCACATGCCTTTTCCAGCTACATAAAATTAACCATAAATCATTATCTCCTCAGATGACTTACACCCAACATCTAAATTTTATTGTTTTGTGTTTTCTAAATGTCTTAAATCTATGCAGCAATGACATAATGTGTTTCTTCGCTTCTATTTTCTGTTATTTGATATATTTTAGATTATAAACCTCTAGATGGCAAGGTCAAAGTCTGTTAAATTTGTTCTTGAAATGGAGTGATATGAAACCCTATTAAAATCATGCTTTAATAATAATTATTTGGGAATAATAATGCCTATCTGTCCTTTCTAATTAAAAAATTCAATCACTATATTGAAGTCTTTCTCATACTGTTTTACAATCTCTCCGCTCTTCAGTATTTAAATTTCACCAATTAATTTTGAGTCCTATAACGCTTTTTCTAAAGGGAGTCTTTTCTACATGAGACATGGTAGCTCTGCTAAATTGGTCCTCCTTTGGCTTTTCCTACCAAATTAATGCAGCAATATAGGAATAAATCAGAGTCTATAGAGAACCACAAAAGAAAACTAATCATCTATACTTAATGATTTAAAGGAATGGACAAGAAAATTAAGAATGAAACAAGACAAAACTTCCCTACAGAGACATGTACATCTTACTTCACACTGGCTGTTGGAAAATGACACCCATTCGGTTAAAACAAATAGTAATAAGAGAAATCAATTTTATACTTTGTAGTTTTTAAATTCACTGCCACTTTGTATTCCTGGGACTCACTCACTGATCCCACTGGCCTTTACTAGGGGTACATGGTTGCTTTGGACAGAACTCTGAACATACTTTTTTGTATCCTAAGGGCTGGCCCATTAGACTGCTTGGTGAACTGTGGTGAGCAAACAGAATTGTTTTTCACCAATTCTGTTTTCAGCAAAGAATTCTTTTTAATTCTCCTGTCCTGTGTTCTGCCAAAATTCTTAAAATACTGTTCATGGAGATTTTTTTGTTACCCGCCTTGGAGCCCAGATGTAGGAACCAAGCCAGTGCAGCTGGTGAAACTTGGCTGAGTCTCACAGATAATTCAGTGTTTGAACAGTCTTTCTTTTTTTATGTTGTTATTATTTTGGAAAATTTGGGAGTAAATGGTTTTAGACGTGCAGGTTGAGGGACTAGAATTCATATAGGCTAAAGATCTCCTATCACTCTTTCATAGAATTTCACCAAACTGGGCAAATATAAAAAATCAGATCTCCTGCCTCTTCAAACCCTGTACCTTGAATTAAAGAGACTGACTTTTCAGGGCAGGATGGGGAAAGGAGAACATTTTCCTGTTGCTTGATCTTTTCTTTTTCAAAAGACTTAATGTCATGAATATAAACACATTATGCCCAAAAGCAAAATTTTAAAACCAAGAGAATTTTAGGAGCAAGAAATACTCATTCAGAAATTCCGATAGAAAACCCAGTGATGCTTAGGGCAATGAAAGTGATTTTACACTAGACTTTACTTCTGCTAAATTCTGGCACCACATTTACTACTTACAAAGCAATTGCATTTTAGCTGACACCATATTATATTGATATGACATGAACATAATATTAATCTCTCTGACCTACATTCCAATTTTCATTCTTCCATGGAATAGGATAATAATAATAGCAACTACTGGTGAAGTGCTTACTGAATTGTGTTATGTGTGTTACATGGATTAACTCATTTAATTCTCTCCATAAATGAATGGGGGAGGTGCAAGTACTATGCCTAGTTATCCATAAGGAATCTACAACCTACACAGATTAGTGATTTATCCAAGAACTCAAAGCTAGTTAATGGCAGAGCTGAGATTTGAGCCTAAGTCATCTAATTCCTGAGACTGGATCAGAAATGCTATATTGTGCCACATTTTCAAGGAAGAGGTGGAGTCACTGCTAAAATACAAGGAACTGCACATAACCATGGTTGTGCACACAGGAGTGTGTTTGGTTTTGAACATTACCCACCAATATGTTGGATAGAAAGAGCATAATGGAAAGAGCTTAAGAACTGACTACTCAACTATGCTGTGAATTCTTTCTCTCCTCACGGAAAATTGCCTGTTTTGCTCTTTCTGTGCAGACTGACTAGCTAATCTGATAAATAAATAAAAGAAAATGGTATAAATGACTCATAACTACTTGATATGTATCCTTTCCTGTCTCATGTATGTTTTATTAGAAATCACCAGGGCCTTAATCTCATGGGCTGAGTAACATGAGAAACTCCAGAATCGGGATGCGTTGCAGAGCAATTCTCACCCAGGAGATATTTCACTACCCTTCAAATCTATACCTTTTTATGTTAAGAGATATTCTACTTGTGAAAATCATTAACCTTTTGGACAAGTCACCAAAACTTCCTTACAATTGTTGATTTTAGAATTCTCCAGTTTTTTTCTTCTCTCTATATGTTTAATGACTCAACCATAGCATTAAATATGAAATAGGGTACTTGAGCTTATTTGTTTCTAGAACCTCTTTTGTTTCTAGAGTAATTTAAAACTTCCTTCTAATTCTCCCTGAATTCTAATAACTTAATATTTGCACAAGTGAAGTTGGTTTCAAAACTTAAAAAGCTATAAGCTCCATATAGAAAAAAGCAGCATTCTATCAGGAATACATGCTGATATTAGCTAAAAGTTCTCATACTGTATCAAATTTTCCAGGCCATATGGGAATGAAAAGAAAGGCATATGAAGATAATGTGTCTTATGTCAAATAGCTTCTGTGATTAAAAAATATATAATTATGAACTCTCTCCTGAGGATCTGAAGGGTATTTAAAAATAGTATCAGTAGGTCTCTCATTTAAATGAATTAGGCGTGGTCCCATCAGGAAGCAAGCTTCCTTTCAAGCTTATAACTGTAACTTGGGCCAACAAACACAACATAAAAACAAAGAAAAGAGAAGAGAAGGGGAAAGTCAGAAATTTAAGAACAGAAAAAATGTAAAGCTATTTTCGAATACCTCTTCCAATATGGACTATTGTGCACACCATGTTGTCATTGCAAAAGCCATTAGTGTTACGGTATGTCCTGAGATTTGTGTCAGATAATAAACACTTAAGTTGGAACTGGAAATATTGTTATAACATCATGAAATCATCATCATATGACACTAAAACATTAGTGAACACATCATGAAATAATCACAATTTGCAACTGAAGCCTTTTCCCATTTTGCAAGAGAAGTTGGCAAAGCTTGGGTCCGACAGCACTATTTTTCAGGGGGAACTTGGGAAAACAACTGTAGTAAGCAATAGAGGAAGGGTCACGGCATCCATTTAAATGCATATAGAGTGACTTTGGATCATAATTAGAATCTCACATCTTTCTGGCTTTTAGTCAATAACTTTGTACTCGTCTGATATAAAACGTGTCAAAAATTTCAACAATGTTCATAAAAAGCAAATATCTTTAAGTACTTGAAGAACTCAAGCATTGTACATTAATGTAGGCACATTTCAAAAATAGCCACTGAACCAATCCCATTACTGGGAGGACTACTGCACTCCATCATTATATTTGATAGGTTTTTCAAATCTCTCCTCCTTCAAATTACCTGAATTTGAGTGAAATCCAGAGGGCTATCTTGAAAATTAATGAAAAAAAATGAATGTACTTTTCTGAGGTATCAAAGCTGATGTACCATACGCATAGGACTATAGGACTTAGGTAGGATTTTTTTTAATGGTATTTAAAAGACTGCTTGAAGGACATGTCTTCAAACATATATATTATTATATATCAATAATGTCTAATGGATAAATAACCATTAATAAATCAGAAAAAAAATGTCTCTCTACTGACACAAATGTTCTCAACCTGAGGTTATTCATTTAACCAATACCTAGTATCTCCAGCAAATATGCATTCAACAAAAATCTGTGAAATTACCATGTGGCAGACACTATGCAAGAGTGAAAGATAGTCTCTCGTCCTTGAGATGGCTTCATCTATGGGAGAGACTCATGTATACAACTTAATAGAATATAGTATCACAGATATTGTTTACCTACAGTTTTAAAAATTTGGTGAAATAATTCATAGTTTCTTTTCATATAATTCTCAAAATCAATTGTTCATATATCCTGTTCTTGAATTCCATGAGTCTCTAATGAGTTAAATTTGAACAAACTTTAGTTTGAGAAAATCGTTACGTTTTCATCAGCTGATATTTGGTAAATTTTTTCTGCTTTGCATGTGTTTTTGTCTCCCAGAGGCTACTTCCTCCGTTATAGAAACAAAATTTTAGAATACTTTAAAATACTATTCCCATTAGCATGTACTCCTTATCTATGAATAGTGACAATAAGGAAGAGAAAGGTATTAACATGGTATATAGGGCATAGAGAGGAGTGAAGAAAATATCCATGAATGTCACAAACTAATAAGCATACAGTTTATCTCCTAGACTATATGTTGATAATCAAATAGAGATATTTACAGCATCAAGCAATATCACATTTATGAATGAAATTTACATTTTCAAATTAATATATAGCACATATTAGCGTCTTTGTTTCAAATCAAGTTCTAATTTATCTGTCTAGATACATCATCAGAGATTTAAAATGTAAAATGTATTCTTTTTAACTGTGTTGTCCTTTATTCATGTCTACAGTTTATTATTTTAACCATAATAGAATAAGGAACTCTTCTTCTTTTTTTTTTTTTTCTTTTTTTTGAGACGCAGTCTAGCTCTGTCACCCAGGCTGGAGTGCAGTGGCAGGATCTCGGCTCACTGCAAGCTTCGCCTCCCGGGTTCACACCATTCTCCTGCCTCAGCCTCCTGAGTAGCTGGGACTACAGGCGCCTGCCACCATGCCTGGCTAATTTTTCTGTACTTTTAGTAGAGATGGGGTTTCACCGTGTTAGCCAGGATGGTCTCGATCTCCTGACCTTGTGATCCACCCGTCGGCCTCCCAAAGTGCTGGGATTACAGGCATGAGCCACCATGCCCAGCCAGGAATTCTTAATCCTATATTATGTGTACTTTGGGTATATTAAGGTAAATTTATTTTTTACAGTTTAATTTTTCTGAGTCATTTTTTTCTCTCATGCATATTTGTGTGTGTATTTTAAATTTACATTTGACTTCTGTTAAACATAATTATATTCACTTTAGAAAAAACAAAGATGGGAGGGCAAGTAATTCCCATAGATGGTTAATGTTTTAGGCCACGTAAAGAGAGAAATACATCACCATCAGTTCATAATAATAGAAGTTATCTATTGAGCGCTTCATCCATGTTGCTTCCTCCAAAGTCTGATGCTTCCTTTCTGTGAAGGGAGCTGATGAATGTAATGCCTGGGAAGGGAGAGTCACTTCTGAGATTGCTGACTTGGAAAGAATCATTGAGACACCCAGATCCACCCTCTTTCTCTGAGGTCTGAGCTCCAGGTAGACAGCAAGTGACCACTCTGCTGAGACCACTAGGATAGCCTGAGGCCGTATAGATAAATCTGCCTCATTCTGGAGTTTCCTTAGAATGTTTATTTGACTTTGTTGGTGTGCTGCACCCATTAACTTGTCATTTACATTAGGTATATCTCCTAATACTATCCCTCCCCTCTCCCCCCACCCCACAACAGGCCCTGGTGTGTGATGTTGCCCTTCCGGTGTCCAAGTGTTCTCGTTGTTCAATTCTCACCTATGAGTGAGAACATGCAGTGCTTGGTTTTTGTCCTTGTGATAGTTTGCTGAGAATGATGGTTGCCAGCTTCGTCCATGTCCCTACAAAGGACATGAACTCATCCTTTTTTATGGCTGCATAGTATTCCATGGTGTATATGTGCCACATTTTCTTAATTCAGTCTATCATTGATGGACATTTGAGTTGGTTCCAAGTCTTTGCTATTGTGAATAGTGCTGCAGTAAACATATGTGTGCATTGTCTTTATAGCAGCATGATTTATAATCCTTTGGGTATGTCCTCAGTAATGCGATGGCTGGGTCAAATGGTATTTCTAGTTCTGGATCCCTGAGGAATCGCCATGCAGTCTTCCACAATGGTTGAACTAGTTTACAGTCCCACCAACAGTGTAAAAGTGTTCCTATTTCTCCACATCCTCTCCAGCGCCTGTTGTTTCCTGACTTTTTAATGATCACCATTCTAACTGTTGTGAGATGGTATCTCATTGTGGTTTTGATTTGCATTTCTCTGATGGCCAGTGATGATCAGCATTTTTTCATGTGTCTGTTGACTGCATAAATGTCTTCTTTTGAGAAGTGTTTGTTCACCCACTTGTTGACATGGAACATGTATACATAGGTAACAAACCTGCATGTTGTGCACATGTACCCTAGAACTTAAAGTATAATAAAATATATATATATATAAAAGAATGTTTATTTGACTTTTACATATGCCTTCCAGCCTGATTTCTATAATTAATATAGGTACTATTTTGACCTCTCTCTTTATTCCTTTTTTATATACTTGATTCTCTCAGCCAAGACACCAAATAGGAGGTTGCTGAGCCCAGTGCTAAAAAACACCTGTCTTCCCCAGCTGGGGTCAAAGTAGATTGAGAATCTGATGCCAGACACTGGGCCAAGTGTGCTCTATGCGTGATCCTCATTTATTCCTCACAATAGCACTATAAGGGTGATGCAATAATTATTCCAATGTTGGAGAAGAAGAAATTCAAGTTTAGATAGATTAACACACTTGCCAAGATTGCAGTGAGAGAGTTGACCTTTAAACCCATATCCAATCCTGGGACCATAAATGTTAACCACTATGCTACATGGATATACTGAAATCCTCACTAGAATAAAATTAGCTGAAATCTCAGGAGAACCAGGGAATGAATACACACCAGTCCATCCTGTGCCAGGATTCATGAAAGAATAGATGGCATTATTAAAGAGGCCCAACACAACAAAGAATGAAGCTCAAGGAGAATGACTGATAGCTACTTTGATTATAATGGTGACCATTTTGTTCTACCTCTTGGTCAAAATTCAGAAAGCTGGCTGCTTGTACTAGACTTGAAACAAGCAAGTTCAAAAATGTCATCTATTTTGTAAGCCCTAAAGCACAGAGGAGGTAGAAAGCAGAAATAAAATTATCTTTAATACATTGCAGTCAGGTGAGTGACATTATATCACCTATAAGTTATTTTGCCTATTCTTCTTTTTTTATAAAATGTATTCTAATCAGATAAAGAGATCTGATTTCCAACTAGGATGACCTAATACCTGTACTGTTCTGTCATCTACAAAAATGACACAACACTAGCTTAGCTTTACCTTAAGCAAACAAAAATGTGTCTGGCAAGAAATAGTAAATTTGAACTATTTCAGTTCTCAAAATAAGGTGATGCCATTTTACTTATCTTCTTTCCTTTCCACCTGCTTAGTTTATCTCAGATACTCTAGAATATCCTTTCCCTAATTACCTATTATTAGAAAAAAAAGGAGGGGGAGACTTCTTCCACCTCCTACCACTGTCTTTTCTTGATCATTTTTCAATAATTTTGTGGGCATATTAAATAAGAACAGAGATAGATGGGGGGGTAAAAGTCCATTTGATGTTAATGGAGTTTCAGTTTACTCAAAATAATTCTCCAATTTTTGTTGTTGCTGATCACACTGACATTGCAAACTTTAGAAGTAAGGATGAGTTGAGTTGAAACAGATGAAAAAGAAACCGTGTATGTATGTGATTTCCTTAGGAAATGATGTATACTTAAGCATGATTAAAATAGTCACAGGGAAACTGGAACAACATTAGATAATACTATTACAATCACTATTTAGTAATATGGGGCTCTCATTAAGAGCTAAAAATATTTCTGGGAATGTTTTTTTCATTCAGTACTCTTAGATTGCAAACGTTTTATAAGCATCATTAGATATTTGTTTTTCTGCCTGTTTCAAAAGAGAAAAAAATACATTTTCAATTATTTGGAATGTTTTCTATAAATTAAAAAATGTTTGGAATTTTTTCAAAAGAAAATATGGCACATTTTTTAAAGTTTCTTATGCTGCATAAAGTAACTAATATAAAAAATTTTCTCTTGAAAATTATTCTAATATTAATAATTCTATAATTCTAATAATTCTAATAATTCTAATAATAATATTAATTATTCTAAATAACTTTTATGAAATGCCAACAAAATTGGGGTAATGTGAGAAAAAGGGAAATAAAAAAAATCAATCTCCTTATAATACCTGATTTGTCTATTCTTTGTCAATACAAATTACAAAATCTAGTTTTCCACAAAAGTGTGAAGTCAATCAATACATTGGGGCAAGCAGTTTATTTCAATGTTAATTTCACATTTAAAATTAACTGTGCATCTCTGTATTTCATAAATGAATGCCTTAAGTTGGTTTTCCTGGGAAACATATCAAGACTCTGAGACAGACATGTGCATGCAGGAGTTCATGGCGGGGGGAGTCAGGAACAATACCTGCCAAGGAGTGAGGGAAGCAGGATTAGGCAGAGTAAGAAGTTGAACCGTGAGGAGTTGCCACAGAGACTTCAGTCAATCTCACTGAGTGGTGAGAAAGAGATGTTTCCACACTAAACAGTCACTGGAAGCAGGCTGTCCCCAAAAGTGGACATCCCCTTATGAGAGATGGTTCCTTTTGGCTAAGGTCAGTTCCAAAAGGGGTCTCAGCTGGGAACTACCTGTCAATAATCAACACTCTAGGCTGCTGAGAGAATGAATCGCTCACCAGTGAGAGGGGTTTCAGGGGAAAAGCTCTATACCATCCATCCCCTATCCATTACAATGAAAGGTAATGACTAATAAGGGGTGGGATAATTTGCTTCATTTTCTAAATGCCATAATTCTAAGCAAATTTTGATGCTAATGAGGAAGTTTCTATTAGTCTGTTTTCATGCTGCTGATAAAGACATACCCAAGACTGGGTAATTTATAAAGAAAAAAGTTTTAATGGACTCACAGTTCCACATGGCTGGGGAAGCCTCACAATCATGGTAGAAGGCAAAAAGCACAGCTTACATGGCAGCAGGCAAGAGAGAATGAGAGCCAAGTGAAAGGGGAAACCCCTTATAAAACCATCAGATCTCGTGAGACTTATTCACTACCATGAGAACAGTATGGGGGAAACTGCCCCCGTTATTCAATTGTCCCTCTCCTGCAATACATGGGAATTATGACAGCTACAATTCAAGATGAGATTTGGGTGGGGACACAGCCAAAACATATCAAAGATAGTACTTTAAGGATTATATACTTTAAAATTATGGACTTAAAGAGAAATATGATTGGTATTTTCTTTTGTTTTTTGCCCAAAATAATGTTCAATGTTATCAATAGGGGAACTATATAGCATAAGAATCAGAGAATAGCTTTGTGCTACTCTTTTATACCTAAAGCATTGTCTATTTACTTGGCCAAGGTTTGATTTCAAAGATTTCTATTACCTTTATTGAGCACTTAACAGAATGCCAGGAATAATGCTAGAAATGAGAATTAGAGAGACAAAGAAAAGCTTTTTTTTCTGGAGTTCACTGTCTAGTGGAACAAAATACAATTGAACAGAAAATTGCAAGCCGACATGACAAGTGCTTTGATAGAGGTGTCCTATGGTGCTCAGGTTGAGGAGGACCACACAGACTAGACTAGGCTGTGTTTTAATCATATTACCTTGGATGAGAGATGCTGAAGCCAGAGCTAGTCAACAGGCAGAAAGTGGGAGGGAATCGTAAGCAAGTCCCTTTTATTTTTTTGTGGTTTCTGCAGGAACAAAAGGGGAAGGAGGGCAAGCAAGATTAGCATCGGCTTATTTTTTTTTTTTTTTTTTTTTTTTTGAGATGGAGTCTCACTCTGCCGCCCAGGCTGGAGTCCAGTGGAGCTATCTTGGCTCACCGCAAGCTCCGCCTCCCGGGTTCACGCTTTCTCCTGCCTCAGCCTCCCGAGTAGGTGGGACTACAGGTGACTGCCACCATGCCCAGCTAATTTATTTTTGTATTTTTAGTAGAGATGGGGTGTCACCGTGTTAGCCAGGATGGTCTCGATCTCCTGACCTCGTGATCCACCTGCCTCAGCCTGCCAGAGTGCTGGGATTACAGGCGTGAGCCACTATGCCCGGCCAAAATTGGCTTATTTTTAAATGTTCAGTGGGCTCTGGGACATTGAGTTTGTCCTTGTGTATTAGTCAGCCTTACCCAAAGAAACAGAACCAATAGGGTATATATAAGTATAGATATATAAGAAGGGCTTTATTATGGAAATTGTCTCACACAACTATGGAGGCTGAGAAGTCTTGGAATCTGCCATCTGTAATTTGGACAACCAGAGAAGCCAGGGGTGTAATTCAGTCCCAGACCCAAAGTGTGAAAACCAGGGAAGTTGATGGTATAATTCTCAACTCAAGGCTGAAGGTCTAAGAACTGAAATGGTGTTTGCTGCTTGTATAAGTCCCAGAATCCAAGGGCTGGAGAATCTAGAATTCTCATGTCAGAGGGTAGAAGAAGATGAGCACTCTAGCTCCAGAATAGAGATGAAATTAGCCTCTGCTCTCTTTTTTCTTCTATTTGGCCCTTCAAGGGATTAGAGGATGGCCATCCACACTGGTGAGGGGGTGGATCTTCCTTACTCATTCCATTTATTCAATTGCCAATCTCTTCCAGAAACACTCACAGACACACCCAGACTTAGTGTGTTACTAGCTCTCTGGGAATTCTTTATCCAAGTCAAGTTGACACCTAAAACTAACCATTATGGTCCTGAGGCAATTAGGGTGGGTATATAGTGACTCAGAGTATGAGAGCCCAGTAAAAGAGAAGGTTAGGAGTGTTGCCTCAATCAGCTGCTCAAGAACATGAACTGACTGGCCTCTAGCCAGGGCCTCAAAACTGGGTCAAGACAGCATTATTAAAAATCTATATTACAGCATGCTTGGGGGAGGGAGCCCTGATGGGTGATTATTTTCCAGAAAGTATCATTGACGTTGAGCTATGAAGAAACTCTAGTGTATGTTTTTTTGTGTGTGGGATAGATTTACAATACTAATCATCCATTAAAAGAGGGATGCTAGAAATTAGAGTTAATGTTTATTCCTTTAATTACAAAGAAGGATACAGATGTCACAAATTACTATCATCATTAGAATAAAATACTTGTTTTCTTTTGTCAAAAGACTCTTGAAGCTTTTCCACAAAATTAATTAATATCATCACCTATAACATTGCACAATAATGACTAAGGAAGAGCAACTAGAATTTATTGGTAGACATTGTTACTGTACTGATTTTTTCTTTAACCTAGGAAAGAATACTGAAACAATTCTAATTTTAAGTCCAAATCAAAATGAAAAGTTTTTTGCTATTGCAGGAATGAAGACGACTAGTGATAACATTGTCAAGAGTTGACAGGGGCCAAACATGGTGGCTCACGCCAATAATCCCAGCACTTTGGGAGGCTAAAGCAGGAGAATTACATGAGGCCAGGAATTTGAAACAAGCCTGGCCAACATAGTAAGACTTTGTCCCTACAAATAATAATAATAATAATACAAAAATTAGGTATGTGTGGTCGCACGAGCCTGTAGTCCTAGCTACTCAGGAGGCTAACATGGGAGTGGTGTAGTATTTTTTGCTCCTTAGTTCAGCTAAATCCAGTTTCCTATCTCACAATCAGGAAAAATTAGGCACGTGGACTCATTGAAGGGTGATTTGGGGGGTGGGGTGGGATTTATTAAGTGAAAGGAAGGCTCTCAGCAAAGAGAGGGGTTCTTCAAGTAGGTTTTCCTCTCACAACTGTATACCAGGGCCACCACACAGGAGCTGAAGAGGCCAGGCTTCTCCCCTGCATAAGGTGTGAATTCCTTGTGGCTCCACCCTGTCCTTGCAGTGAGCATGTGGGCCCTCAGTCTGAGCCACTCCATAATGACTTATTTCTTTTACTGTGCATGTGTTAAGGGATGGAATTTTTCACCGTGGGCATGTTTAGGCAAGTCCCCTGTGCACAACCAGCTGAGTGAGTTGGAAGTTCTCTGGGGACCTTCTGCTATCTGCCTAGGCATTTGGCTGTCTCCTGCCTCTATCAGGAGGATTGCCTGAGTCCAGGAGGTTGAGGCTGCGGTGAGCTATCATTGCACCACTGTTCTCCAGTTTGGGTGATAGAACCAGATCCTGTCAGAAGGACAGACAGAAAGGGAGAGAGAGAGGGAAGAAAGAAGGAAGGAAGGAAGGAAGGAAGGAAGGAAGGAAGGAAGGAAGGAAGGAAGGAAGGAAGGAGGGAAGGAGGGAAGGGAGGGAGGGAGGAAGGGAGGGAGGGAGGGAAGGGCAAAAAAAAAATAGTTAACAGGTTCACCATCTTTTTCTGCCCCCAATGTACCAAAACCCTTGTCCTTATCCTTCATTTCCTTTTTCATTGACAGTGTTATTTTCCTCCAAGGTGTTCTGTTCTCTCTCTGTCTCTCTTTCTAGCCCTCTTTCTAGCCTCATTCTCATTTTACTCCTATTGTTACATAATTATTGATTCAATATCCGTAAGGCCTCTCAAAATAAACCATGTCTTGGTTCTGTTCCTCAATGTCTCCAGACGGTGTTATCTTACATGCCTCCTAACCTTAATCTGCCTTTCCTAAAATCCATCCCATTGGTCTTGAGAAATATTTGGTGACTAACAAACCAAACCTGTGTTGACTCCCTAAAATACCGAACTAATCTTACCACTCTCCTCCTCAGAAGCCTTAGATGACTTTCAGTTTTCTATTGTACCCAAAGAGGGTGCATAAAGCAATTTACTGAGATTCGGCAAGAAACTATTCAAATGTCTGTTTATGATTATCCTAAAACATTTAGAAATAGTTGGCATTTCAAATATTAAATTCCATTACTCACAATTCCCAACACTGCCCATGGTCAGAGACACTGCTGGTATCCTGAGAGATGATGTGATAGAGTCCATACGCATGACCCCCTTACTCCTTCATTTACTTTAGTATGGCAAAGTGTAAGAGTGTATGCAGCATATAGTCATTCTCTTTTAAATGACTGATTAGGATTTTTAAAACACTTCATAATGAGAGTAAGGTGACTATGCAAATTACATATATAATACAGAGGTTTGCTAGCTATTTCATGGCAGAATATTTAAAATAAGCATAATATTTAATGAAGAAATATGCAGTTTTCTTTTATAAAAAAGACTAGATTGCAAATATGCTACTCCTTTCTGCAGTGATGAATGGTTTTCAGAAATATGTTGCTCAGCAGATGTTGAAAGAATGAGTACACTTAATCTCTAACCTCGAGGTAAAGATTATAAATTAGCAATGAGTGAGAAAGTAACTCCTATTCAAAAGAACTTATGCTATGTAGAAGGCATTTGTAAAATGGATATTTGGAACTATATCTGTCCATATGTGATTTTATTGTTAAAATCTCTCGTATTTGCAAACTTTAAAAGGTGAAAAAGAGATTTTCAAATGTGTTAAAATACCTTCCAAGTCCAAGATTTTACTAGGTTTATAAGCCACTTATTAATAGAATAAAAACTCAACACCATCTGATGAACTGGGGAGAATAAATGGTTGACATTAATACAGACGGAAATTTGCTACTCAAATTTCAACATAAATCTCTGTAAGATGAATGGATAGGATTTAAAAGTAAATATTATGATTGATTAAGCCTAGAAAATGGTGCATTTGTTTCATTTGTATCTATGTTACTTTGTGACATTATTTTCATCTTCAACAGTGGATAAAACTAAACAAGAGCAAAATTAGGCCGGGCACAGTGGCTCAAGCCTGTAATCCCAGCACTTTGGGAGGCCGAGGCGGACGGATCACGAGGGCAGGAGATCGAGACCATCCTGGCTAACACGTGAAACCCCGTCTCTACTAAAAATACAAAAAAATTAGCCGGGCGTGGTGGCGGGTGCCTGTAGTCCCAGCTACTCGGGAGGCTGAGGCAGGAGAATGGCGTGAACCCGGGAGGCGGAGCTTGCAGTGAGCCCAGATGGCGCCACTGCACTCCAGCCTGGGCGATAGAGTAAGACTCCGTCTCAAAAAAAAAAAAAAGAAAAGAGTAAACTTAACAGAGAAACAGAATTTTGGGTTGCCATATAACATAGAATTAAACTGAGTTTTCATAAACAATGAAGCAAATTCACCCATATTGTTCTCAGTCTAAATGATATAGTAAAAGTTTAATTATAAAAAAAAATTAATATTCTGGACAAAGAAAAATCAGTCTTATGACTAATAAATAAAATGAAATATGCATTAAAGTATTTACAATATTTCATTTATGTTATATAATGATAGGTACATATATAAATACATGTATATGCACGCACATATACCATTGTGTCTCCATGTGTGAAAAGGCACCCCTCTGTATACACAGGTTTCCCATCCCATGCATACTATATTTTCTATCTGCATTTACTTGAAAAAAAATCCATTTATAAGTGTACCTGCACAGTTCAAACGGCGTGCTCAAGGGTCAACTACACACAGACACACACACACACACACACACACACACAGATGAGTGCTTAATATTTTTGTTTGTTTCTTTACTGATGGGGTACAAAGTTTAATAACTTGGGGTGTCATTTGGGTTTCACAATCTTGGCAGTATCGACATTTTTGGACCCAGTAAGTCTCTGCTGTGGGAAGGGAGTTTTTCTGTGCCTAGCAGGATGTTTAGCAACATCCCTGTTCTCTATGCACTAGGTACTAGTAGCAACCAACCATACAGTTACAATGCAAAATGTTTTCAGACATCACCACTTATCCCCTGAAAGGCAAAGTCATTTTCCACTGAAAACCACCAGTCTCTAAGCTTAACTTTCAAACTCTTAAACCCAAATTAAAATCTTCTAATATCTGAATTCAACTTATATTTCTAATTTTATGTTTTAAAATCCATATTTGTAACTTTATCTTGTACAACTTTGCTCACTAATCACCCTCTATTCCCACTCTTTCTTCAACAACCTCTTATAAAACAGTTACATCAAGTCTGTCTTCATTATTCATCCCTATGTTTTTCCTCATCACTGGAACAATGTTTCCCCACATTGCTTCATGGCAGCATCTTACTCATTGAAGATCTGTTTCAAATGATACCTCATTTCTAAGGCTTCCTTCAAATTCCCTTGTTAAAATAGGCCTGTCTTCCAGGTACAAAATATACCTTAGTTACAGATTTTATGACAGGCTGTCTTGTGTTTCTGCCCCTCGTGTATTTTTCTGCCTTCTCGAACCCACACTAGATCTCCTATAAAAATATTACACAAATTAAAATTATTGCTAACGCTATTGATAGTGTGATTATTCATTCAAGAGGGACAATGGACTATCATGCAAGCCTCGAGAAGAAAATAGGAGAGCTGTAAATTTTGCAGGGAAAGATGTTCAAAATCTATTGCTAATTGAAAAGTGTAACTTACAGAATTCTACATATATAATACCTTTGAGGAAAAAATATATAAACATTATGCTTATGTATGCAGAGAAAATTGGCGGAAAGATACACAAATAATCTTCAACAGTGGTTACTTCTGGGAAGTGAGAAAGCAGTGAGGGACTAGAGCATTTTTCCTTTTGACGTCATACCTTTATGTGCAGTTCAGATTTCATTTATTATAAACGTGATTTACTTTTATAATTGAAAAGTTAAGAATTTAGTATACTTTTCATGGTTTATCTGCATTTTCTTGTTAAAAAACCCACTTCCTTGCAGACTGCAAATTTCTAAAGGGATCAAAGTAGTATCTTAGTCTGTGCCTGGAAATGGTTGCCATTTTGATGATTATCTTTGTAACACTGCTTCTCTCTCAGGCACAGTCTTGTTGGCTTGACAGAAGCTGTTTCTAGATCATTACCAGTTAGTAGTCTATAGAAAAATCCTCTGTGAGTGTTCTTCTATAGATATCCAGATAGGTAAGCCAAAATTTCTATCACGGAGAAGCAAAGATATTTCTTGGATGCAAAGGAGAAAGGTTAATATTTGAATTAAGAAGATCAGTTTATCTTCTGGTTTTATTCATAGGAAGAGAAAAAATTGTTCAGCAAGATGGTTTGGCTATTCTAAGCTGTTTCTTTTGACCTACACTGGGTATCACACTAGATCTGCTGCTATGAATGTAACCAAAAAGTCATTTAAATTTCTCTTTTCTAAAATAAAAGTCAATAACTTAATCAATGTCTGCTGTAGGGATGAAGCTGGCCTCCAACTATTATTTTTCCATTGCATGACTATTATTTTTTCCATGGCATGGCTAATTAAGTGGCTAATTTTCCATGGCATGGCTAATAACTGAACACAGGTACAAGTGGAGGAATGAATAGAATGTGGAAGACAATGGCAAGGATGATGGCTGCTGTAAGCCACTGGGCAGCCTGCAAGTACAGAATTAAGAGATTGTCTTCTTAAAGATAGATGTCCCAAGCTCAAAAAACCTTTCCTTTCAATCAGAACCAAGGCAAAAAGAAAATCTGAGACATGAGTCCTGTGGCCCACGATCCTACCAAGATTTATGAGCATTGCTTGCCATTTAGTACTTACGGTGCCATCAGTGCTGACTGCGTGTCAGCAATACAGGCTGATACAAGCAATGACCTGCTGTTATTGGAAACAGCCTGGTATTCCAGGAATTTCCTGACCTAGTATGCAGAGGTCTTCCATCTTCTTTTGATCCTGTATTTTCTTGGCTAAAACAGAGCATTTCTTCCACAGTGGAAGTAGAAACAAGGAAAATGACTTATCTTACAGCTTTTAAGTCCCTCCCATCAGGAAAAGGCAATAAAAACATCATAAAGGCCCTTTCAGTGTTCAACTATGAATTCTAAGAAAGCAGAATGTTGTATTTAGCAAGAAATCTTGGCTCTTGGGCTACTTTAGAAAGAACGGGGAAAATATCTGCCTATTTATTTCTGTATTCTTACTGCCATAAGCAGTGAGGGAGGATAATCTTTTCCTGTCTTCTCACTATTGTAGTTCTATAGTTTTAAAACAAACAATAAATGCATATTTGTCGAATGAATGGACGAGTACTTAGATACTGCAATGATTATAGCAACTCCTGGAATGCCGATAGCCATGTACAAAGTAAAATTGTTGTCTTCGAAGATAAAACACTGACCCATATTCAAAATAAATATGATCTTAATGTAAATTTTCATTAAAGAAGTAAGTTTAAGATCTTTATGAACATGTCAAGGAGTCTAATAGTAAGTTGTTATAGTCATTTCATCGTTATGTGGGTTTGTTTGATCAATTTAGTCTTAATATGTAGGACTAAGTAGTACCAAAATTCTCAGATCTTTTTGAATCAACAAACATGAATAGGGGACCTAGAAAATGTAGGTTATCTATATGTATCAGTCAGGTTCACAGAGAAAAACAAATTTAGTAGGAGATATACATTAAGAGATTTATTACAAGGAAATGACTTACATGATTGTGTGGGCTGGCAAGACAAGTCTGAAATCCAAAGAGCGGGCTGAATCGCCAGCCAAAACTGCTATCTGCAAATTTCGTCTTTTTCAGGAAAGCCTCAGTTCTTTACTTAAGGTTTTTCCACCAATTGAATCAGAGCTATTCATGTTATCTAGGATAATCTCCCTCAGTTAAAGTAAACTGATATGGATTTTAATCACATCTATAAAATATCTTCACAAAAGTATATACATTAGTTTGAATTGAAAAGCTGTAACCTATACTATAGCCCAGTTGACATATAAATCTGTCCACTGTAATGTGGTAGTTTGTTTAGGGGAAGGCAAAGATGATAAGTTGTGCTTCTTTCTTTTTGTTCAGGAAATTCAGTAATAATAATAATAAGCTATCCCACCAGACAGAATGTGATTGCTTCCTCAAGGAAATTTTAACTGGAGTGCTCTGAGGAAAATTTAGGAAGGAAAGATGGCTTATAAATCACAGGATGAGAAATCTTAAGATGATGATGGGATTTGTGCAGCAGGATCTATCAGGAGGGGATTAGATTCAATGCTATCTTCACTAATAACTATGTGACTCTCAAAAACATTTAACCTCTCTGAATCTCAATATGATTCTTTTAAATGGGAGTCTTGTGCATGTCCTGTCTAACTCCCAACTATTCTCAAAAATGAGATATGAAAATATGTGAAAACATTAAATTATAAAATACCTTACAATACTAATGTCATTTGATGTTTTCTCTAAATTTTGATAGGTGGCAAGTAGACAAAATAATGCTTTCCAAAGATGTCCACGTTCTAATTGCCACAATCAGTGCATATGTTACTCTAAATGGCAAAAGAGACTTTGCAGATGCAATTAAAATTAAGGATCTTAAGATAAGGAAGTTATTCCAAATAATCCACGTGAGTCTAATGTGATTACCAGGGTTCTTAAAAGAGGGAGGCAGAGCATCAGAGACAGAGACAAAGTGATGTGAAGATGGAAGCAGAAGAAGAAATGGAGCTGTATGACAGAAGCTGAGATTAGGTGATGTGATTGCTGGCTCGAAGGAGCAACGAGCTAAGTATTATGGATGGCTCCTAGAAGCTAGAAAAGGCAAAGAAATGGAGTCTCGTCTAAAGCTTCTGGAGGAAACATGGCCCGGCTAATGCCTTGATTTTTGCCCAGTGAAACCCATTTTGGACTTCTGGCCTCCAGAACCGTCAGATAATAAGTTTCCTTTGTTTTAAGCCACTAAACTATAGTAATTTGTTACAGCAGAAATAGAGAACTAATACAGATATGTTATTGTGAAGATGATTTGTTATGTCACAGAATGCTATTTGTCCCCAATATTTGTTCTCTCCTTTCTTGGCCTTTGGCTGAAAAGATTTAAAATAAGGAGTGACTTTCTCAAATTTATTTGCTGCTGGAATGGTCAATAAGGTTTTTTTTTTATTCTCTCTGTGAGAGATAAAGGAAGGTACACCCAATTTCTGCAAAGTATCCTTAAAGAAAATAGGCCTTTCTTTCATCTCTCCTTTTTCTTTTATGCTGGTTATAATTAAGACATGATGAATAAAGCTAGAGCAACCAACTTTGATCACAAGATGGAGGTTCATGTTGAGGATAGCAGAGCAAAAATAGACAAGAAGATAGAATTCCTGATAATTGTGAAGATATTATATTGACTCTTGATCAAGTACCTAGACTTTTGTAGGAGGGATAATCAACTTTTGTCTTGTTTAAAACATGGTTATTTTGAGCTTTCAGTCACTCACAGCTAAACTTAATTTTAACTAATACATTTCTATTTATCAATTAAGTTAACATTTCTTTTGCATGCACAATAAAAATGAGTGTTAGGTAAAACTCCTACCCCTGAAGGCTGGGTAGGATTTCATTAAATGAAGATACTAGAGTATTGAATGCCATAAGTAAAAGTATAGAATACAAATCTATGTACTTTTTTTTCAGTTGTAAATAAGATTATATATTCTAAATAAAACAGAAATTTATTGATTCTAACTATTCCCCTTGTGCACAACCACATCCCATTATTTCTACAAATAACCCCCCATCCATCAATACTGTGTTTAACACTGCAAACTCACTCAGCCTACTAAATGTTTTAAGAAGTAGCCTCTCCATAATCTTATTTTGAAAGTCAAGAGGTTTTCATTTAAATATGCTGGAAATAATGTGTAGCCATATCCCACTAGATCATGCTTCAGAAATATGCTATTTGTCAAGGATTTCTTTAGAAGTAAGAAAAACCAATATAAATAGCAGAATTTTCAACTCAGATGTCAGAATATGCAGAAATAATTAAACTCTACTAGAAGAGATAAATCAAATTTATGTAAAGCCATATGCCTTTACTTATTGGTCTTGACATAACATTATATGCTGTAGTGGTTAATTTTTAGGTGTCAATGTGACTGGATCAAGGGATGTGTAGATACCCATTAAAGCATTATTTCTGGGTATATCTGTAAGGATGTTTCCAGAAGATACTGACATTTGAATCAGTAGACTGAGTAAGGAAGATCTATTCCCAATGTGGGTGGATACCATCTAATGGGCTAACAGCTCAGATAGAACAAAAAGGCAGAGGAAGGGTGAATTTGCCCCATATGGTGGAGCTGGAACACCTTCTTCTTCTGTCCTTGGACATCAGAACTCCAGGTTCTCCAGCCTTTGGACTTCAGGACTTGCACTAGGAGTTCCCAAGGATTGTCAGGTTTTTGGCCTCAGACCAAAAGTTATACCATTGCCTTCTCTGCTTCCCTGGTTGTGAGGACTTCAGACTTGGACTGAGCCATGTACCAGCCTCCTTAGTCATCCAGCTTGCTGATGACCTATTGTGGGATTTCTCAGCTTCTCTAACTGCATGAGCCAATTTCCCTAATAAATCCCCTCTCATCTATCTGTCTGTCTATCTGTCTATCTATCTATCTATCTATCTATCTATCTATCTATCTATCTATCATCTATCTATCTACCTACCTATCTATCTACATATCTTATTAGTTCCATTTCTCCAGAGAACTCTAACACAACACACTTATTTGCTTATTAAATGTTGTTTTTCATTACTATAGATAACAGAGGAATATGTATGCTGTAAATAGGACTTAATTTAAACAAATTCTGTGAACATAATTTAACAGTGCTAGAAAAAAAAAGTAGCTCACACTAGGGATTAACTCCACTCCCAGCTCTTCTATTCCATCAGTGAAACACAAGAACCAGTCAATTATTAGTTATTTTCTGAATAACAAGTTTGGTTCATTTGCTTGAAAGAGTAACATTAGTTTATCAATGACTGGTCCTATTACAATAATGAAAAAGTTACATCAACACTGACACCAGCACATGATAGCATGATTCCAAACAAACATTTTGAAAAACATGTCTGGATTCCAGATACATCTGAAAGATGTGGGAAACTGACATGGAACTTTTCCTCCAGAGAAAGTAGTGTACAGTGGGAAAGGAAAAACATAGACAAGATTCTAAAAAGTGGACCTGGCTAATATCCACAAATTTGATAACATGATGACTAGAAGTGAAGGTACTGGGTAAGAACTTTACATTTTCAAACTCTGACTTGGTTTATCATTTTGGAAAAAAAAATAGAATGAAAATAGTCATCCAAATGATAGTTGCTCAGGACCCTGCCCCTATCCTAACATCTGGAGCTAAATAATTGGCGGGATAGTAAGCTCTAAACACCAATCCCCTAAATTTGTGTTGTGAAAAAAAAAATCTAATACAAACCCTAAAACAAGTTGAAGGGGCAAAGAGAGTATATTCTATTATTATATATTCTATTTTAGAATTATTACATATTCTATTTTAGAAGTCTCAGATGTAAACTCTGCCAAGTAAAAGATAAGCAAGAAATAGAAGAAAAAATAAAATGTGACCTATGTAAAATTTATAGAGAAGAGGTATGTGAATTGAAAAGCTGCATGATGTAGAGGAAGACAGCTCTCTACAGTCAAGGGCAATTCCTAGAAACTGCTGAAATTGAGGACTGTCATTCAGAGGCACTGTCAGCACCAAAGGAACTAGATCCTTCATCCTGAAGGTAGGAGTTGGGTGGCACAGCATAGTGTCTCCTACAGTCAGTCCATCTATGCACTGTTTGGGTCTACATTTATATATAAAAATTCTGGAACACTCCTCCAGAATTCTGATGGGTCTATTTGTTGGGAAAACCTGCAAGAGGAAGTCCTTACCCCTGCAGCTGGTACTCATCTCTCCCTATATTATTGATTTGGGATTCCTCTCACTCACAGCTAACACTTCTGCTGGTCTTGGTGGCTTACCTAGTGGTGTGATCCAGACCCTCATCTCTGAGGAATCTGAAGTCCTGATGACCATGCCCTTCTCAGGTTGGTTCCTCCACAGACACCTGTATTGTTTCCAAAAATTGGGCAAGGAAGAATCAAAAGATACCCCATGGGAGTGCTGGAGTATCTGTTGCCTGCACTGTGGGACAGCAGTCTACTTTCTCCTGATTATGAGAGTCCATTGCCCTCATTGAGAAAGTTTATTCTTTTTATCTTCTAATATCTTGAAACAAGAAATCCAAAATGCCTGGGCAGGAGGCATAGCTGAAAGTTAATTTGAATTTTGTTATTTCCCCCTGGTGAAATCTGTCTGGCTTTGGGAACCACGACTTTTAAACCTGCAAAGCCCAGAACTATGGGGATGGGAAGCACAGATTTCTCCTGAGTGAGTCACTGGGAATGATGGTGCATGAGGCCGTTCTTTGAAAAATAATAATAATAAATGTTATTGTGTATATTCAGGTATGTAACATGATATTATGCGATACACCTAGATAATAAAATGGTTTCTGTCATGAAGAAAATTAACATATTCATCATCTAACATAGTTACATTAGTTTTTATGGCAGGAGCAGCTAAAATCTAGTCATTTTGCAGAAATCCCAAATATAGTATAATTTTATTACTTATAATCCTCACAGTAGATCTCTAGACTTCTTCATCATACATATCTGCTATTTTGTATGCTTTGACCTATATCTCCTCATGATCTCCCCTCCACCCTTTGCCCTTGATAACTACTGTTTTATTTTCTAGCTCTATATATTTAACTTTTTTTTAGATTCCACATATAAGTGAGATCATGCAACACTTCTGTTTCATTTAACTTAATGTCCTCCAGGTCCAGACATGGCAAGATCTCCTTTTGTAAGGCTGAATACTATTCCACTGTTTATATATATAACAAAAACAACAAAGTAAAGAGAAACAATATATATATATAATGTGTATATTCCACCGTGTATATATATATAAATGATTCCATTGTTTATATACATATATACTATATATCCTATAGTATATATATCCTATATATCCTATAGTATATATATCCTATATACACTATAGTATATATATCCTATATACACTATAGTATATATATCCTATATACACTATAGTATATATATCCTATATACACTATAGTATATATATCCTATATACACTATAGTATATATGTATATATATAGGATATATATACTATAGTATATATGTATATATATAGGATATATATACTATAGTATATATGTATATATATAGGATATATACACACACACACTATATATAGTATATATAGGATATATAGTGTATATGTATATGCACCATAGGATATGTAGTGTATATGTATATGCACCATAGCATATGTGGTGTATATGTATATGCACTATAGCATATGTGGTGTATATGTATATGCACTATAGCATATGTGGTGTATATGTATATGCACTATAGCATATGTGGTGTATATGTATATGCACTATAGCATATGTGGTGTATATGTATATACACTATAGCATATGTAGTGTATATGTATATGAACTATAGGATATGTAGTGTGTGTATATATATATATATACACACACACACACTATAGGATATATAGTGTGTGTGTATATATATATATACCATTCCACTGTTTATATATAAAAAGCTGAATACTATTTCATTATATATATATATCCATTTGTTCGTCGACAGACACTTATTTCTGTATCTTGGCTACTGTAAATAATGTTGCAATGAACATGCTAGTGCAGGTATATTTAGGAAGTGGTGATTTCCTTGCCATTATCAGTCAGTTCTGTATATTTTCTCATTTTCATTGTGTTCTTCCTTGGGTCCCTCAGTTATTCAGGAATGTCTAATTTCCAAACACATGTGATTTTTCTAATCAGTCTTTGGATGTTGATTTCTGAGATAATTGCATTTGCAGAAACAGAATAGTTCCTTTGATTCCAATCTTTCGACATTCGTTAAGGTAAGCTTTATGGGCCAGTATGTGGAAAATATTTAGAAATCTTCTGGGTTAGTTTAAAAAATCAATGAATCCAGGAGCTGGTTTTTTGAAAAGATCAACAAAATTGATAGACTGCTATCAAGACTAATAAAGAAGAAAGAGAGAAGAATCAAATAGATACAATAAAAAATGACAAAGGGGATATCACCACCAATCCCACAGAAATAGAAACTACCATCAGAGAATACTATAAACACCTCTATGCAAATAAACTAGAAAATCTAGAAGAAATGGATAAATTCCTCGACACATACACCCTCCCAAGACTAAACCAGGAAGAAGTTGAATCTCTGAATAGACCAATAACAGGCTCTGAAATTGAGGCAATAATTAATATCTTACCAACCAAAAAAAGTCCAGGACCAGATGCATTCACAGCCGAATTCTACCAGAGGTACAAGGAGGAGCTGGTACCATTCCTTCTGAAACTATTCCAATCAATAAAAAAAGGAATCCTCCCTAACTCATTTTATGAGGCCAGCATCATCCTGATACCAAAGCCTGGAAGAGACACAACAAAAAAAGAGAATTTTAGACCAATATCCTTGATGAACATTGATGCAAAAATCCTCAATAAAATACTGGCAAACCGAATACAGCAACACATCAAAAACCTTATCCACCATGATCAAGTGGGCTTCATCCCTGGGATGCAAGCCTTGTTCAACATATGAAAATCAATAAATGTAATGCAGCATATAAACAGAACCAAAGACAAAAACCACATGATTATCCCAATAGATGCAGAAAAGGACTTTGACAAAACTGAACAACACTTCATGCTAAAAACTCTCAAAAAATTAGGTATTGATGGGACGTATCTCAAAATAATAAGAGCTATCTATGACAAACCCACAGCCAATATCATACTGAATGGACAAAAACCGGAAGCATTCCCTTTGAAAACTGGCACAAGACAGGGATGCCCTCTCTCACCACTCCTATTCAACATAGTGTTGGAAGTTCTGGTCAGGGCAATCAGGCAAGGGAAGGAAATGAAGGGTATTCAATTAGGAAAAGAAGAGGTCAAATTGTCCCTGTTTGCAGATGACATGATTTTATATCTAGAAAACCCCATCGTCTCAGCCCAAAATCACCTTAAGCTGATAAGCAACTTCAGCAAAGTCTCAGGATACAAAATCAATGTACAAAAATCACAAGCATTCTTATACATCAATAACAGACAAACAGAGAGCCAAATCATGAGTGAACTCCCATTCACAATTGCTTCAAAGAGAATAAAATACCTAGGAATCCAACTTACAAGGGATGTGAAGGATCTCTTCAAGGAGAACTACAAATCACTGCTCAACAAAAGAGGATACAAACAAATGGAAGAACATTCCATTCTCATGGGTAGGAAGAATCAATATCGTGAAAATGGCCATACTGCCCAAGGTAATTTATAGATTCAATGCCATCCCCATCAAGCTACCAATGACTTTCTTCACAGAATTGGAAAAAACTACTTTAAAGTTCATATGGAACCAAAAAAGAGCCCGCATTGCCAAGTCAATCCTAAGCCAAAAGAACAAAGCTGGAGGCACCATGCTACCTGATTCAAACTAAACTACAAGGCCATAACCAAAACAGCATGGTACTGGTACCAAACAGAGATACAGACCAATGGAACAGAACAGAGCCCTCAGAAATAATGCCGCATATCTACAACTATCTGATCTTTGACAAACCTTACAAAAACAAGCAATGGGGAAAGGATTCCCTATTTAATAAATGGTGCTGGGAAAACTGGCTAGCCATATGTAGAAAGCTGAAACTGGATCCCTTCCTTACACCTTATACAAAAATCAATTCAAGATGGATTAAAGACTTACATGTTAGACCTAAAACCATAAAAACCCTAGAAGAAAATCTAGGCAATACCATTGAGGACATAGGCAAGGGCAAGGACTTCATGTCTAAAACACCAAAAGCAATGGCAACAAAAGCCAAAATTGACAAATGGGATCTAATTAAACTAAAGAGCTTCTGCACAGCAAAAGAAACTACCATCAGAGTGAATAGGCAACCTACAGAATGGGAGAAAATTTTTGCAACCTACTCATTTGACAAAGGGCTAATATCCAGAATCTACAATGAACTCAAACAAATTTACAAGAAAAAAACAAACAACTCCATCAAAAAGTGTGCGAAGGATATGAACAGACACTTCTCAAAAGAAGACATTTATGCAGCCAAAAAACACATGACAAAATGCTCATCATCACTGGCCATCAGAGAAATGCAAATCAAAACCACAATGAGATACCATCTCATCCCAGTTACAATGGCAATCATTAAAAAGTCAGGAAACAACAGGTGCTGGAGAGGATGTGGAGAAATAGGAACACTTTTACACTGTTGGTGGGACTGTAAACTAGTTCAACGATTGTGGAAGTCAGTGTGGCGATTCCTCAGGGATCTAGAACTAGAAATACCATTTGGCCCAGCCATCCCATTACTGGGGATTTATTTACCCAAAGGATCGTAAATCATGCTGCTATAAAGACACATGCACAAATATGTTTATTGCGGCACTATTCACAATAGCAAAGACTTGGAACCAACCCAAAAGTCCAATAATGATAGACTGGATTAAGAAAATGTGGCACATATACACCATGGAATACGATGCAGTGATAAAAAATGATGAGTTCATGTCCTTTGTAGGGACATGGATGAAGCTGGAACCATCATTCTCAGCAAACTATCGCAAGGACAAAAAACCAAACACCGCATGTTCTCAGTCATAGGTGGGAATTGAACAGTGAGAACACATGGACACAGGAAGGGGAACATCACACACTGGGGCCTGTTGTGGGGTGGGTGAGGGGGTAGGGACAGCATTAGGAGATATACCTAATGCTAAATGATGAGTTAATGGGTGCAGCACACCAACATGGCACATGTATACATATGTAACAAACCTGCACGTTGTGCACATGTACGCTAAAACTTAAAGTATAATAATAATAATAATAATAATAATAAAGAAATGTTCTGGGTTAGCAAGAAAAGATGATATATTCCATAGTTGTTTACAGTGATGTTCTTTATAATGGCTACATATCAGGCTATTATTTATGTTGTTGAAATATTCTATACTTTTACTGTTTTGTTGTTGCTGCTGCTGTTATTAGGTCCATCCATTACTCAGATAGTAGTGGATATTAACATCTCCCACTGTGATCTATGATAGTAAATTTGTCTGTTTCTCTTTGTACTTCTCTTACTGTTTTTTGTTTTGTTTTTATTTGTAATGCTGTGTTGTTAGAAAGATTCAAGTTTAGATTGTTTACAGGTTTCTGGTTAAAAGATGTTATCTTCCACCATAGAATGTAAGATGTGTAAAGACAGGGCATACTTCCTTTTCTTTTGTTTACTCATATATCCTATTGAGTTTGAATTATGTTACTGGTGTGATCAAATACTGCATCTTCCAGAAATGGCCGAAGTGATCAAATGGCTGTTGAGGGCACAGCTGAGATAGCATCTCAGAGAAGTATCTAGGGGCGAGGTGGTGGAGGGGAAATAATAAGGAGATGTAGGTCAAAGCATACAAAATAGCAGATACATAGGATGAACTAAGTCTAGAGATCTAATGTAAAGATTCTAGGTAATAAAAATGTACTGTATCTGGGATTTCTGCTAAATGACTAGATTTTAGCTGCTCTTGCCACAGAAACAAAAAAAATGAGTAACTGTTAGATAATGGATATGTTAATTTTCTTCACTAATCATTTTATTGTCTAGATGTATCCCATAATATCATGTTACATATCTAGAGTATACACAATAATATTTATTATTATTATTATTTTTAAAGAATGGCCTCATGCACCGTCATTCTCGGTGACCCACTCAGGAGAAATTTGTGCTCCCCATCCCCACAGTTCTGGGCTTTGCAGGTTTAAAAGTTCTGGTTCCTAAAGCAAGACAGATTTCACCAGGGAAACGGAAGATTCCCACATTTAACTTTCAGCTATGTCTCTTGCCCAGGTATTTTGGATTTCTTGCTTCCAGAAATGAGGATTAAAAGGGTAAGCTTTCCTGATGAGGGGAAATCGACTCCGATAATCAGGAGAAAGTAGGCTGCTGTCCCACAGTGCAGACAAGGTGAGGCACATGTGGAACCCAGGCACTCTCTTGATTCTTTCTTGCCCAATTTTTGGAGGCAACCCAATTGTCTGTAGATGAACTAACCTGAGGAGCTCATGGTGATCAGGAGCTCTCTTCTCCACAAACCTTTTACAGCTTTCTAGAGCCATTCAGGTTTTTTCCTACATTTTTTCCTCTCTCTCTCTCCACACAAAACCAGTCATTTTATTATACAATCAAGTTACTCTTTTTCTCTTAACAAAGCACATTCTATATTCCTTGCATACCTTACATATAAAAGTTTCCCTTCATTCTTATTGTTTCTGGTAGTTTTATTTACATACATAGACTATAATGATTAACCATTAATAACATTTATTTTACAGGGAAAACTAGGAAATAAACAATTATCAATTGCTTGTCACATAGCAGCACTTTGTAGTAATCAAATTTTATGAATATACCATCATACAACTTTTAAAGATATATTTTTCTTTATAGTAAATTTTTTTCCATCTGCAAATGACCATGCTTATCAACGGATCCAAATATTCTTAGTCTCCGGAAGAAAAAAAGTAAAAAATATGTAAACTTAAATTTATAACTATGTCAGTATTTTTTCTTACTTAGAAATAATCTGGATGTATTATAGATATTTATTGTTTAGCTTAGTTTAGCATAACTTTAAGATTGGAAGTTACTAAAAAGATTTTGGACACTATTTTTAGGCATATATATATCAAATTACATATATTATATTATATATAAAATTATATATGTGCCAGATATAAATTATTATTTAATATATAATAGGCTGGGCGCAGTGGCTCACGTCTGTAATCCCAGCACTTTGGGAGGCTGAGGCGGGCGGATCACGAGGTCAGGAGATCAAGATCATCCTGGCTAACACGGTGAAACCCCGTCTCTACTAAAAATACAAAAAATTAACTGGGCGTGGTGGCGGGCACCTGTAGTCCCAGCTACTCAGGAGGCTGAGGCAGGAGAATGGCGTGAACCCAGGAGATGGAGCTTGCAGTGAGCCAAGATCGTGCCACTGCACTCCAGCCTGGACGACAGAGCAAGACTCCGTCTCAAAAAAGAATATATATATATAATAAAATATATATTATAAATATAAGTATAATATATAATTGTTACATATTTATAACATCATATTATAAATGTTATTATTATTATTTTAAAGAATGGCCTCATGAATCATCATTTATATCATAAATGTTATATATACACAAATATAAATATATAAATAAAATAGAAATATATATTATATATATTCACATATGTCAGATATATGTAATTATATATAGTATATATTTTAAGTATTTTTTTAATTGCCCAATGGGCTTTTCTTGCCCACTGCACAAAAAAAAATCAATTCACTGAGACTGCAGCATTGCAGTAGAGAAACAGTTTAATTGATTAGAGGCCAGCCACATGGGAGAACTAGAGTTATCACTCAAATTGGTCTTCCTGAAAGCTTGAAAGTTAAGGTTTTTATGAAGCATTTTGTGGGCAGGTGGCTAGGAAATGAGTGCTGCTGATTGGTTGAAGATGAAATCATAGGAGTGTGGAAAACAATTCTTGTGTGCTGAGTTCTCCTCTGAGTGGGGGCCACAGGACCAGTTGAGTCATGAGTCACAGGTCTTGGCAGGGTCAGTCACTTGCCAGGAAGTTTGAAAAGATTCTCAAAAGACCATTGAGGTTCCACAATAGTGATGTTATTTATAGGAGAAATTGAGGAAGTCACAAATTCTGTCATCTCTGGCCACATGAGACCTGAGCAGTAAAACATTACAGAAATTATGCCTATGTCTTAACAGAATACAGTCCTCTCTTATAATCTAACCTCGTGGTCTCTCATTCATTTTTCAAAGGTGGTTTAGTTTTTGGAAGGGCTATTATCATTCTTGCTTTAAAGTTAAACTATAAACTAAATTCCTCCAAAAGTTAGCTTGGCCCATGCCCAGGATTGAGTAAGGACAGCTTGTAGGTTAAAAGCAAGGTAGACTTAGAGGAGCTTGGAGCTTGGGGGTTAGAAGCAAGCCAGATTTATCTTACTGTTATAATTTTGCAAAGGTGGTTTCATTTTCTTCTCTCTTGTATTTTCTTACCATGTAACAAAAGATGTAACTTTACATCATCATGTTTAAGTATTATTAATTATGTATTGTAGTTTTTAAGTTGTTGGATAGCAAGTAGAAGAGTAAACACACTCAAGAATTTTATCTCCTCTTCTTGGAAAGGAATTAGTGCATTTTTGGTTGTAAGCAGGACAGCTGTATCATGTTAGGTAAAATTATGACTTTGTTATTTTCTTTATTTGGAAAATAAGTATGCTTTAAGGAAATGTAGATGGATGCCAAGTTGACAAGGGGTGGACTTATTATAGTTGATTTTATGTGTCAACTATAATGTTCCAACATTTCTGACAATTTTAGGAATAGTCGATTTATTAAAGCACTTATTTTTCTCCAAGCCAATCAGAATAGAGCTCTTTTACTAATTTGGTCATGACACTCAGAGGTTGGAAAGTACACATACACTTAACATACGTACAGACAGAGAGACAGTTGCAAGTAGAGATCTTTATGGCTTTCATTCCAAAAACTTAGCTATGCATCAAGCGTAAGTATACTAATATAAAACTCACTAGTATGTATTTGGGTTGGTTTTCGTCTTTGCTTCACTGTGTATTTTTATCCAAATTACATTTCTGACAAATGGAACAAGTTGTTACTTGCTCAATATAAGGGCTAAAGCTTTTTTATGAATATTTGTAAAGGAGATTTTTAAATTTTCATATGTAATATTATGGAGACTGTGAACAACTTAATAAATTTAAGGTGAAGGGGCTAAGGATGCAGTAAGCGGTCACCTGCATGCCTCCAAAGTCCATCTGAGTGGATAATATCCAGTCTATTTTATTTATCCTCTTTAGCACCAGATCTTTTCTTCTGGGGTCTCTTGAAAGACCCCAGTGCCCTAAAGTACCAATGACTCTAGGGAGTTGAGAGACTGGAGAAAGAAAAGAAAGGTCTTAGAGGAATAAGTTTTCTCAAAGAAGCCATTGAACTTTTAAATGATCCTTGGAAAAGTCATGCCGAAAAGAAAGGAAGCAGACAGTGGCAGCACTGTAATGGTGGAGCACATAGTCATAGGGGTTTTATGAAGGCTGTTGGCAGGTTTCACTTTACTGAGAAGTTCCCATGAGAGAGCAGGGTAGGGTACGGAGAACAAAGAAGGCTGAAAACAAAAAGTCAAGAAGAAAAATTTTAATGTAAGAGGTACCTTCTCCCAAACAAAGCAGCCTGGATTCTAACCCAGCTTCAGAAAGTATACTCATTCCAAATGTGACTCAAATCAATAAGCCTTTTTATGGCTTATCCATGCACAGAAGAGGTGTCCCCAGAGAAGGTGCGGAATATAATGATCTCATGTATAAGTAAAGCTTTTCTATGTTCCTGGTAATTTGTCTGATGTTAGCTAATTTTCAGATCCTTGATTATTTGCACCTAAGCAGGTAAAGTTGGATACAGCTTTTCCTCTACCCGCTTAGTTCCAAATAGTGGATGCAGCCACCATGATCTAAAGTCACTCCCCAAAAATAGCTGAGCAGAAATAAAGCAAGGACTCATGTTTTAATAGACAGTGAGAAAAAGAAAGGGAAAGAAGGAAGGGTGCTTATGAGTTGAGACCCTTTTTGATGTAGACTTAGATGAAACCCCCGAAAGCTGGCCAATGTTCAATAGGATGCCAGTTGCAAATGGGGTACCCAGACTACCCACATTTCTACCTGGCTGACTGTAACTCTTGGACCCTAACCTGATGGTGGGCCACCTATGCGTGCAGAACTGACAATATGTGCTGCTGGAGGGCATAGAACCTGAGAGAATGCTCTCTTTGTATCCAAATTAAGCTCTTTCTGGACACAAAATTGATATAGAAGGACAACATCATCCAATTTAATAGGTATCTCACAAACTCACAAGTCAGTGAGGCCATCTCAAACAACAGCCTTATATGCCTGTATTCTGGCCTATGATTCTCTTCCTTATGGCACACAACAAGAAAAAACAGAGACAAATGGGCAGACACAGTTACTATCACTTGAAAGGGAAGGACCCATAACAAGAAAATGCAAAAGAAGAGAAACAATACTCTAAAGAACTAGTCTCTACAAGTGTTTTCTCCTGCCAATCTAAATTTTGGAAAGGAAAGACAAAAAAAGGCTAATACCAATCTCGCTCAACTGGACCTGAAGCAGACACCCAGTAGTCTGCCTGGTAGGAAAATTTGCCCTTATTGGCTTAATCAGATGTCCCAAGTTCTCACCTGTAGTCCCCAGAGTGAACAGGGAGTTTTGACTGTCCCATTCTCATCATCAAAAAAGTTGGAGGACAACTTTTCCTCTACCTGCTTAGGTTCAAATTATCAAGGATCTGAAAATTAGCTAATATCAGATAGATTACCAGGAACATAGAAAAGGTTTGCTATACATGTACACAAAAGTTACTCAGGAGTATTCACTCACCCACTGGATACTCAGAAGTAAAGGTTTACATACCAACTTCACAATTACAACTTGATAAAAGCAGGAGTAGGGGAAGGGGATGTTTCAATAAGAAAATATGGAAGAGTAATTTTTTAACGCCACTGGGAAAGGTCAATCAGTCTTCTTCCTAGAATTCTCAGGAAACTCCTGGGGTGAGGTAGGAGGTGGGAAGCAGAGAAGTTAATGACAGCTCTATTTCCAAAAGTTTCTGTTTGGATGCAGCTTTTCCTCTACCTGCTTAGGTCCAAATAGTGGATGCAGCCACCATGATCCAAAGATAAGAGAAATGCAGATAAGATTTTAACTGTTTTCACTTTAAAATAACTTTTATGTCAAAACTGTGATCCCTTGAGACTAGTCTGGCCAGCATAGTGAAACCCCATCTCTATTAAAAATACAAAAATTAGCCTGGCATGGTGGTGCGTGCCTGTAGTCCCAGCTACTCAGGAGGCTGAGGCAGGAGAATCGCTTGAACCCGGGAGGTGGAGGCTGAAGTGAGCTGAGATAGCCCCATTGCACCCCAGCCCGGGAGACAATGTGAGACTTCATCTCAAAAAAACAAACAAATAAAAACTGTGATCCCTTCATAAGAACCAAGTGGGGTACATGGAAATAAGTCCTATTTTATTATGGTAAGAAATAAGATATTTATACTTGTACCTTTGCAGTTTAACTATCTATGAATCTGGATGACAAGACACACTCCAAAAAATTCTTCTAGTTTTCTTGAATTATGTAGACAGGGATGTCATGTATTTGATATAAGGTGATCTCATTATTAAAGAAAAGGACAAGCGGAAATTAATCCTCAGGAGCAATCTTCTACTTTATTACTCTAGCTGACTGTTTACCTCTGAGCAAGTGGCTAGACCTCTGTATTTCACATTATTATAAACACCAAATACATCATTAACTTGCATTGTTCTCACATTTGTAATTCAACTAGCAATCTTTTCACAAATTTGCATAACTGCCAGCTTCAATATGCTAGTAAGTTATTTTCAATTGTATAAAATGTGAGAGCTCAGTGATGTGGGAAGTTGTTCTTCCAGCCTAATCTACTGAGTGACCTCTCTTCTGTGCTTAGCATCCTCATATGGCCTTCAGGCCAGCAGTGGCTCCCAAGAATCCTACCAGAATCTGAGCTGCCCAAGGCACAATTCATGCTTTAGATACTCCTGCATACTCTTAAGCAATGAGAGAGAATGGATAAAAGAATGCATAGACACAGAGATGATAGATAGATAGATAGATAGATAGATAGATAGATAGATAGATAGATAGATGATAGAGACAGATAAGATAGAAAGAAAGATAGATATTGGTAACTTTAAAAGACAGATATTGATAATATAAGAAGGTTATTGAGGTTAAAAGAGACTTTTTGAGTGCTCAGTATGTAAAATCAGACTAATTTGTTATTTTACTCATTTATTTATTCAAACACTTACTAATTATGAGTTATGATGGTAGAATCTGGAGATATATAAGCAAGTTTTTACCTCCATGGAGATTAGAGTAGGAAGGAGATGAAACTTGCAAATAATTAGAATTTAGTGAGTTACATACTGCAATATAAAGCAAGGGAGATTTCACAGATTAGATATGTGAATTTGACCTGGAAAGAAAGATGAAACTTGGTTGAACCAGATCTAGGGAGTCTCCATTCTTTGACTCAACAAACACCTATCAAGCACCTTTATGGTGCTAAACACTCTGTTAGGTACTCAGAATGTTTTTAAAAAAATAAAAACCCAACAAAAACAGTTTCTGACATCAAGAGTTGGGAAATTGACCCATAAATAAGTAATAGTAAGATTAAATTATAGCTCAGTAATTTTTATACACATGATTGAACAAAGTACCACATAATTTTGTCTGCCTAGAAGGAATTAAGAAATGCTTTCCAAAGATTATATGTGGGACTTCAGAATTTCTCAAAAAAGCTTTGGCCTATATTAATTCATATAATTTGGGGGTAATACTTACATTTACTATGTTCATATATTCAACCACCTCAGCATCACCAAAATCTAATTATAATTCCATGTGTATTTTTGGAAATATCTTCATCTTTATCTTTTTCCCAAACGTGTCACTTTCTTCTTCTTTTCAGATTGTTTTAAGTAGTTTGTGTGAAACTGTGCTATTTCTTAAAATCTAAAGATTTGCTAGACTCTATTGCTTCTTAAAAACAAATATATCCTTTCTTAACAAAGGTAACTATGGAAAGTTTAAAACAATTTTCAAAAGAGTATTTATAAATAGTATCCTACTTCTTCAGATATAAATATTGACAATAGAACTATGGAATGGTTGAATATAACAGCAATTATAAACTCAGACAGTGATTATGAAGTCTAGATTACATAAGCTTTGTTTAAAATACCGATGACAGGCATGCTCAATTTAAGGACCTATATATTAACTTTTTTCTTTATATTTTTACACAAAAACCCAAATACATTTGAATTTGACAAGTGTTTAATGATCATCCATTACAAGCAAGGTGTCATGCATGATAAAATCATTAGCAAGCTGTGACTGCTCCTTGAAATGTGTACCCCAATATCAAAGATAATGCAACAAAGTGTGAATGTATTAATAGAACAAAAAATGCCGACAAAGTAGAAAAGAGGAAAAGCTTATGTTTAACATGGAGAATAAAGCCTCATAGTGGGGCAGATTTTAGCATCTGGTCCAATAGAGAGATAGTGGGAGAAGTGTCTTTCAGGTAGAAGGGACTGCATAAGTAAAGGCTTTGAGTTAAGAAAGAGCAGCAAGTGCACAGAACATATTAAAGAGTTCAATTTGATCAAATTATAAATCTGAGTTGTCAACATTCCCATCTCCCATGACTAACTGTAATGGATGTCTGAAGTCATAAAAGATTATATGGCTATATCCGGTCTCAGTAGGAAAAACTGCCATAAGCAATTAGTCATGGCATCTGTGAGTGAGGATAAAGTAGTTGTAGCCAATGGCCCATGTATTTGCTAAGCAGAGAATAAGATATCTGAGTCATAGAGAGAGGTAAGCATAGACAGCTAAAATAACTCAGGCTCAGAATTTGAAGGGCTTTATATTCCAAGATGCCAACAGGTTTATGTTTTATTCTCCAGTAGTGGAACAGAAAGTTCTTTTAACTTCTACACTTTCGGGATCTCAGCAAGGTCTCTGTAACAAAAGTTAGAGGTGAAGGTGAGAGGATAGCTTGAACCCAGGAGTTCAAGACCAACCCAAGCAACATACAGAGACATTGTCTCCACAAAAATTAAAAGAAAAACAGGCGGATATACTAGTCTGTTTTCACACTGCTATAAAGAAATACCTGAGACTGGGTAATTCATAAAGGAAAGAGGTTTAATTGATTCACAGTCAATTAAACTGGGAGGCCTCAGGAAACTTACAGTCATGGCAAAAAACAAAGGAGAAGCAAGTACATTATTCACACGGTGGCAGGAAAGAGAGAGAGAACAAAGGAGGAACTGCCAAACACTTATAAAATCATTAGATCTCGTGAGAACTCACTCACTATTTCGAGACCAACATGGGGGAAACCACCCCCAAGATCCAATCACCTCCCACCAGGACCCTCCCTCTGCATATGGGGATTATAATTTGAGATGAGATTTGGGTGAGGACACAGAGCCAAACCATATCAGTGGGCGTGGTGCCACTCACCTGTAGCCTCAGCTACTCAGGAGGCTGAGGCAGGAAGATTTCTTGAGCCCAGGAGTTTCAGGCTGCAGTGAGCTGTGATACTGCCGCTAGACTCAAGCCTGGATAACAGAGTGAGACCCTGTCTCCAAAAAAAAAAAAAAAAAAAAAGATCAACAAGAGGAAAGCATACAAATCAAAAATTTATTTAATATGAGTTCTACATGACATAGAAACCTTCATAAGGAAATGACAAGCTAAATAAATGGTTAAACCTGAGGGATTTTATGCTAGATTTGATGAAGAATGAAGAGTTGTAGAAAAATGTGATGGGAGATGGAGTCTGAACTAAGAAAGGTGAACTGGGGAAAGCTTATAGGTCCTGTTCATTCATATTCCTCTTAGCATCTCTCCATCTGAAGAAACTAGAATGCTCCTTTCCTCTAGAATAGGAGGACAGCTCTCACATGACAGTCATAAGACCTGCTTGATATGCATCCTTTTCAGGGGAAGTTCAGACAGTCCTTATAAGCCCCTTATAATACTATTAGATCTCATGAGAACTTCTTCAGTATCACAAGAATAGCATGGAGGAAACCACACCCATGATTCAATTACCTCCTACTGGGTCCCTCCCATGACAGGTGGGGATTATGGGAACTTCAATGCAAGATAAGATTTGGGTGGTGACACAGCCAAAACATATCATTCTGCTCTGGCCCCTCCCAAATGTCATGTCCTCACATTTCAAAACACAATCATGCCTTTCCAACAGTCCCCCAAAGTCTTAGCTCATTCAGCATTAACCCAAAAGTCCAAGTCCAAAGTCTCATCTGAGATAAGGCAAGTCCCTTCTGCCTATGAGCCTGTAAAATCAAATGCAAGTTAGTTACTTCATAGATACAATGGGAGTACAGGCATTGAGGAAATACACCCATTCCAAATGGGAGAAATTTGAAATGATCTCATTTGACTCCTTGTTTCACATCCAGGTCACACTGATGCAACAGGTGAGCTCCCATGGCCTTGGGCAGCTCTGCCCCTGTGGCTTTGCAGGGTACAGCCCCCCTTCTGATTACTTTCTCAGCTGATATTGAGTATCTATGGCTTTCCAGGCCCATGATACAAACTATGTATGGATCTACCATTCTGGGGTCTGGAATATGATAGCCCTCTTCCCACAGCTCACTAGGCAGTACCCCATTGAGGACTCTGTGTGGGTCCTAGTAGAGGTTCTCCATTAGGGCTCCACCTCTGCAGCAGACTTCTGCCTGGACCTCCAGCCATTTCCATACATCCTCTGAAATCTAGGCAAAGGTTCCCAAACCTCAATTCTTGGTTTCTGTGCACCCATCAGCTCAACACCACATGGAAGCTGCCAAGATTCCACCCTCTAAAGTAAAGGCCCAAATTGTACGTTGGTTTCTTTTAGCCCCAGCTAGAGCTGAAGCAGCTGAGATATAGGGCACCATGTCCTGAGGCTGCACAGAGCAGGGGAGCCCTGAGCCCCGCCCATGAAACCATTTTTCCCTCCTAGGCCTCTGCACCTGTTATGAGAGGGACTGCTGGTGAAAGTGAAGGTCTCTGACATGCCGTGGAGACATTTTCCCCATTGTCTTGGTGATTAACATTTAGCTCCTTGTTACTTATGCAAATTTCTGCAGCTGGCTTGAATTTCTCCCCAGAAAATGGGTTTTTCTTTTCTACCCCATCATCAGGCTGCAAATTTTCCAAACTTTTATGCTCTGCTTCTTCTAAAATGCTTTGCTGCTTAAAAATTTCTTCCACCAGATACCCTGAATCATCTCTCTCAAGTTCAAAGTTCCACAGATCTCTAGGGCAGGGGCAAAATGCAGCCAATCTCTTTGATAAGCATAACAAAGTCACCTTTGTTTCAGTTCCCCACAAGTTCCTCATTTCCATCTGAGACAACCTCAGCCTGGACTTCATTGTCCATATCACTATTAGCATTTTAGTCAAAGCCATTCAACAAGTCTCTAGTAAGTTCCAAACTTTCCCACATCTTCCTGTCTTCTTCTGAGCCCTCCAAACTCTTCCAACCTCTGCCCATAACCTAGTTCAAAAGTTGCCTCCACATTTTCAAGTATCTTTACTGCAGTGCCCCATTACAACCAGTACCAATTTACTGTGTAAATCTGTTATCACACTGCTATGAAGAAATACCTGAGACTGGCTAATTTATAAAGAAAAGTGGTTTAATTTATTCACCATTCCACATGGCTGTGGAGGAATCTTATAATCATGGAGGTAGGGGAAGCAATCATTTTCTTCTTCATGAAGTGCCAGGATGGAGAATGAGAGCCAAGCAAAGGGGGAAGCCCCTTATAAAACCATCAGATCTCATGAGAACTTATTCACTATCACAAAAATAGCGTGGTGAAAACTGCCCCAGTGATTCAGTTACCTCCCACTGGGTTCCACCAATGACATGTGGAGATTATGGGAACTAAAATTAAAGATGAGATTTGGATGACGACATAGGTAAACCATGTCAGTCTAGTTAAACATTTATGCCTCATTTTGAGAGGCAGTGATGTAAGTGGGAATAGCTGCCAACATAAGTTCGGCTGCTATATGGTAAGAGCAATCAGGTATTTAATAAGATGCATTTCTATGGGAACAAAAGAAAAACAAAGATTAATAATTGGTTAACTATTTAACCAGTTTCTGACTCCCAAGGGCAGCCAGTCAAGATTTCTAGACTTGAGCTTGAAATAGCTTTAGATGTGCAATGAGGATAGCAGTTGCAATTCAATTCATTTCTTCATTTGCACTTTGAATTAATCTCTGGTTATGGTATCATAATCATGGTTACTTCTCACAGCAAAGTATGGAAGTGTCTGTGTTTGCCTTTAGAATCTTTTATTGTCATTTTGGTTAAATCAATATCCAAGGTCACATTTAATCAAGCGTTGTAGATTTGCAGGAACTTTTTAGATAGTACCATCAGGTTTTATTATCTCAATGACACCTAGTAAGGAGGATGAATATACTGGAAACATTAATTACTGGCTTTTTTTTCCCTTTCTCTCATCTTTTTATTTTGCTTTGCTGGAAGTTTTCATGAGGAATAATAGGTTAGACTTAGACTTTTAAAAGCCTCTCAAGACTAAGAAACCAAGGCAGCAATTGGATCCCAGACTGTACCTGGAACATGTAATGATGTAAAGATGAACCTCTCTTCTCAAGGTTCTTATTATATTTTAAAATTGTTGGGCCTACCAGTTCTTTACTCATCTGTAAGGCTAAGACTCCTATAAGCCAGGAACTAGGTCATTCAAGATTGCGTTGTAAGTATTGGCTCCATAAAGTCAATCCTAGTTTCTTAGAAGCAGACAGTCCCATCAAAATCTTAGTAATATAAACAATGTTTCTAATTAAGTCCTGTTACATTATGGGAGAATAAATTCTTATTGAACTTAGCAAATAAATATATTGCCATGAAAATTAGAATAGTCAATAAGAGTTTCCAAATTCTGGAGACATAAGTTAAGGAGAAAAATAAATGTTCATGTTTTCTGACAAAGGTGTAATTTATCAAATTGTTAAGACACAGTTTAAGAGAAAAGGGAAGGGAGTTCCATAAATCTGGCAAACAAAACATTAAAGATCCATTAATGATTCAAACAAAAATCATAAAAATTATAATCATCCTTACCAGTTCATTCAGTTCCACGTAATTAATTCTGGTTCTGCTTGATCTCAGGTTAACAGTTTTATGAATCCCTCAGTTTCTTTAGTAAGGGATTAGTGTCTGGAAATTCTTAGACAGCCCATTTGTATGGTCTTAATGTTACTAGAAACTGAATCTTTTCCATGAAGAATTTTGGCCTATAGTTGATAGTGAATGCTTTTATATAAGAATCAAATTAAAACAATAACTCTCTGTGCATGACAAAAGTCTCAAAGATAGCCATGGTTAAAGATTTGGTGAGAGTTCGTCATAATGTAATTGACAAGGAAATTTGTTTATTTCTGTGGCATATCATATTTTAAGATAACAATTGGCATTATGGCAGATAACATTATACCAGATATATGATGAGCAGTGAGGGTATTGACAAAGTTTTGGGAATTTTATACAATTTCTGAAACAGTTATATTAATAACATGGTAAATGTAACCTAAAGAAATCCTATCATCACTTCTTATTTGACAATGCTTCCCATATAATTTAACATATCAAATAAATTTTGTTAGTTTGAGATCTCTTTTACAAGATGAGGGACAATTTCTTTGAATTTTCCAAAGGCCTTCTGAAAAATCTCAGTTACTTTGAGGTTAAAAAGACTATTTAGAATTTGATTTGAGGAAGTTTATCAAAAAATGTCAAAAGATTCGAATACAATTAAATATGACCTTGGTGATCTATTTAACCAAAATAGCAATAAAAGATTCTAAAGGCAAATACAGAAAATTACACAGATGTGAAAAAATTAACCCTTTTAATATTGAAAGGACTTGATTTCCTTAAGTAAACATAGACCTGATAAAGACAACATGAAGCACAGGAAATTATTTTAATAAGACAGAATTTTTATTTCCTAGGCATATTACTTGAAAGGTGAAGAAAAATCTTTCTACAATCTTGTATTAAGAGCAGACCAATAATCCAAGAACACTTTGTCCTTTTAAAAAAAGGAAAACCAAATTCTAGTTTTACATCAGTGTACTATTCTTACTGAAACTAACTTTTACGAAATCTTATAAATAAATCCATCCAATCTTACTGGCTTTGACTACACAGATGCTATTTTTCCAAAATTCCTTTTCCACAGACCTTCTACAACCTTCTTTCTTCTTAATATTAATTCTGTTTCTGTCTTACTCTTTTATTCTTTCTCATTCTGAAACAACTAGTCATCTTATTTTAGGACAACATTAATTTCTTGTTTATTTAACAAAGATCACATCTTTTATACTTTGAGTACTTTTCCTTACCACAAACACATCTTATTGTTCTTGTATTCTTTACATACAAAGGGTTTTTTTTTTTTACCTTTACTATTTCTATAGTTTCATTTATATAGATTGACTAAAGTTTTAACAAGTTTTAACCCTTAGTAATCCTAATTTCTGGTGAGAACTACGAAGTCAGCAATTATACACTATCACATACTAACATTTAGTAGTAGTTTAGAAAACTTTTGTGCAGGTGAAAACAAAAAAAAGAAAATTTATGAATACACAATTTCACAATTTCTAGAGGCATGTATTCTCATACAATTTTCAAAGTGATGAAGGCGTTGTTTATTAAAAAACCCAAATATCTTTCACCTTCAATAAAAATCAAGAGGCCAAAAGTAAATAAACCTTAACTTTTATTAAGCAATTAATGTTTCATTATTTTATTAAGAAATAATATAAATATTCAATGAATATTCATTATTTAATGTCACTTAGTATAGCTTTAAGATTTTGAGTTATCAAAAGGATTTTAAAATCATTTTTAAAAAGACATTATAAAACATAATTATTGTTGAAAAGTTCATTTATACAATTTTTCCACTTACATCTATTTAATTCACTTTTTCTTAATTATGCTTGAATGGCTCATGAAAACTTCATTAGCCATTAAACAAAGCTAGCCATCACATTAAGTTATTTTTGTTGTTGTTGACAAATCAGACACATATCAAAAATCACAGAAGCAAAGAATCTAAAAAGTTAAACATGTGGTTTTAATCTTTTTTTCTGTTTTTCCTTCTTTTATGGCTGTGCTTGACATACATAAAGCATACATAAAGCCATTCATTTTTATTGTACCTTTCATTCTTAAGTTGGATTTATAGTATTGTAATTCATAATACCTAGTAATGATAATGTCAGCTTGTCTGAGTTTAAGCCTAGGTAGAAAGAAAACTATGTCTGTATTACATTTAATGTTGACAACCCTGAAGACATGCCTGTTTTATTTTACCAACAATCTTATGGCTAGCTTTTTAAAAAACGAATTATTATCTAAGATACAATAGCTTAAGAAAAAAAAAAAACATTTGAGTGACTTTCTTAGTTTAGCCAGTTAGTCGAGGAAGAAGAAGGAGTAAAATCAGTGGGAAGGAAGAGGTCTTAGAGGAAACACTTTCAGGAGATCTTAAGTTTCACAAAGAAAGCCAGTGACGCTCCAAATTATCCTCAGCAAAATTATGCCAACAAGAAGGAGGTGAACAGAGTTCATAAAGCATATAGTCAACAGTGGTTGACTGCAGTGGAAAAGGGGGTTTCAGTTGACTGAGAAGTTTCCATGGGAAGAACAGACTCAACTAGAGAGAACAGACGTTTTAGAAAAATAGCTCCCATCAAGCTTTGAATATCAGCTCCCAGTTAGGCCAGCTTCTGACCATAGAGCTCTTTACAAGAAAGTAAAAATCCTTTCAGATATCGCATTATCAGGTTTCAGCCAGAACAAACTAAATATTCCCAGCAGTATTGAACTCTTTACTTTTTTTTCTTTTACCAACGGTATACCTATTTCTAGATACTTAAAATCAAAACCAGTAAGTCTTTTATGACATAACCATGGAGAGCAAGTAGCATCCCCAAAGAGGGTGCAAAAGATGTAACCCTCCCAAAATCCTAAGCCACTCCCAAAGATAACCAAAGTAAAGAAAGATTTAGACAACACCCTGAGGGTTGGCAAAGGCTGGTAGGACATTAGCCACAAATGAAGTGTGACGCACATTGCTGTCTGGCCATACTCTTTGGCCCCCAACCAGACAGTTGGCTGCCTGCTAACACAGGTCCAACAACCTGTGCACCCCAGCAGGTGGAAAGCCAAGCCAAGATCTCAGGACACAAAACAAGACAAACTGGAAAGCAATAGCTGTCCCTGGGAGAGAAAGATCAATAACCAAGTGGTATCCCCTGCAAAAATTAACCAAATTGACCTGAGTCACAATTCAAAGAGCTAATTTTTACAAATTTTTTTAAATCTAAATTCGGAAAGGAAGGGACAAGCAAACATTTTACCTTCCTTATGTGTCTGGGCACTAAAAACGAGATCCAGGAAACAGGGTAAGAATTTATATTTCTGACAGCTTTTTTTCAGTTGTGTCAGATCTCAACTGTAGTTTCTGGAGTGAGTAGAGTACCCCAATCTTAGACACCCCAATCTTTGTGATCACCAGAAACTGTAGGGGAGAAAAAATATCTTTTTCCTTCTACCCTTTTTGGTTCTCTGTCGGGACTCTGTAACAAAAGATAGATTAACGGGAGAAAACCATACACATTTATTTTTCATAGACTCAACAGCCTTCATAAGGAAATTGATGACCCAAGGAAATAGTTAGATGAGTATTTTTATGCTAGGTTTGATGAAGTACAGAAAGTTTTGCAAAAGGTGATAAGACAAAAACAGCTATGAGCTAAGAGTAGTGAACCGAGGGAAACTTTACAAGACCTATTCATTCTGATCCTATTAGCATTTCTCCATTTTTGGAGATAAAGATGTTCATTTCCTCTGTGTATAGGGAGGGTGCTTCTCACATAAGGGTCTTATGGCCTACTTCAGCGAGGTCCAAACCCTGTCACTCCTTTTGAACTTTACATGAGTAGTAAAATATTTGTTGTAAGAGGTTGTATAAAACCAAAAAGTATGTATAGAAAAGTAAAACATTACTCTAAAGCAGAAATAAATTAGTGTACATTCTCCTAACTTATATGTATACATATACAAATAGGTGCAAAAGGTACTGCATATAAATTATTTCAGTCTAAAAGTAGGTTGCCATTACAGGGATAGTTCTACAGCTTACTTTTTTATCTCAACATCTTTTCATGAAAGTACACAGAAATTTATGTCATCTTTTAAAACTGGAACATAACAATTCAATGTATCATCTATTATTGACCTATCCTTTAGCTAATTGGGAACCATTGAAAATGTTCTGTAGGAAAAAGGAAATTGTAAATGTTTTAAAATCTGCTAATCAAAAGGGTAAATGTTTACAGGAGAAATAGGAAATTTAAAAAAAAAAAACTTACGTGGCTCATGCTTTCCATTACTTTGGGAAGCTGAGATGGGAGGATCACATGAGTCCAGGAGTTCAAGACCAGCCTGTGCAACATAGTGAGATCCCATCTGTAAACAAATAAAATAGAGAATCAGCCAGGTGTGGTGGCTTATACCTGCAGCCCCAACTAATTGGGACATTGAGGTGGGAGGATCTCTTGACCCCAGGAGGTCATGGCTGCAGTGAGCCATGATCACGCCACTACACTCCAGCCCCAGTGATGGAGTGGGACCCTGTTTCAAAAAGAAAAGAGAAAGAAAATACTTAAAAGATTATTACAATAGTGTAGATAAACTATAATAATGAGAGCTTGGATTAAGACTAACTGTAAGAAACGTTTCAGATAATGTAATAAAAACAGTTTATAATTATCCTAGTTTACCATATGAGAACAAAAAGAGCAATGAGATGAAAGGCCAACTATGGATGATTAGGGATATCAGGAAGCTATCTCTAGAGAAAGGCAACTGAGCAACACAAAATAGTTTATCTGGCGATTCTCCTACTGTTCACCCTGAGTTTTCTTAGTTCCCCCAGCATCCTATCACTTTTCAAGTATGTCAACCTGATCACAACAATATTTCCAAATCTGTACCATTTTGTCTATTCCATTCATCACTATCCTCATTCATGCCCTTATCATCTCCCTCACAGCACTGGTCTCTCACTTCTAATTCACCCAAAATTGCTCTCAGATTAATTTTACTACAAGGCCAAAAGTCAAGATAGTTCAGGTGGCTAAAGTTCACTGTGTTAGTCAGAGTTCTCCAGAGAAACAGAACCAATAGGATATATATAGAGAGATGATGGAAATAAAGGTAGCAATATATAGAAAAAAACTTTTTTATGATAGGAATTGGCTTATGTGATTATGTAGTCTAAGAAGTTGCACAACCTGTCATGTGCAAACTGAAATACCAGGAAAGCCAGTGGTGTAGTTCAGTCCAAGAATGAGGATCTGAAAACTGGGAGTCCAATGGTTTAAATCCTGGTCTGAGTCTGAAGGCCCAAGAACCAGGAGCATCACTGTTGAAGGGTGGGAAAAGTTAGATGCCCAGCTCAGATAGAGAGAGCGAATTCACCCTTCTTCCTCCGTTTTTGTTCTATTCAGCCTCTCGAAGGTTGGATGATGCTCATCCTTATTGGTGAGGACAGACCTTCTTTACTCAGTCTACTGACTCAAATTCTAATGTCTTCCAGAAACCCTCAGGCACACACCCACAAATAATGTTTTACAAGCTATCCGGGCAACCCTCAGCCCAGTCAAGTTGACACATAAAATTCACCTTCACTGTCACTAACAGATACTGCATATCTGCTACAGGCCAAGCACTATGTTTCCTTTGAACATACATTGTTATGTCATTACATTTTCACAGAAAGCCATCTTTTGGTTTTGTGACTTTAATAAAATTATTTAATATTGCCTGAAGAGTCCATTTCCTCATCTGTCAAATGGGGATAATAGTATCTGCTTTGTGCATCTGTTGCATGAAGTGTCTTAATGAATATTAATTGGTATGATCCTGCCACACAGTTAAGCACAGGTATCTTAGCTTCCATCATCATGAGTCCTCAATTGTACCAAAAACTACCTCTGCAGCCTGACAAACTTTCCAATGTCTTGCCTATTATGTATTTCTACATATGCTCCATGTGTTCACATCTTACTGTCTTAGCCCATGCTGCTCTGACTAGAGAATGCCTTTCCTGCCATCTCTACGTCCATACTTGTAAATTCTCCTCACTCTTATAGGTATCAATTACATGAACATATTCTGAGATTTCACATCTAGTAGTATTTGCTCACCTCCCTCATGCCAAAGCATCTTATATATTGCCACCTTATAACACTTTGCTTTATCTTAAATTCTATTTTTATACACATTTGTTTGCATGTTTTATACACATGGTTTATATACTTATAGATACATACAGCTTTATTCCTAGGTTCTGAACTTCCACAGAAGTTGGGAGCAGGGCCAATTCTTTATTTGTTAATGCTTAAAAAGATTATTTTACTATACTAGGCACACACAAAAAAAACATTGGTTAAGGTTTATGCTACATATCTTCCATTTATTTCTCCACACACTCCATCCTGCTGTCTATGCTGGCAAGCTGATCTATAGGCCTTATCACCAAGCACTGGAGAGGAACAGGCAAGAGGTGAGAGGATGGGAGGAAAGACTCCCTTTAATAACCCTCCATCCTTGAATTATCCGAATTTGAGTATGCCATTTTTTTTCTTGTTGGGACCATCTGCTCAAAATTCTCAGAGATTTTAGATAAAGAGGAGAGGATTTGGGAAAGTAACTCCTTAAGTTCTGTCTTTTGAATCAAGTAAAAAGAAGTCTTTGCTTAGATTGAAGAGGACAATAGAATGGTAGTAAGCTGGAGGAAATTGAAAAAAGGATGAGAACAACTGCTGAAGGAAATGCCTTAGGAAGTTAGTTAATGATAAATAAAAAGATAGCAGAACAACATGAGGGGCCTAATTGCACAGAATTTGATTGTCAAACTAGCCTGAATTTCTCCAGCAGTGCTTAGCAGAACAAGATCAAGAGGGTTGTTAAAACAAAGCAAAGCAAAACAAAATGCGAGTGATAGAGTTTAACTACATTGGGAATGATAGGAGACTAAGAAGTCCTTGGATCCAAAGGTGCTAAGAAGGGTCATGAACAGGACCCAAATAGAAGTCTGAAGGGAGACAAGTGAGGCCAAGAAGAGGTTAGTGGGCAATTTTCACTTTTAAGGGAAACAGTGATCAGACTAATTGTTCAACATTACTAACAGCAAAAGATACTGATTGTTTTTATTTTTAATTTACAACAAGAAATGGCTTTGCTTACTTGCAGTACAGTTTATGTGCCAAAAATTAGGCTTCCTATTTTAAGCTATCTTTTCAGATAACATAAGATTTGGATAATATTCTTGTTATTGTTCTGAAATCTTGGGCTCCCTTTGAAAATTTGATTTTACAAACATGTTTTACTTTCTAAAATTTAAATTTTTAAAACTTCATCTCAATTTCTCCTGAATTCTTCTTTTTGCTTCCAAAAATTTGCATCTTTGACAAATTAAGAGCCACCAGATTTTAGACCTTAATGTAAAGTAAGCACAAGGGAAAAGAAAAATGAGGAGAAATGCCAAATGATCACATTAACAAAACAATCAAGTTCTTGATTGCAGTATTAAAACGGGGAAACTGCTGTGTTAACTCATATGCTCTACACAAAGGTTACCAGGGGAACCATACTTGCACACTTCCTGGTTCTCAAAAATGTACCAATGTGATGTTTGTGTCTGTCTCTTTTCTTTTCCTTTTTGGAAATCTTAACCAAAAATCTCCTGTACTCTTGTGGTTTCCTTGTTATTCAACTTGTAAATTCATTTTTTTAATGCTCACATCACAGAATCCACTAAGCTGGCAATATATAAGAAGGCACTGATTTTTTTTTCTCCAAAAGTTACCAATGCAGCATGGAATGCAATTTCTTCTCCTTCTGGAGCCCCTAAAAGTAAAATAGTGTAAATTGTTTTTGCCTCTAAGTATGTTTGATTTTTGTTTACTCTCTTCCTACTTCTAGATTATAAGTTCCTCCAGGGCAGGCACTAGATCTATAATTTTCTATATAATTCCCTATAGAAATTAGACAGGTCTAAACCCATAGTGAGAGATAAATAATTCTTTTCAGCTGTTATTACATGTAAGATAAAAGAGTAAATTTGGAAATTGTGAATTGACTTTTTTTGATTTGTTAAAATAAACTCAGGTCTCAGATTTTTTCCCCCGCAGGTAAATACCCACATCTAAGAAAGAGACTGCAGAAAGAAAAGTGTTTTTATTTCGTTCTGGGAAGTGCATTTGGAGGCTGATTGAAAGGGAATTGCCACTCCCTCCTCCAGTATCTACACTAGCTTTGTTGCCCGGTTTATGAAAGAGCTGGGTTGCTTTTCATTTCTGTATCAGAACAAACAAAATGGATTAGGCATGAATAACTTTTACTATATTTAAGGGTTTACTAAAATTAATATTAAATCATTAACAAAGACTATAGGTTAAAGACATACTGATTATGAAAAGAAAACAAATTCTTAGTAATATGACGAATTTTAAGAACAAATATACATTAATTAATACACTTGTCAAACACATGGATTCACCAAATGTTTATTAAACATTTATATGAATGTGCCATGTTATGTGTAGTAGGTATATAAAGTTAAAGACAAATACAACATTTTTACTCTCAAGAAGCTTAAAATGCACCAACATGTTTTCATGGAAGGATTGCCCCTTCTATATTATCCTGGTTTCAACTGGCTTATAACCAAAATTTCAATTTTAGACACTACTGTTCAAGAAAAATATATAATTGTGACACATTTTAAAACTGCAAGAGAGACTTTATTTGGGATTATTACAATAGGTATCAAGACTACTGCAATAGGAGAGAGATCTGGTTCAACTTCAAACACAGCAAAGACAGCTGAGGATTTATAGCCAATGAACTGAGCGAGGGGTTTAGTGGCTGGACAATTACTAAGAGGAGACACCGGGGTAGGGAGATTCTTGTAAAATTGACTTAGCACGAGTGTTGCTGAAGGCAGGCCAGGGGGATCAGATAGTAAGCGTGGAGGATGAGGAATTTCATCAGATACTGAGGGTGAGAGGATTCTGGCTAACTGAGGTAGCGAGAGTTTTGCTACAAGTGGACAAGATAGACCAAAGATAAGGCCCAAGGTCAAGGCCTAGTTAAACAGAGGACTCAGAGGAAAGTGTCTAAAGTTTGGTCTAGAAAGAGAGTCTTTGTTACTATATTGAAGCTGCACTGCTAAATTATTAAAAGTCAGAGTCTCTTGGACTCAATTTGTATGTTTGTAAAACCAACAATGTACAGTATACCAGGGAGCTTTCTGATTTTATGAAATCCAGCCTTTCCACTTATTATTATTATTATATTTATTTATTTACTTTGGTAGCTTAGGTAAATCACTTTTCTGCTCAGGGCCAGTTTCCTCATCTATAAAGTGCGGACCAACCCTGAATTAATGAACTCTTCGTAGCATATAAGATAATATATTGAAAGTGCCTTGAAAACTCTAATTTCCTATTTGAATCAAAGGTGTTTTTATTGTCAGGAATGCCTGTATCTTCTGTATTCATTCAGTGAACTCCAAGAAACCACTAGTCTGTTGCCTTCTGGACCTCAGACAGAAGCAGCCATTATCTCCTAAAACTCCCTCTGTATTTTGTTAACACCTATATTGCAGCCTGTTTGACTTTGTGTTACAATTATCTACTCATATAGCTTTCCATTCCACCACCCTTCCTTTAAGGCAAGCAGTTTAAATTATTCTTCTTTGTGTTCCAGTGCCCATGGCACATATTTGGTTTCAATAAGTATTTGCTGAAAAGATGAATAGTTATATCTTAGTTCCAAGAATATCTACTAAGAGTTCTTTGTCTCTCTAGGTTTCCTGAAGCAGTATCCTCCAAGCAACTAAAGAAACTCTCGTTTCCTGGCTTTCCAATTACCTTTAATGTAGCAACTAAAGTTACACATTACATGGAGTTTATGTTCAAGAACATAAACAAAAACGTGAAATAAAAATCACAGAGAGTCAAAATTGTCTTTGAAAAATGTCAAAAGTAGCCCTTTGCTTCTCTTTTGTCATATTTCTTTCATTAGGGCAATGAAAGCAAAAACTATAGCTACAACAGGATTTTCCACACAATCTTTTAGCTGAGCATGAGCACTTTCTCTAAGTCAAATGTGAGTATCATGAGTTCCATTATATTGTTGGGTCCTAATTCTGACCCCCTCATTTCCTTCTTCTCCCACAGCTGGTACTTTGTAACTCTTGTTTTAGGTCCAGATCTATATTAGTCTCTATTTAAGGCAACGCAAAGCAAGATTTATTCAATAGGTGGGCAGGTAGCATCAAGTTATTGCCCCAAAGAGTTTGGGCTGATCCTGATTCTGGGTCCCAATTAACCCTTAGTGAATTTCTACCTTCTTCCCAAGATTACAGACTTTTCCTCATGCAAGTTCATTGTATCTCTACCCTTTCTCTGATGCATTGATCTCTGTCTGAGGTATCTCCTAGTACCCTGTTCCTCTTAGATTTGGAGGTGGGCTTACAATTGCTATTTAGCTCCTATTTACTTAAAGAGGAGTTTTGTTTTCTTTATCCTAATTTCATACTCTGCTTACCTTTGTGATATATTTCAAATAGATTTCATAGCAATACCTCTTTTTGTAGTCCACAAACCCATCAAATACTATTTTCTTCTGCAAATGGTCCTCTCTGCCTCCAAGCCCAATCAACATCTTGTTTGAGGTCCTCACAGTCCTGTCTTGCTACTATGAATTGTATCATCATACAATCACAGCATCACATCTAACTCAATTGAGGAAATTCCGGTGAATGACTGACTCCTTAAAAAAGGAGACCAGACTATTATTCTGAACCATAAATAATATAGAATTAAATCATTTAACACAAAAATTGTGTATTAAATATTAACAGATTTCTTCACACATTGACTATCTGCTGGATTTTCTACTTCATAAAAAAAAAATCCAAAAATTAGTCTCGAAAGCACTAAGTTTTTGGGTCATGAAGAGGTAATTTAATTAGGGAACTGGATTAAACATTAGCTACAACTCATACCTTAGTATATATTTAAAAGATTATAAAAGATGATCTCCCTACCAAGAGAAAACAAGAAGAAATAAGATCCAGGCAATGGTCACTATGAGATACACTGAAGAAAAGTGAATTATTTCAAAATCCGACTCAAAGATATGAGATTACTTAGTGTGATATTCTCCAGGTTCATCCATGTTGTTGCATATGGCAGAATTTCCTTTTTTAAGGCCCTATGATATTCCATTGCATGCATGTACCACATTTTCTTTAGCTCTTCATCCATTCATGGATATTCAGGTTGTTTCCATATTTGGGGTATTATGAATAATGCTACAGTAAACATAGGAGTGAAGATATTTCTTCCAGATCCTAATTTCAATTCTTTTGGATATACACTCAGAAGTGGGATTGCTGGATCATATGTTAGTTTTATTTTTAGTCTTTTGAGAAACTTTCATACTATTTTTCACACTGGCTGTACCAATTTACATTCCCACCAACAGTGCACAGGGATTTCAATTTCTTAACATCCTTGCCAATAGTTGTTATCTTTCATTTTGTTTTGTTAATAATACCCATCTTAACAGGTGTGAGGTGATAACTCATTATGCTAAGTGAAATACTCCAGTCACAGAAAGACAAATTCTGCATGCTTCCACTTACATGAGGTATCTAAAATAGTCACATTCATAGAAACATACAGTAGAATAATGGTTACCAGGGAGTGGGAGTGGGGGGTGGGAAGGATAAAATGAAGGTTTGCTGTTTGACAGGTATAAAATTTCAATGAGTAAGATGAATAAGTTATAGAGGTCTGCTATACAGCATTATGCCTATACTTAACAATATTTTACTGGGCACTAAATTTGTTAAAAGTGTCTCAAGTTAAATGTTCTTCTCATAATAAAAAACGAAAAAGAAACAGAAGAACCTCAAAATTATAGGGTCAGTTTTTTTTTTCAGTTTGGAAATAATGTGTCTCTGCTTATAGAAGAATCCTACATGTAAACAAAATTATTCATCCAACAGTTTAATAATTTTATATCTGCTTAGATAGTATCCAGCAGTGTGTCACACATATACATATATTCTGTTTTATGTCTTGAATTCGATCTAGAATGTGTTGGAAGTGAGGTATAAAATCAGATCCAGGAATGAGGTGATGGTGAAGATTAAATTTTCCTTATAGACACACCAAAAAACTATGAGAATTGGCTCATTTGTGCAGCCTAAGTCTTCAAACACCTTCGCTGAGATATGATAAGAAATATGTCTTATTTCACACAGCAGCATGATTTGAATTAATTCTTTCCTACTGCTGTTTCTCCTGCAAGCAAGTGCAATACATTTGACCCAACTGCACAAACATAGGAAACTCAGGGGCTCTTTATAAGGCTCTTCATTCTATAAAGAAGCACTAATAAAAATCAAAGTGAATTTCAGAAGTATCATGTGAAAAGCTGGCCACATGTTGAAAGGTATTTGTATTTTTGTAATTCAAAACCCTCTCATCTAAAGGAAAAAAAGAATTGACAGCCAGAAACTTAGGTTTCCATCTATGTCTCTTTATTACCAGGAGTCCTGTGTGATTCTCTACATTTTAGATGTCTTGTAAGGTAAGTATGCTGACAAATATAAACATCCTGCCCCTTTGTGCAGGTTCTCATTGACCATACTTCATGCCTCTTCTAATCTGGTCTGTTAACTACATAAAAATTGAAAAAAGATAGACTGAACAACCATATTTAATTAGTCTATCACAGGTTCAGGGAAAATATAGTTACAGGTATTAGGTAGTTCTTTTTTTCTGCGCATTTTATATTAAAAAGAAACTAACATTTCACAGAGAATAAAAAAGAGTTAGGACAATGTATTTGATGGGGTCAGTGGTTCAAATGGGCCTGTCACAGAGGAGGAAAAAAAAAAGATTATTTACAGCATGATTTTTTCCTCGAAGTACTTTCCAACTTCTTACAAAGCATGACAACACTTAGCTAATCTGCTTTCCTGACTGCGATCTCAGCTTTTAAGTCATACTCATAAAAAAAAATTCTCTACTGTTCTCAGGCTTGAGAAAAAACTCTGTTGCAGATATACTAGAGGAATTTGACATTTTGATGGAGATCAGAATAAAACTAGACATTCCTTATGAAAGAGCAGTGTGAGAAAATGGCTTCATGAACTCATATTAAGAAACAATTATTCACAATCTGACAAAAACTGGGCCTTCACAATCATCAAACGGGAAAATGGTATAAAAATAATTTACCAGCCAATCAGGCTTACCAAAGAAAATGCCTTTCATTGTTACTACTGTCGCCCCACTAGATTTAACCAAAAATAAATTTTTGCTGTGAATGCTGTTGATAAGGGGAAGAAAGCTTTTTCAATTTGTGTAAGATTAGGCTTTTCCTTTTGTTTTAATTGCCTGGGAATCAACTATCATTTCATTTCTAGGTTCATTCCTATAATTTATAGTCTAGAAGTGCACCAGAGGTTTAATTCATGGAGCACTAAGCTAGCTTTGCCAGAGTGCTCAATCCCATCATTCAAATTCCCCATGATGTGGGAACTAAAAGGACAGTTGTTTTCTTTTCATTTCCATAATTTCATGCCTACAAGTCCTCTTCATATTTCTTACATAATCTGATAAATTATAAATAATTTCTAAATTGCCTTATAATTTATCTTGCTCTTGCAAAGAGTCTCTGAACATGCTGTATGTTGGACTAGTTGTAAAAGAATTTGAGGAGGGGCCAGCATTAGAGTTGTTTTAAAGCACCTGTGCCTTGTCTGGAATGATAGAAAAGCAAAATATAATATAAAACACTAATAAAAGGGAAAGAGGGGGAGACAGAACAAGTGAAATGTCTAAGAACTACTTTTCCTTTTTCTCTCAAGGATTTTGTTTTTATAATTATTTTCCACATACTCACAAAACCTGTAAAATATTCACTCAGACAACTCATCACTCCTTTCAACAGTACAGTCCCCCACCTACCCCCACAGCCCCTGTACCATTCACGTTCATTTTCCTTCTGAGGTATATCCTGGGTTTGCAAATTGTGACTGATTAATATCACCCTCATGATTCTCAAGACATTTGCAAATTCAGTATTATTTTCCTTGAGAGCATGTCAGTAACTTCAGGATGTGACTGTGTACAAATGACCCCAAATCTTTTCTTGATATATAAGATTAATATTTCTAAATAACAGAAAAAGTATTTCCTAGTCCCATTTTCTGTGGCCTTTCCTAACCATACAGAGTTTTCTGGTACTTTAGTTTAAAGCAGTAAAATTATTATATTGTACATTAATGTAAAATATAAAATGAGAGTTATATCATAAATGTAATGTAAGTCTGTGAATTGAATACATTAGTAATGCAATTAATATTGCAAAATCCCAGCTGTTCAGCTGATATATGCCTCCCATTGATTATAGCTTGTATTATGTCAACAAAGAATAGAATTCATTTAGCAGGAAATCATTGGCAATTCACATGTCTATAGTAAAAGAGGCTCAATTATACATAGTTTATATAATCCTGCGTAAGTAAAAGAAAAGAGTAATTTAGAATACTTTTTTAGAACTCTTTTTTAGAACATATTTTTGTCTTTTCATACACAGGGAGGTGAATTCAATTGTTATTAAATATTTACTTTACATACATGGTCATTCGAGGTTCCTATATAACTCATTATATAAGGATTCTCCAGATAAACAGAATTTATAGGAGAGATATATACAATAGAGCCAATAGGATTTGTATATCATATATATTTTTTAATAAAGTATCTAACATATTTTATATGCATATATATTTTATATACACATATGTGTGTGTATATATAGAGAGAGATTTATTATAAGGAATTGGCTTATATAATTACGGTGGATGAGAAGTCTCAAGACATGCAGTTAGCAAGTTGGAGACCCAGGAGCATTGACAGTATAGTTCCAATCTGAGTTCTAAGGCCTGAAAAGCAGGAGATCTGATGGTATAAGTACCAGTTTGAGTTCAAGTTTGAAGGCAGAAGAAAACAAATGCCCCAGCTTAAAGAGAGTCAAGCAGAGAGAAGATAAATTTCCCCTTACTCAGCTTTTAAATTTTATTTAGGCCTTCAAGAGATTGGATGGGGCCCACACATATAGGAGAGGGCAATCTGCTTTATTCAGTCTACCAATCCAAATGTTAAACTCTTCCAGAAACACCCTACAGACACACCAAGAAATACTGTTTTACCAGCTATCTGGGTATCCTTTATCCCAATCAAATTAACACATACAATTAACCATGACACTCATTATCTTTAAAAGGGTACACAAACTACCAATTTATATCAAAGCTATTACAGACAACATTCTTTGAAATCAAGTTGACTCACTAACCAAAGTTAATGCTAACTCATCCCATTGGTGAAATAGTATATAAGCTAAAACGTTTTAAAAATAAATTCAAGTATTTTGGTATCATAAAATCTGAACAATAAATGCTTTGGATTCAGAGACCTGGGTATAAATCCTAGTTATATATTTTTGGGCACTTTCCTTTTAATCCTATGCATTTGTATTTTTCATCTGTCAAAGTACTATCAGTTGGTAAATTAGCAGCATAAGCACAGTAGTAGTGTTTTGCACACTACTATGCCCAAAGTTGTGAAAACATTGGACATCATCATGCAAATTTGAATTTAGATACCTTACAGTCAATCACAGAACCTTTAAGGTAGAAGTGACATTTAAAATGATATATTAGATATGAGCTTTGCCTTTGGTGTCAAAGAGACCTGAGTTTGTATCACAGTCACTGTAGACTGGATTTTTCAAAATTTACTTAAGGCCTTCAGTTTGCCTTCTTCTACTGCAGAGGCAAAAAAGCTAAAAATGTTTCTCAGTCCCTTATATCTAGAACTCCAAATGGGATTTAGCTTCTTACATTCAGATGGACTTACGCAAGACTTGAAAAGAATTCAGACTGAGTTAATTGGGATAAAAGGTCAGGCATCCATTTTCACATAAGATCATAGCATAGGTAGGAGTTTATAACAACATTATCAACAACTGTCAGATTTGGCAAAGGAGCCTTCCTGAACTAGCAATGGCAGCAAGATTCTGGAACTGACAGTTGTAGAGGTGGCTCCTTAATTCCACAAGCAGGACCCCCTCATGGCAGAGTTCCAGCTCCCTTTGTGATACAGTTCGGTAGTACAGAGTTTCTACTGCAGAGTCTTCTTTCCCAGGAAACATAGGATGAAAGAGTCTCTGTCTGCCCAAGATACATCTAGAAAATCTGAACAAGAATTGCAAAAGGACACATGGGAGCTACAGCCCAGCCAAGGCATCCTTTTAAAAGAGATAAAGAAACTAAGCTCAGAAAGGCTAGGGACCTGCCCCTGGATCACACTGTGAAGAATTGCTGTGAGAGAAATTCAAATTCAGTGTGACTAGGCCAATATTCAGCCAAAAAGCACTAGTACATCAATAATAGTTATATTAGTCTGTTTTCATGCTGCTGCTAAAGACAAACCCAAGACTGGGCAATTTACAAAAGAAAGAGATTTAATGGACTCATAGTTCCACATGGCTGGGGGGGCCTCACAATCATGGTGGAAGCCAAGGAGGAGCAAGTCACATCTTACATGAATGGTGGCAGGCAAAGAAAGAGCTTGTGCAGAGGAATCCCTCTTTATAAAACCATCAGATCTCATGAGACTCATTCACTATCACGAGAACAGTGCAGGAAAGACCTGCCGCCATAATTCAATCACTTCTCACCAGGTTCTTCCTACGATATGTGGGAATTGTGGGAGTTACAATTCAAGATGAGATTTGGGTGGGGACACAGCCAAACTATATCAGTAATTATTAAAATCTTGAAATATTTCTACATGGATGATAAGTTGCTGTGGCCATGAGTCCCCTAGATGTTGATGGCTTTTCCCTTAGGGCCCAGTGGACTTTGTCACCATGTAGAAACTAAAAGGCAATGCTTGTTACAGAGCAGGATGCTGGTGTTCTAGCTATTATCCTTTCAGATTGTATGGTGTGCACCATCTAATCGTTAAATATTTTTATTCTCACCCTTGGGTATGACTGCAGCAAGTGCTTTTTACTACTCCAAGTTATTTCTTTACTTAATAAATGCTTTATTGAATTCAACAGAATACTTAGATTTAAAACTGAGATAACATGATTTTTATCTCTTTTTAGAACAATAAAACCATTACTGCTTGTAGAGGCAGTATTAGAAACTCAGCAAACTTCTTTTGTTAGGGGGAGCTCATCCAAAGATGTCAATTTAAAAAATTTAATTTTTAACAGGTCAGTAGCAGCCTTATATTACTGGTGAGATGCTTAACCAACTGAAAAATGAATCTGAGGAGACAAAAAACCTCAATCTCCAGCACTAATAACAGATACAGAACATAGTCTTACATATGTAATATTTTATAATTTTCACATTTATAATTTATAACAGAAGCTACTTATCAGTAATAAGCCAAGAGAAAATAAGCCAAATAATCACTTGGCTATCCAGCAGTATGTGACTGGGTTATTTTACTTCCAGAAACACTAGATGTTTTGAGAATGTTCTTTTTTATCGCATTTATGCCTGTTGGCATCTGGGTTTGACAGGTGCATTTAGCAACAAACATACAGAATCACTATCTTCCCATTATTGCTTGTTATCATAAATTACTCCCAAATTCTCCAAATGCAAAATCCCCAGACTTTCCAGGCTCTTGATCAATAATGAGTGAGTCATTACACAAATACTGCTGGGATAATCGTCCTTTATCTGAGAAATGGAAGATAGATTTTTCTGATCTTTCCTGGCATCTAAGTCTGCTGTAAAATAAATGTGTCATAATTTATTTAAAGTTCAGGGAAAGGAGAAAGCCCAAGAGTTCCTGAAGTCTAGTGTACTTACTTCATTAAAAAAAAAACTAAATGGACAGATACCTCCTGCTGCTGAATTTAAAAAATCAAAATAAACATAATAGTATAATAAATAAAAGTTGGAGAAACTACAAGATTCTCAAAACAAAAGACACATGTTCCCATCTGTAGGACTTACAATTTTGCTGAAAGAATGTTTAAAGAGTCAAAAGAAAAATGTTTTTAAAATATTCAAACAGTTGAAAAATAATGCTTGATATTTAGGTAAGCGCAGTGATACGAAAGCACATATTTGTTTCACTGTGCTTTAAAACCCCATGAAAATAAATGTATAGATAAATACAAATAATTTTTAAAGTGGGATACTGCCTACATAATCAAAAAAACATGAGAGGAGAAAACAGAAGAAGAAAGATGACAACAAAATTTTAAGTATTGAAATAGTAATTGACAGCAGGGTGACCAAAGCTGAAACTAAGTACTTGTATTTATCATTCACCAAATATTCACTGAGCACCTAGTATGTGCCAGGCACTGTTCTAGAAAGAAGCAAGAGAGCAGTGAACAAAACACAAAAACTGTGTCCTCATGGAGCTTAAATAGAAGAATCCAATCAGAAGAAATTTAGTTTGTGACACAGAGAAGCTGAAAACAAATTAAAGGCATATGGTAGCTCTGAAAGTGTAAGTGAGGAAAGGTGCTAAAAATAAAAAGGAGAAAGTAAAAATCCGTTTAAGGGGCAATCAGACTGGTACATCCCTTCTCCTATCCAGCACACCCATGACTGCTCCTCCCTCACCTGAGAACAATGTAATTTACTCTCTGAAGAAACTGAACAAAACAAGAGTGGAGGAGAGAAATGAGATGCCCTACTGAAAGCAGAGGAATTAAATGATCACACATTAAACTGGGACACTCACAGTTATGAATGAATTGTGTCCCCACTCCCCAAATCCATATGTTGAAATCTTAACCCACATTGTGATGAGGCATCTGTGAGGTGATTTTCAATAAGGTCTCATGAGGGTGGGGCCCCATGATGGAATTGGTGTCCTCATAAGAAGAGACACTAGAGAGATCTTTCATTTTCTCTCTGCACAGTCACAGTGAGAGGTCTTGTGGTTATACCATGGGATAAGAAGCCATCTACAAACAAAGATAAGAGTCCTGGCCAGAATTCCAGCATGCTGGCACCCAGATTTCAGACTTCCAGCCTCCATAACTGAGAAAATAGATACCTGTTATTTAAGCCACCCAGTCTATGCGATTTTGTTATGGCAGCCCTAGCAGACTAAGATACTCATCCTCCCCTAGCTGTCTTTCTCTGATTGAAGAGACAGACCACAGAAGCTGTGCTTCTTTTGAGAAGCTGAGTACATTTCAAGACATTGAGGATGTGAGGGAACTTCCTATGAAATAATTACGTATGCACCAACATGCATTATCTATATACTTGGATTCCAATCAATTGTAATGTCTTCTTAAATGTGAAGGGACAGTTGAGAAACAATGTGCTTTCAGAAAAAGACTCTCTCACAAAGATATTTTTTAAAAGCAGAAGAGAAAAAAATTGAGAAAAACAGAAATACTAAAAGACATAATCAATGTTGTCTTACCAGAAATGTGAGAAGATACTGTGTCTTTTAAGAAAAGAACAAATGCCTGAAACATATTTAAAGAATAAGGAAAAACACTTAGACATTAAAGATATAATTGTATAAATATAAAATTCAGAGAAAGAGGGAAGAAACAAAGAAAGTACTTAAACCTCTTAGTAGGCTGAACAAGAAGGTAGAAAGAATTACAGAATCAGTTTAGGAGTTGTAACTTTTCATTAAGAAGTGCAGAACAGACCAGTAGAAAAGATGAAAAAAAATAAAATAAAATAAAAACTTTGCATAATTGAAAAATTGAGTTTCCTGATTACAAAGGATCGCCAAATGTCTATTACAATGAAAAATAAAAGAAGCACAACCAATTATACCATATCAGGGATAAATTTCAGAGAAAAAGTACATACCCTAAAAACTTTTAAAGATGAAAAAAATGTGACAGACATTCAGAAACCAGAATGCCAATCACAAGTCAGAATGGCAAGAGATTCTTGATAGAAAAATTTAAAACTAGAAGATAATGTGTAGTGTTTTCAAATTCTGTGGGAAAAAATCTATTTCTAAACTAATATTGTATGCCCAGGCTTCAATATCAAGATACTGGGGCATAGATATTTTTGGACATGCAAAACTCTAAAAATTTACCTGCTGCATCATCTCCCTGTAAACTACTTGAAGAGTACTCCACCAAAATGCATATATCATTTAGGATATGATCAAAAAGTCAGAAATGTTCTGTGTGATATAGAATAGAGGATTCATTGTAAATATTAGAACATAACATTTTAGGAACTGTTGAAGTAATCTTTGAGGCATCTAATGTTGAGCCTGAAGTTGTATAAGTTAACCAAACCAGTGGCTAGGAAGGAAAGCTTATGTGGAAAAGGAGGACAATGGAGCCAATGAGGATAAATTGGAAGCCATGAGGACAGCTGGAACCTATGAAGACAAACGAGCTTGCAAAGTGAAACCAGAACCCACACCTGGCACTTAGCACCTCCAACCTCTATGCCTTAGATGACCTGCAGGAGAAGTTGGTGTGTTTTGCTATGGAACTCCACTCATGCTAGCCCAGAACTCAAAGATGTTGAAGGAGAAGCCTGGGGGGAGAATTTGTGGCACCAGGCATTGTTCCATGCCACTCAGGTGAGCCAGCATTAGCAATAATATGAAAAGATTCCACAGTGCCTGGTATCTTGCACTAATTCTCTCAAAATAAGAAATAATGGCTCCTGTTTCACTTCCATCCTCCAAACGTTCACCAAAATATCCCATGAAGCCAATGCTAACTTTGAACCACATTGGGAGGAGCATTCTGGGAAATGCAGCTCCACTTTGTCTAACTCAACGCAATACAAAACCACCATCAAGAAAGATTTAGAATTCAGGAAATAGGGAATCCAAGTAAGGAGAAAAGGAAGAGTACTCTGAGAATGATAATGAAAGCAAGCAAATACAAGACAAAACTCAACCAAGCAAAATGCCTAGAAAGAAATCAATCCAATTGGAGAAAGAGGACAGAGAGCTCTAAGAAATATGAATTCAAAAAAAAAGTGAACTAATAGATTAATTGGGGTGTTTGATTATAATTAGAGGTGTTTTTCAGTTCCTGCTGGAGAGTAATTAAAACTACAGAAAAAAATGAATAGCTGTATAAAAAATAAAGAGTAATCAAAATATGCTACACTGCTCAGTTGATAATGATATTTGCATCATTATAATCATCTCTACATTGAACAGTGATTTAACAAAAATGAAGAAGAAATACATGGAGACAGGAGGAAAGGTAGTATGAGAAAACTGAAACAACCTTATTCATAGTGGGAAGTCAAAACAGAATGTGAGGTTATTTTAACCATTAATAATAGAATTTATTTTTAAACAGTTTTAGATTTACAGAAATATTGAGTGTACATTACAGAGAGTTTTCAAGTAACCCTCACATACTTAGTTTTTCTTATCTTGCATTAGTGTAGTACATTTGTTACATTAATGAATGGAAGGTAGTATATAATTATTAACTGAAGTCATAGTTTACATTAAGGCTTACACTTTGTGTTGAATAGTTCTATGGATGAGGGAAGGGGCTAAAATGCATAATTTTATGCATTCACCATTAAAATATCATGGGGAATAGTTTTACTGTCTTAAAAATTTCCTTCATTTCAATTATTTGTTCTTCTCTCCACTCTCTAAAGCCCTGGAAACCACTTATCATTTTATTGTCTCTATATTTCTGTCTTTTTCAGAGCGTCATGTAGCTGGACTTATACAGCAAGTAGCCTCTTCAGATTGGCTTCTTTAACTTAGTAATATTCATGTAACATTGCTCCATGTGTTTTCGTGGCTTAATAGGTCATTCCTTTTCATTACTGATCATTTTATTCTGTGCATGTACCACAATTTGTTCGTCTACTACTGAATGATGTCTTGATTGTTTCGGTTGTTGGTGATTATGAATAAACTTGCTATAAACATTTACTTGTGTGGATGTAAGTTTTCAACTTATTCAGATAATATTTAAAAGAGCAATTGCTGTATAGTATGGTAAGATTATGTTTAGCCTTGTATGGAACTGCCAAAGTGGCTGTACCATTTTGTATTCCTACCAGCAATGAATGAAAACACCTGTTGATCTGCATCCTTACCACTATATGATATTGTCATATTTCAGATTTTAATCCGTCTAATAGATGTGTAGTGGTAGATAGTTGCTTAATTTTCAATTCTCTTATGACATACAATGTTTAACATCTTTTTATATGTATATTTGCTATCTGTATATCCTCTTTGGTGAGGTGTCTGTTCAGATCTTTTTCCCATTTTAAATTGGATTGTTTTCTTATTTTTGAGTTTTAAGTGTTCTTTTTATATTTTAAGTGCAAGCCCTTTATCAGATATGTATTTTGTGCATATTTTCCCACTCTGTGGCTTGTATTTTAATTCTCTTAATAATATCTTTGCAGAAGTTTTTAATTTGAACAAATTTCACTTTTATGGTGTGCTTAAGAAGTTGTATCTAAAAACACAAGGTCACCTATATTTTCTCCTGTTACAGAAGTTTTAGACTGTGGGTTTTTTATTTAGCTCTATGATCCATTTTGAGCTAATTTTTGTGAACTGTGTAAAGTCTATGTCTGGATTCTTTTTTTTTCCAATGTAGATATCCAGTTGTTCCAGCATCACTTGTTGAAAAGATTATCTTTTCTACAGTGAATTGCATTTGTTTCTTTGTCTAAGATCAGTTTACTATATTTGTGTGGGTCTATTTCTAGGCTCTCTATTCTGTTCTATTGGTCTATGTGTTAATTCTTCCATAACATGCTGTTTTGACTATTGCAGCTTTATAGTAAATTTTCCATTTGAATTGTGTCATATTCTTCTTTGTTCTTCTTCTTGTGTATTATGTTGCCTATTCTGAGTCTTTTTGTATTTTAATATAAACTTTCTTGTCAATTTGTTGATACACAGAAAATAACTTGCTTGGATTTTAATGGGAGTTGCAATGAATGTGGAAATTAAGTTGAGAAGAATTGACATCTTAGCAATATAGAGTCTTTCCTGTCCCTATACATAGAATATCTATCTAGATCTTCTTTGATCTCCTTCATCAGACTTTTGTAGTTTTAGCCACATAGATCCTGTACATATTTTGTTTGATCTATACTTAAATATTTTATGTAATCAATTGACTTTTGTATATTAACTTTTTATCCTACAACCTTGCTATAACAGCTTATTAGTTTCAGGGACTTTTTGCCAACTATGGGATTTTCTGCATATAAATCATGCAAAATATGCAATCATGTCATCACCAAACAAATATAGTTCTATCTATGCCTTCCCAATATGTACACCCTTTATTTCTTTTTCTTGTCTTATTGCATTGGCCAGGCCTTCCAGTACAATGTTGAAAAGGAATGGTGAGATACAATATTCTTGCCTCTTTTTTCATTTTACGAGGAAAGCATTCCTTTTAATAGTAGGCAGTCAGAATATAATATGTAATATTTTTAAAGGCAATAAATAGACATCTAAGTGAGTTATTTTAAAATTGAGAGTTTAAAATCAAATAAAACTAAAAGAATTTAATAGTTTGCCTCTGTATCATGGAATGAAGGAGTTAACAAGAGCTGATGAGAGAATCTGCTATTTGTCACTATATCTTTTATTAGCATTTGACTTTTAAAATATGTTACAATGAATATTTTAATAATTTTCTTCATAATATAATGATAATAAATAATGATAAATATAAATATAAATAATGAGAAACTATAAATAATGATAATATTTTGAGGATAGCTAGGATAAGTTATGTAAATCAATTAACATTGTTTCTAGCACATAGAAATTAACCATTGAATGTTGTTGTTTACATAACTCTCCAAAAGAAAAAGATGAGGATATTTTGAAAAGTAAACATATTAGTATTACTTTCAAAGGGAATAATAAGTAGAAAGGAAAAACATAGTAAGTTGAGATACAAAGGTGAATTTCAAAGTGCTGATGGTAAGTGGTTAATGGTTGCTTAGCAGATTTATGCAAACTTACAAAAGACTTATTTATATGACTCGGTCACGAGAACCTATCCTTATTGAAGCAGGTGGACGTTAGCTCTGGAAAGACGGAGGAGTAAAAAGAAAAAGAATAGAATTCAAAGAATATATGGAGAGTAAATTCTTACGGTAGTCATTATGAACAAATTTTTTTAGCTCTTTCCAGTTAGTGTTTGATTATATGTAATTTCTTTAGAGCTAAAAAATGAATTGTCTTTTTCCTTTTTTCAATTTCTCTTTTTGAATATTGAATCAATATAAAGTCAATATGTTAACAACATAAAGTCAATATAACTTACCAAACATCTTTTTCTCATCCAAAACTGCATTTTTTTAGTCAAAGTCTTTTCTTCCAAGAGAAAGTAATATGTTCTTTAGACTCTACATGTCAACCACAAAACACATTTTTTTCTCATTTCAATTATAAGAATTGAATATGAGAACTTCTTCTTATAAAAGTAAGGCAGTCTAGACACTCTGAAAGACCATCTTGCTCAAGACAACTAGGCTTTTGATAAAAAAAAATTAATGCACTTTGGTTATAAAGCAATTAATAGAAAATTTTTATCACCTCTCAAGTTTCTCATCTTAAACACCACCAACCTTTTATGTCTTTCCTAATCCTTTTGAGAGAAAAAAAATAACAGCTGAAACAAGGGCAGAGAGGAGTGAAAAGTAAGCCATCAAAAGGTAGGCTTTTTATAGACAAAAAAAATGATAATATCAGGCTTCGATTTTCTTTTCTATGCTACATAACAAATTATCACAAACCTAGTGACTTAAAGCAAAATACATTTATGACATCAGAGTTTCCATTATTTACGAGTCTTAGTTTAGCTAGGTCCTCTGCATGACTGCAGTCAAGCTGTCAACAAAAGCTGGGTTCTTATCTAGAAGCTTGACTGGGAAAGGTTTGTTTCCAAGCTCACTAGTGTTGAATGAACTTATTTCTTTTTATACACTTATAAGACTCATTGAAGCTTCTTTCTTCAAAGCCAGCAATGAGGTCAAGACTTTAGAACAAGTCTGCTAGTAAGATGGAGTCTCATACATTGAAGCACAATGATAAAAATACCATCCAATCACCCTTGCCACATCCTAGTAGTTAGAACCAAGTTGCAGGTCCTATACATTCTCATCGAGAGGGAATTATATAAGTTTGTTAACAGCAGGAGGCAAGACTTATAGTGGCCATCTTAAAGTGTGTCTATAACAAGACTAATATAGACCAAAACTAAGGACAATGAAATGAAAGAGAGTGAAACTTCAGATTGCTTTGTTTAGGCGACATCTCGAAGGGGCCTAAAGAGGTTACTCACTGTTTATAGCACCATCTGGCTTCTTACAAGAGATAAGCAAGTCTTTCAGATGTTTACCTACATAAAACTTATGTTTCCATGTTATTTCCAAATACATTTCATTTCTTTCTTTTCTTATGAGACAGAATCTTGCTGTTTCACCCAGGCTAGCATGCAGTGGTACAATCACTGCTCACTGCAGCCTTGACCTCATGGGCTAAAGCCATCCTCCTGCCTCACCCTCCCAAGTAGCTGGAACTGCAGGCATGTACCACCATGCCTGGATATATATATATATATATATATATATATATATATATATATATTTTTTTTTTTTGGTAGAAACAGGGTCTCACTTTGTTGCCCAGGCTGGTCTCAAGCTCCAGGCCTTGAGCAATCCTCCTACCTCAGCCTCCCAAAGTTCTGGAATTACAGGCATGAGCTGCCACACCCAGCCTCCAGATATATTTCAAATCTATATATATTTCAAACCAGCTTGTATTTGAAAGTCATCTCTGGATGATAGCATTCTCCATTTAGGTTTCTAGACTTAGTATATACTAAGACCAATAAAATTTAAATTTACCATTTAAAAAATCAAACACACAAGGAAATAAAAATAAATGAGAGTCTGAAAAAGTAACAAACAGCAGCATTATGGCCTCAAGGCATTCAGATATTACAGTTATCAGAAATTGTAAGTTATGAATTAAATGTCTGAAAAGTTAAAAAATGAGATTTCATTTTAAAAATATTCAAAGTGACATTAAAAATAACAAACAAAATTTTAAAAATAAGAAAGTAAATGTTTCAAATATAAATGAAATTGTTGAAATCAGAATTAATGAAGTTAAAAAGCAGATTAGAAACGCTGAAGAGATAATTAGTACATTGGAAGATAGATTGAAAGAAGAAACACAGACTCCTACATAAAGAGAAGATGAAAATGTCAACAAATAGCTTAAATGATATAGAAAACAGAATGAGAATTTTAAAAATACATTTTACCAGAGTCTCAAGAAGAAAAGATAGATCATATGAGGGATAAGTGAATTTGAATAAGTAATGGCTGAGGTTTTGCAGAACTAAGAAATATCAATCTACATTTAAGAGACCAAATTAATTCTAAATAGAATAAACAAAAAGAAATTCATACTGCTATCTACTGTAGTTAAACTTTGGAATATCAAGCTGATTTTCAAATGTATGTGGATGAGCAAAATCCTATTAGTTGTTAAGATGTTGTTCAAGATGAAGTATAAAGAGGAGCTACTTGCTTTACCAGATACCATCTTATTACAATGCTATTGTAAATAATACAGAGGATTAGTTGTGCCGGAGTAAAAAAACAAATAACCTGTGAAACAGAAAAAGAAAAAAAAAAAACAGACAGAGCCCCAAATAGGACCACGTATATATGCAAACTCAGGATATTACAAAAATTACCTTGAAGATTATGACGGAAAGAAGAAAAATTTAATACAATTCATTTATACATATGGATAAAATCAAATAAGATTCCTACCACATACCATAGACAAAAATATATGCAAGATAGATAAATCCTTAAATGTAAGAGGGAAAACTTTAAAATTTTGATAGAAATTACGTGAGAACAAATTTTAAATTTGGGTTAGGGAATTTTTTTAAATGCTAACCATTAGAGATAAGATTGATAAATTTGTATTAAAATTAAGAAATTTTATGTATAAAAAGGCACTGTGATGAAAGTGAAAATCAACCCATTGTGAGAGACAGTATCTGTAACATACATAGCCAATAATGGATTAGCATTCAAAGAATAAATAACTTCTACAACTCAATAAACAGAATAAAATAACCCAAGGAAAAACTGGCATAAAAACCAAGAGTAGGAATATCACAAAATAAGAAGCATGAAGAGCCAATACAAATACAAATATATTGTCGTGTAATTACAGAATTGTAAATTAATACCACAGTGGATCACTGGTTGAAGTATAATTTGACATAACTGCATTGGAAACAATTTGGTCCCATCTTACATAGATGAACATTTCAAAGTTCCCATAGCCCACCCATTTTACTTCAAGGGATGATCTTAGGGAAATCCTTGCATGTACACACTAGTAGGCATGTACAACAATGGTTATAATAACATCATTCATAATAAAAATAACTATTTGAATGGAAGCAACACAAATATCCATCAACAAGAAAATGAATAAATCCTGATGAGGAAAATTATGCGACATGTAAGACGACATTTAGAAACATAATGTTGAGTTCTAAAGTCAGTCACAAAAGAGGACATTAAGATTATTATTCCATTTTTGTAATGCTCAAAAGCAAGCAAAGCCATACAATAGATTGCTTAGTGACATATGTATGTCACTAATAACAATGATGATAATAATAGTTAACAATTAAAACTTACACACTGCCTACTATTTATAAGGCCTCCTTATGTATGCTACAAATATATTAAACAATACAATTCTTACATGAGGAAAATATAATGATCATCAAAATACCAATTTAGAAACTGAGGCAAAGAGGATTCAAAAAACATGCTTATTGCAATTAGTCTGGCTCAGACTGCATTCTTAACCATTATGGTACACTACATAGAAATTATAATTGGGAGGCGTGTGTTAAGGCAGAGAGTTAGGATGAAAAGGAGCACACAGATTGATGCAAAGGCACTGGTACCATTTAAGCTCTTAGGTTCAGTGATGAGTTATAGGTGTTCATTTTGATACTTTCTACACACACACACACATATATAAAATACACATTATTTTGTGTTTTCAAGTTGTATAAAAATATTTTTGAAAGAATACAATATAATAATTAGGTTGTCTCACATGAATGGCTACTTCTAACAGCAAGATCAGATCTACCTTTCTCTACCATTCTACTTAATGATGGGTCTCCTGTAAGTATCACTAGTTTGTTATTTTCCTCCATACTAGCATTGTCCGAAATATTCTTTATGGATTCATTGTCTTATTAGTTACGATAACCCTATGCTTTAGATATTTTTATTCTCAATTTATTGTTGAAAAAAAGTAAAGCGCAGAAAGAGGTTAAGTATAGCAACGTGACACAGCTAGAAAGTGCCCTAATCAGAATTTTAACAATTCTGACAAACCTCTTCTCTGTGAAGCACAAGTTAGTCTCATCCACTTACAGCAGAAAAAGAAAGTAAATTAACTATAAAATGGACTATCTCAAATTCACATACCTGATTTTTTGCTAGTATTAATCCCTTATGCCAGTGGTTTCTAAGCATGAATTTATTTACCTTTTGTTCATAATAAATGTTTACTGAAGCCTAATATATAAGACTGATAAAAGCAAAACTGCTCTGGTTAGAACAAAGATAAAGATTTACCTACATAGACTTCCCAGGGGTTCTACTAAACATATTTAGAAAATTTACAATATTTTATTGGATAATTGAAAGGTGTCAGTGATAGACTGAATTATTGTATCCATTCTCCTATCTCTCTTTCCTATGGAAATGTAACCCATGCAATTGCCAGGATGCTTAGGTATGTCTCCTTTAAAACAGGCAAAGTATATTTTCTCTCCTTGTTGCTGTCAACATTAACCATGTGACTTGCTTTGGCCAGTGGAATAGTAGCAAATGTGACATGAGCACTTTAAGTGCTGTTATGTAATTTGACTTGAATTTTTGTGCTTCCACCATTACAGTTAGAAGAGCATGCTCTAACTTGTGCTTGTTCTACAATGGGATACGTGGAGGAAAGCCCAACCTGAACTGCAGATAAGCCCCCAGCTGAATCCAATCAAGTTCAACCAAGCTCAGAAAAACTTCAGCTGACCTACAGATATTTTCACAAGGAATAAAAATGGTTATGGCAAACCACTGGAATTGGGGATTGTTTGTTATGCAGCATTATTGCAGTAAAAACTGTCCAATACAATAACTGTGTTACAATTCAGAAAACATTGTATTAAAATAACAAAGTATGGAAGTCCAAAATATACCAAGTTCCTCCGAGTTTAAAACACTTCCATGAGACACATTACCACATAGTGAAAGAAGCATGACTTGGCTTCCAGTGTCTGACAGACTTGATTTGTTAGAAGGGAATCTGAAATTACTAAATATCTGGACCTCAGGATTCACAACCAACAAACAAGGTATTTGTCTGGATTAGAAATTATATATAGAAAGAGTTTAGAGCATGTATACATTTTACAAATGGTAGTTTATATTTATTACTACACGTTCTATTAAGCAAGTTAGTGGAAACCCAAGAACTGTTACAGAAAAAAAGCACCCTGAAAGCAGAGATATCTTATATTTTCCCTTGTTTTATTTTCCCATTTCTTATCTCAAAGAAAAGAAAATGGAAAACTCACTATGTCTATGGCATATGTACAAAATAAGGTAGTAACTAATGTAAAATCCCTTTATTTGAGATTTCAAGGCCAAAATTTCAATAATTAAGTTCCTACTATATTCTTTGTTCTGTTTCAATTATATTTTCTCATTTCATCTTCACAACATGGTTAGTCTTTAGAAAAAGCATAAGCTACATATGGTGACAATAGAAACACTCAGAAATTGCTTTGTAACCAGAATATACCTCCCACCAGAGAATTTGAAGCATATTTTGAGTTAATGCAAATATTCTCAGAAGGGATAATACTTTAGGTTATATTAATCATTTCTACATTATGATGAATAATTTTATCTGCTCTATTTATAAAAGCAAAAAGTAATAATTGGAAGTATATAATAATGGAAAAATTATAACTTATTAGATAGCAGATTGTATTATGAAGTAACAATGATCAGAAGGGTGAGACACCAGTGCCAAAATAGAAATAAAATACAAATAGAAATCAACACATAAATCATACAACTGATAAGAGTTTAGTGAATGATAAGTGAAGCATTTTTAAATCAGAAAAAAAAGTAGCGAAAAATTTTGGCTAACTACAATGTGACAAATTTAGATTCTTAGCTTGTACTTCTGTTGTTGCTGTTAGGTAGAGACTGCATTTTGCTATGTTGCTCAGGCTGGTCTTAAACTCCTGGGCTCATGCAGTCTTCCTGCTTCAGCCTCCCGAAGTACTGGGATTACAAGTGTGAGCCAACACATCTGGCTGACCTTGCACCTTAAGTCAAATTAAATTCCAAATGAATTAATGATTTAAATGGAAAAAGTAGAAGGGTAAAAGTCCCAGATTGAAAAAAAAGATAAATATTATATATCTCTGTGTTAAGGAAAGCTAAAAGGTAAGCCAAAAATGAAAAATTAATTGATCTAGCCTTGAAAAAATATAAAATATCCATCAAAAAAGACCCACAAAGTTAAAGACAAGAAACAAACTGAGAAAAATATATAAATTGTGTATGATACATCAATGAATTATATTACTAACACATAAAAAGGTCTTGCAAATGGATCAGAAAGATAATACCACAAATTCAAAACTTGGAAATGCCTGTGAGTAGCCAGTTCATGAAAGAAGAAAAGTAAAGGCTAGGCCTGGTGGCTCATGCCTGTAATCCCAGTGCTGCTTTGGGGGGGATGAGGCAAGAGGATCACTTGAGGCCAGGAGTTTGAGACCAGCGTGGGCAACATAATGAGACCCTATCTAAAAAAAAGAAAAAGAAAGAAAAGAAAGAAAGAAAGAGAAAGATTAATTATCCAGAAAGAAAGAAAGAAAGAAAGAAAGAAAGAAAGAAAGAAAGAAAGAAAGAAAGAAAGAAAGAAAGAAAGAAAAAGAAAGATTGATTAATTATCCAGGGATGGTTGTGCATGCCTATAGTCCCAGCTACTAGGGAGGCTGAGGACGGAGGATCGCTTGAGCCTGGGAGTTTACTATTGCAGTGAGTTATGATCTTGCCACTGCACTCCAGCCTGGGCCACAGAGAGAGACCCAGTCTCTAAAAGAGAGACTCATATTAAAAACAATAATAATTTATCATTTATCACCTATCAGATTAAACAAGAACATAAGAACATAATAATCCCTACTATGGAAACGGATACTCTGCATGGATGTGTCAATTAATACAAACTTTTTCAAATGAATTTGAGCAACTTATATCAGAAGGACCATGACCCAATGGGCCACAGTTTACAATTTATCTGAGGAAAATATCCAATAAAGTTAAATACTTCCACCTCATTTATAATACCGAAAACATGGAAAAAGCTTAACTAAATTGTGCAATGTTAGCCAATGCCTTGATTAAAAATGAAAATGGGCATATATGGATTTAGAAAGCTACTTAAGTGAGCAATATAGGCTACAAAAGTGAGTGCAAAGCAAAATGTTTGTGACTACATATACACAAAAAGCCCAGAATATTATATGCCAAAATGTTAAGAGTAGATATTGCTGGCAATTGGATCACAGATAATTTATTTTCCTTTGCTTATCTGCATTTTCCTGTTTTTTTTTTTTTTTAACAATTGCAATTGCTTGAAGAATCACTTTTAAGATAATTCATTCACTGCAGTCCTGATGAAGCTTGGGAGATAGAAGGGTAAAAAGAAAATCAATTTCCAATTAGTGGAAGCACAAAAGGTGAGAATGCAAGAAACAAACTTTACCTAACTCACAATTTGTTTATAAGCCAGTCTTGATCCCAGAAACACTGTGAGGTGATAGGATAAACCCAGAATATTTCTCAATGGCTCAAGAGCTTCTTCCCTTTGCTTATTTTTTAGAGTGTAATGCTGGCAGAGCAAAGAGCTTTGATTTTTTTTGAACCTTGATTATTAAATGGGGATCCCACAGTGACTATTTAATAACAAACATTTAAGTTTCCATTTTCTTATTGTTTAAGATTCTGAAGATGCCTGACATTTGTTGTCAAAAATTTATTCATCTATTATGCACCACTAAATCTGTGTGGTGTCCTACATTTGAACTCATCTTCTACAACACACAGAACCTGTTGACAAATGTCTGTTTTTTCCACAGCCTTCATGATATGATGACTCATTCCCCGGTGGGTGGTAGGTAACTCTGTCCTTGGTCACTAAGTGAATGATTTGGAAAGCCTTTGTGGCTGAATGTATTTGAGCTAAATGATGCAGTGGGAAAGATGGGGTCACAGAAAGAGCATAGCACTGCAGATTGTCAAATGGTGCATGGCAGGCATCAGAAATGTGGTGCAGATGGAGAAGCTGTGAATACATTTCAGGTACTGCAGCAATTAGAGCAAGCAGAAATCCACACCGGTTCTCCTTGGATATTGGAATATACTGTTAGTGTTCTCAAAAATACAGATGGTGTTTTAATACACATAATAGCCTTAACTCTCACCATCTGGACCCAAAAGAGACTTTTCTGCTTGGATTCCCTAATCAGTGACCATGTTTTACTGCATTAGGAGCAATTAGAAGTGACATTTCTTTATTTCTGTTTTTTTCTCAGCTGATAACCTTAGCATTCCCATTTTTTCTCTGATTTTTTTCCCTCTGCACCCTGTTACTTATTGCCCTCTCTGCTCTGAGTTGATTAGGACATCTGATTCCAGGCAATTCTACTCTGTCTCTCATTCATCATACACAAGCAAATTTATAGATGGGTAGTTTGAGCAGAACTCATTCTCCAAGGAAAGGTGACATGCTCATAACTAATGTGGTTTTGTCAACAAGCAGAGAAAGAAACATCTGACATGGACTTTTATGTTGTCTCTGTTGTACGGTTGGAAAGAGAGGCACCAGTTCCTGAGCTACAGTGAAGAAAATGCAAAGCAATCACTCAAGATACCATTCCATCACAGTGACAGGATAATTTTTTGAGATGCTGATTTGTGTCTTGCTCTCTTTTCCATTTTAAGAAAGAATTGGAGCCTCTTTTGCACACCGTTGCTTCAAAGGACATTGGTATTACCAGGCTGATAGCAGAGGTTACCTACAGACACTTTTATTTCCTACAACTGATTTTCTGAAAAAAAAATTTATAGTGAACTGTTTAAAGTGGAATAGGAAATAAAAGTGTTGTGGTTGAATTGTGTCCCCTAAAAAAAAGATATGAAATCCTAACTCCCAATACTTGTAAATCTTACCTAATTTGGCAATCGTGTTTTGGCAGTAATCAAGTTAAGATGAAGTCATGTTGGATTGGGGTGAGCCTTAAATTCAATAATTGGTATCCATGTGAATACACTGGGACACAGACACACCCAGGGAGAATGCCACATGATGGTGCATGCAGAGAATGGAGTGATGCAACTGCAGGTCAAGAGATGTCAATGAGTTCCAGCAACCAACAGAAAAGAGAGGAAAGAACAGGAGAGAGGGAAGGAGCAGATTCTCCTTCAACCTCCAGAAGAAACCAATCTTATCAACACCTTGGCTATGAATTCTACCTGGTACCACTTCTGCATTCTGCCATTGTATCTAATATTTGAGGAATCTGTGATTTGGTGGGCAGCAGCTTATTAAGGGGAACCAAGCTAGCTTAATAAATAAGACTTGGGAAGATATGTCATTCAATTATGTAAAAAGGTTTTTCATCTCACCTGCATTTACCTTTCTTGAACTTTTGCAGGTGCAAATGATATCAGATTGTACATTGAGCACTCACTATTGACACAGATGGCTTATTTTTAGCAAAATAGCTCCCGGAATACTTTATAGCACCTACACACAGAAAGAAATCTACATCTTGAAAAAATACAGCAAAGCTGTCAATTTGAACATGCAATTGCGTAATCAACGCTATTAAAAACTTATTTTGGGAAGCAGGACTGTACACTAAGAACTTTCCCTTGATGTTTTTCTATTAGACCATTTTAACAAGTCAATTTTTTCCAAAGATATCTAAGTGGATATATATAGCATTTAATATTTCTAGGCATGTACCTAGTATATGTGCCCAATGATTATAGGAAATTTGATGTTTAGAAAAATGTTTTATGGGAGGAAGAGACTGCAACTCTTAGAACTGTTAAGGATGTGATACATTTCTGACCTAAAGAAAGGCACAATTTAATCAGGAAAGGTAAGCACAAATGGCAAATAACACCACAACAAAACATCTACTGAGCTTGTTTAAAGTCATTCTGATATTTCATCTCTTAAGACTTCTGAGATCTATTTGAGCACTTTCAAACTGTGTGCAAATAAATGGAAAATGACAGCTGAAGGGCAAATAGTTTATGTATTTCTTTGAATTCTTTTTAGTACTCCATACCCTGAACCAAACAAACTCATCTCCATAGACAACACCTAGAAAATATTAGGTCACTAGACTGCAGTTGGAAAACTTATACAAAAATACATTTCAAAAATACACTTGGAATTGGTATCTTCCCCTTCACTGCCTTGAAACATTTTATAAACTTAAATTCTAAGAATGTCTTTTCCACTCTTCTCTGAAATGAAAATCCAGCTGATAAAAGAGAGCCCAACTTACTTTTGATTCTTCTATTTCCACAAAACACACATCAAGTTTTATAATGAATACTTCTTATAGCTCCTCTTGAAATTTCCAGAAACTTTGTTCCTTACCCATTCAGAAAGAAGTCAGATTCTCTTGGTTCTAATTCTCAAAGTTTGGTACCTTCGGTTCATTTCCATTTCTTTCAAGATGAGCTTTGCAGTCAGGGAAAATGGTTTCCACTTAATTTTCACTCAATCTATTAATAGGATAAGGTCTAAGCTACTGTAACAAAAACTCCTCAAAATAAAGTAGTTCAAATAAATGGACAGTTATTTTGCCATGTTGTAACAGTTAAAAGGGGTTAAGAGGGTCTGTTCCACAGAGTTATTCAGGCACACAGGCTGATGCAGCAGTTCTGCCATCTCCAAGGGGCCTCCAAGGTTGCTCTGTTCATGGTCTTTCCACCATTAAGATCAATATGAACCTACTCCTGTTTGTCCATTGCAAATGAGGGAAAGAGAAAGGGTCTAAGTCTCGTGATTTTCCTTAGGAATGAGATAAAATTTATGTACATCACTTATGTTGACTCCTCACTAATGAATATTTGTTAATAAGTTTATTTTTATTTTATTTATTTTTTATTTGTTATTCATTAATAATAACATTTAACCTAAGTGGCTACAGCTAACCACTTAGGTTAATACCACTTAGGTTAAACCAGTTAGGTTAACCACTTAGGTAACCACTAATTTAACTTAGGTTAAATGTTAAATAGCCTCACAGGACAGTTATGTGCCCAGAAAGAAAGAGAGAACAGATTGCTTGGAAACAAGAGTTTTCACACTCAAGGGTTACAAATCGTATGGTTCATTTATTTTTAACTTTGCCCACCAAGAATTACTAATAGTAGAGGCAGGTTATTTTGTTAGTTTTTCTTATTGAGGAGAAAATTAGAGAGTACCTCCATGAAAGAATAAAAAAGGAAGGAAGGAAGGAAGGAAAGAAAGAGAGAGAAAGAAAGAAAGAAGAGAGAGAGAGAAAGAAGAAAGAGAAAGAAGAAAGAAAAAGAAAGAAAGAGAAAGAAGAAAGAAAGAAAAGAAAGAAAGAAAAGAAGAAAGAAAGAGAAAGAAAGAAGGGAGGGAGGGAGGGAAGGAAGGAAAGAAAAAGAGAAAGATGAAAGAGAAAGAAGAAAGAAAGCAAAGAAAGAAAAAAGAAAAGAGAGAAAGAAAAAGAAAAAAAGAAGGGAGGGAAAGAAGGAAGGAACGAAGGAAATTGTTCACAAGAAGGTAAACCATAAATCTTGGTACTATTATTGTTCCTTTCTCATTCTGCATTTGCTAAACCAACAGAAATATTTCTAGTACCAGTGTATCAAGTGCTATCAAGTTATTTGGCTGGAAAAAATGACAGAGATTTCTTGCTCAATGGTCAAATTTTCATCTTGTAGAGCTCAGTGGGCTTGCTTGCTCTTATTATCTGCTGAGAACTGAGAGTTCTAGATTCAATTCAAAGAATTAAAGGAGGTTTAGTGCCTACAAATATAAGTTAGACAGATGTGGAAAACTAAACATGCTACACAAGAAAACTGTCACACTAAAGTTAATAGGAAATAAAATTTTTGAATATCTCAGAGGAATAAGAGATGGTCTTCTAAAGGGAAGGGAGAAAGCTAGTTGGGCAAATGGCTAAATATTTTTGAAGAGAGAGAATGACTATAAGTTCAATCTTGTTTACCCTGGCTAGTTCTACCAAGAACAGTGCAAAAACTTGATAGGAATAGTCTGAGGCCATCCACCTAGGGAACCCTATTTACTCAACCCTCTAGTTTTAATTTCTAATAATATCCATGATCTCATACTTGTACTCTGCCAACTGTGGCCCTGGGCCTTTAACTGTAGCCACTATTTCCACTCACAATGGTAGTGAGCACCTGAAATCCAAGAGTCACATATATTGTATGCATGTATTAAGACCAGCCTTTAGCTTAATTTCTGGACCCACTACTCATACTAGCATCTCCATTGCTTGGTGCTATTCTCCGTGCTTATCATCTGCCTCTGTCCCTTGTTCTTGGTTTAGTCTTTGTAGACTTTTATCTCTGGCACACTGTGGGTGACTTTACAAGGCCTAGGCCTGAAGGCATCTGATTTGTCAGACTACTTCCCACCTAACCATCTTTCTTCTACTCTGCCCTGTCCTTCAGGAGAATTGGATCTGACATTTCAGGTTCTGCATTGGCAGAATTGGGGAAAGTAGATTTGGGAAGATTCTGGAAATCTGATAGCAATTAACATTGAATAAACAGTTGTAGTATGTTCTGCAAGGTAATATGAATAATATGAACTGCCATTCCTAGATATACAAGCGGCATATAGTCTAAGTGGAGAGACAGCAGAACTGTGCAAAACACATGCAAATTAAACAAATGTTTACCTGGTACTCACAAAAGCAATGAAAATAAATTTTCTCTGTAATTTAAACCAACAACTCCTTCCTACGATTATGAATAACTAAGTCAGAAGTGTATTTGGGGATGTGAATGATTCATATAATGGTCGAAATATCTTACTTTCAATGCATAAATATATACAGCTTTGTAATAGAATTACATTTTCCATGACATACAATTTTCTATGGTCATCCTATTATCTTCAGGCAAAATATTATTTCCCTTACCTCTTTACTGACACTAGGGACTAAAAACAAATGTGAAATATGAAATAAAATGCTGAAAGTAAGTAGTGGTGCACTGAAGGCACTGATTTCTTTTCAGTCTTTCTCTAATGCATTAGTTTAAATAATGGGACAACACATTGAAGCATGTCCTTGATTTGTCATAAAGTTTAGCATTCTAGGAATTGATTTTGGAGGTACTAATGGAAACAAATGCCATCAAGTATGATGGCCGTGTGTTTATCTGGGAAGTCACCTTATACTTTCAAAAAAAACCAAAGAACATGTCTCTGGTAGTGAGTCAGTATGTTCACTTAAAACAGTAGACTGAACTTGATGTGGGAAGAAGGGGTTGTGTCTGATTATTGTTTTTACTGCAGAACCCAGCATTGTACCTGGTAATTCAGAAGTGCTCAAAAAGTCTTTTTTAAGCTGAGCAGGACTCAGAATAGTTGTGGTAGGCAGAATAATGCCCACCGAGGGATAGGTTTTAATGCCTGGAATCTATAAATAAGTTAGATTATATGGCAAAGAATGACTTTAAAACAAGGAGATTATCTTGGATTATCTGAGTGGGCCCAATGTAATTGAAAAGATTCTGAAATAGAAAAGAAGCAGTCACAACTAAGAAATCTGCAAAAGCAATAGTCCCATACTATGGAGTCCACCAATTGAGTACCACATTGAATATGGTTTGGCTGTGTCCTCTCCACCCAAATCTTGTCTTCAATTGTAGTTCCCATAATCTCCATGTGTCCTGGGAGGTTCCCAGTGAGAGTTAATTGAATCCTGGGGGCAGTTAACCCCATGCTGTTCTCATGATAGTGAGTGAGTTCTCACGAGATCTGATGAATTTAAAGGCATCTGACATTTCCCTTTCTGGCACCCATTCTCTCTCCTGCTGCCCTGTCAGGAGGTGTCTTCTGCCATGATTATAAGTTTCCAGAGGCCTCTTCAACCATGCAGAACTGTGAGTCAATTAAACCTCTTTTCTTTATAAATTACCTAGTCTCAGGTATTTCTTCATGGTAGTGTGAGAACGGACTAATACAACATTCTTAAGATAGAACCCAGTAAGCTTGCTATTCTCTAAACAAAACTACCTACCACCTCTCACATAGCTTCCCAGATGTATGTTCAGTCATTCAGGCTGTCTCGGTCTGCTTCGGTTGCCCTAACAAAATACCATAGACCAGGTAGTTTAAACAACAGAAATTTCTTTTCCCCGCAGTTCTGGAGTCTGGAAGTCTAAGATCAGGATGCCAGCATAGTCAGTTCTCGTGAGGCCTCTCTTCCTGGCTTGTAGGTGGCTGTCTTCTCTCTCTGCACTCCACATGGCCTTTCCTCAGTGTGTCTGCGTGGAGAGAGAGAGGGAAATCTCTGGTATCTCTTCCTCTTCTTATAAGGCCACCAATTCTATCAAATCAGGGCCCTACCCTTTGTGACCTCACTAAAAGTTAATTACCACCTGAAAGCCCCATCTTCATATACAGTCACATTGTGGGCTAAGGCTTCAAGATAAAATTTAAGGGAACATAATTCAGCACATAGCACAGTCTCACTCTCATTTACATTCTCTCCCAGTCTCCCTGGCTAGATATAAATATTTCCTCAGCTACAAGGCTTTCTATTGTGTCCTGCTCCTCCTTAGGCATGCCTGCCTTGAATGACTGAATACTTGCCCGCATAGAGAAATCAATCAACTCTGTGGTATTCCTCAGCTCAGAAAAGTGAACTAACTGAAACCCTGTAGTATGTAGCAAAAACAGGCCTTTCATCCGCAGTTCTCATAAAGAAAGTGGATACGTCGTTCCAGACTTGTCACTTGTAATAAAATATGCTCCTCTCCAAGTTATTAGGAATCTCCTCTCAGCATATGAAAGAACAGACTTTTGAATACAGAAATTTTGATCCCTTAACTTTTTTGAAATTATAATAAATTTTGACTGGAAGACAACTTGATCATGGAGTATGAATTATCTAATTTCCAAGGTATTAGACCTTCTCCTTGATAGTTAAGTGTAGCATCATTTTCAGGTAACCTCACAGTGAACATTCCAAGAACATTTAACATGTTCTTATTATATGTGTTATAATAATATTATTATTATATGTGTACATGTAAAGAACATGCAGAATATTTAAACCCAGCCCCTAAAGGAGCTGCAAATGATAGGTCTTATGTTTGCTTTACTCTTGCCAAAGAGAAAGAAAAAATAACACATACACAGGAGAGAGCAATTTCAGATGATCCTGCCTGAAGCTTCACAATCAATTTACGAATCTAGCAAATATTTCTTGAACACTTACTTCAATAGAACTGGAATTATGAAAATTAGAAAAATGGAAAAACATCCATTCTTACTAAAAAACATAAATAAATGATCAACCATATAATGAGCTCTCAATCTAGTAAAGAGAGAACTGTAAACAGACAGGTACAAGATCAGAGCTATGAACAAACTGTGACAAGCAGGGACAAGTATGAACATTGGAGCAAGATACCGTGAGGCTACTAGGTAACCAAATATTTTTTTCAGAAGAGATAATAATTGAGTGTTTCCCTTCTGCCCATAAGTGAGGAGAGAAGCTTCTGCCCAAGCTTCTGTTTTCCTTTAGCCGTGTCTTAGCAATTTTCTAAGGAAATATTGTTAATCTTATTAGTCAAATCTCAGAATATTCACTGGAACCTACTTTATAGTGGGGCAGTTCCTGAGTTGTAAAAGGCATAAGGCCATGCTCATAGTCTACTCTTCTATTTCTTGCTTTCACTTCCTGCTCCTGTGAGATAAGCATAAGAATGTAGCCACTCTCATCCATGCAACTATTCTGATACTTCGGATATTCTAGATTACATAAGAGGAGTAGGAAGCACCTCTTATGCTGGTCCTAAATCATATACTATATCATAGCTCACCAGAGATTATAGACAATGGAACAACAGAAAGTGCTTTTCTGGCATGTAAAATAATTATAATTCCCCATTTGGCTATAATTCCTTGGTTATAAAGCTCCCTTACTTTCTAATAGGGAACTTCAAGGAGGAGGATGAGTGGGTGTTTGGATTCAGGGACGAAAACTGCATTTTCAAAACTTCATCATCAAAAACAGCTTGAGCTGAGTCTTAAATGATAAGCAGGATTTTCTAAGTGAGGGGTAGGAGGTGGGGGTAGGAGGTATCTGAAACAGGCAGCATAAGGAGAGCATTTGAGAGCAGAGCAAACAGCATCAGCAAAACTGTGATACAACTGCAACATAGATAGGGTACATGGAGGAGAATAAAAGATGGCAAGGCTGCATAGGACTGGGTCCAGGTCAGGAAAGCTTGGTGATCATGCTAATATGATTGGATTGTATTCTGTAGACTGTCAAATGCAATAGAAGAAATTTAAACAAAAGAACGACATAAAATATCAGTATCATTGAAAGGTGTCTTTGGAAGTAGAATGGATAATCACTAGGATTATGACAGCAGCTAGGAGACAATGAAATAATGCAGACAAAGGAAAGCAGTGGCAAAGGAGGAAAGAATGAAGTAAATATTTGAGTGCCTTTGAGATAGATACCACTGTTCTAGGTATTTCATAGCCATTTACTTCTATTTCCCCAAAATAACCCTGTGAAAATGTTGAGACTGAGAGATTGCACGGTACTTACCTCAAAGTCTCAATAGCCATAAAATAAGAGAGCTAGAATTGGAAGCCATATCTGTCTTATTTCAATTCTTACTCTCTTTTTACAATGAACTGTCTTATACACCAGAGAGAATAAAAAAATCAATATTGAGACAAAAGAAACTAATTAAATGTGGTAGAGGGAAGAAGATGAGGGATGGGCCAGTTGATTCATCATTGAGACAATAAACTGAATAGAGGTTATCATGGAACAGCTAAGCGGAAATGCCCCATATAGTTGAATGTTCAATATACGGAACAGCAAAATGGCCTGTGCTATAGGTATAGACTTGAGTGTCACCACCACACAGAATAACATTGCCCAGGGAAAAGAAGACAAAATGAGAAGAGAATAACAGTAAAGATGGTTGTATATATATCAGAAAACCAAATCAGTTTTGTGGGTTTTTTGTGTCCTTTCGAGCATATAAAAGTTAACATAAAGATTCTTAAATTAGTATTGAAGTGCTGAAAATGTCAAAATGGAACACTGTGGTAAATATAGAGGTAGCAATAGCACAAACAGCTGCCAGCACTAGAGCTTAGAGGGCAGGAGAATTGGAGGTTATTAAAACATAGAAGCTTAAAGAATGGATCCTGAGGAAATATAATTTAGACCTCTGAAGAAGATCATGCTGGGTATCTCCAAGACTACCCTCACAATCAATAATTAGCTAGAAGGACTCACAAGACTAAGAAAAGTTCTTATACTCATGGATATCATGTATTAAAATGAGACAATACGGATGAAAATCAGCAAAGGGAAAAGGTATATGTGCAAAATTCTCAACAACTAGGTACAAGTTTGCAAGAGTCTTCTCTGAGTGGAGTCACACAGATCCACTTGATTCTCCTAGCAACAATATGTGATGACACATGTGAGATATTGACAACCAAAGAAGCTTACCTTAGCCATGTGTACAGGGTTTTTATTTAGTGAGTTGGCCCCCACCTCCCTAAAAGTTATATCCAAGTCTTAACCTGTTAGTGCCTGTGTGTGATTCTGAAATAAGGGCTTTGCATATATAATTAAGAATCTCAAGATAATATCACACTCTGGAGGCAGGGCCAAGGGTGTGGAGGACACAAGGCTAAAAGATAGTAGATGTGTGGCTCCAAATTAGTTGGATCATATAAGGTTGATTGGATCCTATCAATCAACTGAGAAGAATCCAGGAATAAAGATGGGATTATCCAGGAATGATCCGTGAAGGAACCTTTGTTCTAATATTGTCTAATGTGTGGATCCTCGTGGCATGTATGGGAAAGCCGCAAGGGTTTGAGAATGCTATCCCACCAAAAACACTTTCAGCTTAGAATGAAGGGGACAGAGACAGGATGAAAAGAAGGAGGGCTGTTGGATATCTGGAATTCTATAGGCAGGAAATAGGCTGACAGTCCTCCTCAGTTTCAAACGTGGGTTATCCTTCAATAAAACAGAAGAATAACACAGAGGCAGGACTGCCATTGGCGAGGGAAGCTTCCATGGGCCTAGAGGGCAGAATAAACCCCTTTTGCCACAAGGGGGTACTGCGTGGCTACTGCTAGTATCTTGAACTCAGAGCCCCAGGCCTCTGGGGAGACAGCAACAATCAGTTGGTGCTGAGATCCAAAAAGGGAATGGTTAAGCTAGTGTGTTAGTTTTTTATTGCTGTATAACAAAATGACTACAAACATAGCAGCTTAAAACAGCACCCATTTATTAGCTTAAAGTTCTGTAGGTCAGAATGGAAGAGTCTGCTCAAAAGGCTAAGATTGAAGTATTGACCAGAGCTACTATCTCATCTGAAGCTGGGTGTTGCTTTTCAAGTTACTTGATTATAGGCAGAGTTCACTTTCTTATAGTCATAGGACTGAGGTTGTCACCTTGCTGGTGGTCAACTGAGGATCATCTCAGCTCCTAGAGACTGTCATTATTCTTTGCCATGTAGCCCCTTTCATCTTCAAAACCATCAACAGAGAATCTCCCTTGCATAAATCCCTTTTAAGTTTCGACTCTTTCTTGCAAGAAAGGATCACATTCTTCTTAAAAGCTCATTTGACTAGGCCAGGTTCACCAAGTGTAATCCCTCTATCTTAAGGACAGCTGATTTGGGACCTTAATTACATTTGCAAAATCCCTTCACAGTGACATCTATATTATTGTTCACTTAACCAACTAAGAAAAAGTATGTTTACATCAGAGGCCAGAAATTTATGTATCAAACAGTAAGAAGCAAGTCCCTTCCCCATCCTTTAGCCTTCCAGTCTTCCCTAGTCCCCCCACTGGTGGCAGAGCCTACCATGAATTTTCTGGCAAAGCAGAAATGTGGTTTGCAATGTCCTGATCCCAGCCTTACCAAACAGGCTACAGCAGCAGGGGTGTGAAGCTGAGAGAAAATAGTTTATAACTACCCCAGATAGTATGCAAGGGAACACAAGCATTGTTGGTGAGGTTGGAGAGAGAGTATGAGACAGAGAAGACAGGATGCAAGATGATTGGCAGAATCATTATTTCCTCAACATAATCAGAAAATTCTGTTGATTTGCACACAAATATGGTTTGGCTCTGTATCTGCACCCAAATCCTATGTTGAATTGTAATCCCCTATGTTGGAGGTGGGGCCTGATGGGAGGTGATTTTAACATGGGGGTTGTTTCTAATGGTTTAGTACCATACCCCCTAGTGCTGTGTCATAATAGAGTTCTCAAGAGATCTGGTTGTTTAAAAGTGTGTAGAACCTCCCCCTTCACTCTCTTCCTGCTTCCACTATGTATGATGTGTTTGCTTCCCCTTTGCTTTCCACCATGATTGTAATTTTCCTGAGGCCTCCCAAGAATCAGAAGCCTATATATACCACAGAATTGTGAGCCAATTAAGCCTCGTTTTAAAATAAATTACCTAGTCCCCAGTACACCTTCATAACAGCACAAGAATGGACTAATACAGAAAATTGGTACCAGAAGTGAGTTATTGCTATAAAGATATCTGAAAAATATGGAAGCAACTTTGCCACTGGGTAATGGGCAGAGATTGGAAGAGTTTGGAGGGCTCAGAAGAAGACAGGAGGATGAAAGAAACTTTGGAAAATCCTAGAGACTTGTTGAATGGTTTTGACCAAAATGCTGATAGTGATATGAACAGTGAAGTCCAGGCTGAGGTGGTCTCAGGTGAAGATGAGGACTTATTGGGAACTGGAGTATAGGTCACTCTTGCTATGCTTTAGCAAAGAGATGGGTAGCATTGTGCCCCTGCTCTGGGGAATCTGTGGAAATTTTAACTTGAGAGAGGTGATTTAGGGTAACGAGCAGAAGAAATTTCTAGGCAGCAAAGCATTCAAGAAGGGACCAGGCTGCTTCTAGCAACTTATTCTCTTATGTGTGAGTGAAGAGATGATCTGAAACTGAAACTTACATTAAAAGGAAAGCAGAGCATCAACGTTTGGAAAACTTGCAGCCTGATCATGTGGTAGAAAAGAAAAACTCATTTTCAGGGGAAGAATTCAAGCCAACTGCAGAAATTTGCATAAGTAAAGAGGAATCAAATGTTAATAGCCAAGACAATTGGTAAAATGCCTTTAAGTCATTTCAGAAAACTTTGTTGAAGCCCCTTCTATCACAGGCTTGGAGGCCTAAGAGGGAAGAATGGTTTTATGGGCCAGACCCAGGCCCCCACTGCCCTATGCAACCTTGTGACACTGTTCTCTGTGTCCCAGCCACTACAGCTCCAGCCATGGCTAAAAGAGCCCCAGATACATCTCAGACCACTTCTCCAGAGGGTGCCAGCCATAAGCTTTGACAGCTTCCACATACTGTTAAGCCTGCAGGTGCACAGATGGCAAGAGATGAGGCTTGGGAGCCTTGCCTAGATTTCAGAGGATGTATGAAAATGCCTGGATGACCAGGCAGAAGTCTGCTGTGGAGCAGAGCCCTCATGGAGAACCTCTCCTAGGGTAGTACAGAGAGGAAATGTGGGGTTGGAGCCCCCACACAGAGTCCCCACTGGGGCACTTCCTAATGGAGCTATGAGAAGAGGGCCACCATCCTCCAGACCCCAGAACGGTAAATCCACCAACAGTTTGCACCATGTGCCTGGAAAAGCCGCAGTCACTCAATGCCAGTCTGTGAAAGCAGCTGCAGGAGTGGTACCCTGCAGAGCCACAGGGATGGAGCTGCCCAAGGCCTTGGGAGCCCACCCCTTTCATCAGTGTGACCTGGATGTGAGACATGAATTCAAAGGAGATTATTTTGAAGTTTGAAATTTGGGGCTGGCAGGCATCCTGTAGCCCCTTTGTTTTGGTCAATTTCTCCCTTTTGGAATGGGAGCATTTACCCAATGCTATATCCCCATGGTATCCTGAAAGTAACTAGCTTGTTTTTCATTTTACAGGCACATAGGCAGAAGGGACTTGCCTTGTCTCAAACGAGACTTTGGACTTGGACTTTTGAGTTAATGCTGGAATGAGTTAAGAGTTTGTGGGACTGTTGAGAAGGCTCGACTGTGTTTTAAAACGTGAGAAAGACATAAGATTTGGGAGAGGCCAGGGGCAGAATGATATGATTTGGCTCTGTGCCCCTACCCAAATCTCATGTTGAATTATAATCCCCAATGTTGTAGGTGGACCAGGTGCTAGGTGATTGGGCCAGTTGTGAGGTGACTGGACCATGAGGAGCTGTTTCTAATGGTTTAGCACCATCCCCACAGTCCTGTCTCATAATAGAGTTCTCATGACATCCGGTTATTTAAAAGTGTGTAGCACCTCCCTTTTCAGTCTCTTCCTCCTGCTCCCGCTACGTAAGACATGTTTGCTTCCCCTTCGTCTTCCACCATGATTGTTAGTTTCCTCAGGCCTCCCCAGAAGCAGAACCCTGTACAGCCAACAGAACCATGAGCCAATTAAACCTATTTTCTATATAAATTACCTAGTCTCAGGTATGTCTTTATAGCAATGCAGAAACAGACTAATTAGTTTAGACATGTTAGTTTATTTTTCTATTGCTATAATGATCCAAAGTAACCCTAATTATCATTATAAAATGAAAATAGTTTAGAATGTTTTCTTTAGATTTCCTACATAACTTCAAGGTAGAAGGATAATCTGTTTATGTTCTTATGTGAGAGGCTCGAATAACACAGAAGTCTTTTAAATGATCAGAACAAAACTGAAGAAGAATATAAAAAGTTGGGACAAAGATTAAAAGCCAAACTAGAAGCAGAAAGAAATCTTAATTCCCAAATTCATTACAAGGTAATGGAGCACACTTTTTAAGGGAATGACAAATTGCCTTTAATTTTGTTATTTTATGTAACAGTTTAAAGCAATAGTTTTTGAAGTTCACACAAATTGTGATTTACAGAGGTTAATATACTTATAGAATACAACCAAAGTAGACAAAGGTATGAGCAGAAAATGGAGAGACATGGAATAATATCCAGGGAAGAGTACCACCTTTTAACATTTCTACTTAGTCAATTTTTAAATTACATGCTTAAACAACCTACAATAAAAGTGTGAAACTACAGAAAAGCTTTGGAGAGCCTACTTCTAATTCTAGGTATTAAACTTAAAAATTGTGCATATCATGATGATGTCACTTTCACCTGGAGATTAATGAATTCCCATTCTTAAGAATTTTTAGATATGATCAAGAAGAAATTCATAAATTTATATCTATTTAATCTTCTACTAGAGTGAAGAAGAGATAGTTTTTTAAGGTAGCAATGTGACCTCCAATTATTTAACCTGCCTTGCCAGGGACAAGTGCTGTGGAACTAAAACGCATCTTTAGATGACTGATTTGAAAGAAAACCACTGGAAGCAAAGTCAACAGTACAATCAGCCACTGATAATGTGATTAAAATCCCAGCTTCCTAGTGCAGATTGTTAGAAATCAAAGATTATTTTAGTGCTTCTCTGATCTTGCCCCCCTCCCGCATCATTGCCTACTCTTTTCCCCAAGAAGAATTAATCATCCTCAGCCATAGTAGCTTCCCTTCTTTTTCCAAATACATCTAGCATGGTGATCTAATGGTTAGGGTACAATGCACTCTCTCAGACACATCTAGCAGACCCTTGCCTCATGGCCTTTGCATCTGTTGTAAGATGTCTGGAGCACATGTAGATTCAGATCTTTATGTAAATGTCACTTTTATACATAGTGCTTGCATTATTATCCTATGTAAAATAGTTGCCCCACTCCTACACTCCTCCCATTATTCTTCATTGTATCACTTGTTAAAGTTTTCTTCATATGTCTTATCACTACCTAACGCATGCCATAGGTTTGTTTATTCATTGTCTTTCTCTTCACCCTAAAATGAAAGTTCTAAGAGGGTAAGAGCTTTTTTGTTTAGTCAATTGTTTTATTCCTAGAACGTGAAATAGTGCCTAACCCTAAGAAGTCCTTCAATAAATATTTGCTGAAAATTGTTCACATGATCTCATTATTATTTTAATCTGTTTCAGCCTTTGTATTTTCCAAAGATCAAATTTAATGCCTTGATGATTATAACAAAGATAGTTAGCTTACCCTTATTAAGGTCTTGCTATGGGTGAAGAACTGGGTGAAGCACTTTGCAAACATCTCACTCCCTACAAGCCTGTGAAAGGGGGTATTAATAAATATTTCCATTGTATACAGTAGAAAACACAGCCATGGAGAGATGATTCAGTTGATCAAGGTCACTCAAGGATCTCAGCCCAGTTCTGGCTGACTCTAACCTTTTGCTTTTTGCACTTATAACGGAATTAAATTCCATTTTAAGTAAATACAAATACAATCATATAAACGCTGTATTCTGTCCTACAGGTCTAAGTGATGTTCTTTATGTGCCTTTTCTTTTCTCAAGGCTTCTGCTAGTCTATATGGCATTTTGGTGTGATTTGCAAGAAGTACCTTCTGGGTGGCCCAGGTGGAAAAAGGTGTATCCAGTGGGCGGTAACAGCCCTAGGAGTAGAAAACACTTTCGTGAAAAGAGAAAGGTGTCCCTTTTCTCCTGGCTGATCCAGCCCTTCTCTAAGAAATATGGCCTGGTTAGTAGCACACAGGTTGGATTTCAGTACCATTTGGCTCTAAGACTGATGCTTGTTTGCACAGCACAGATGCACAAATTCCCACCACCTTCTTCTACCTTTCCTTCTTCTTGACTCTGCTGTGTCTACACTTTCCTTTCTCTTGTTCCTTGAACACTCCAAACCTACTCGCCTCTTAGGGCCTGCACAGTTGCTGCTATTGTTCAGGAAATCTCTTTCCCCAGATACTCTCCTAACTCATTAGTCTCTGTAAATGTTACTTCTCAAAGACTTCTCACCATCTTACATAAAAATAACATACCATAGTCATTTTTTTTTTACATTGTGCTGCTACATTTTTCTTTTAGATAAATCATCACTATCACTTGATATTATGTGATAGGTATTTGTATAATTCTTTCATGGGAGGCACCCCCATGTTATTTTAGGGGTGAGGACCCAGTTCTGCTAACACATTTTTCTTTGTAAACTTTAGCTAACTGATCTATAAAGCTATCTGTGAAGTGATTTAGCTTTCAATTATTGCAAATACGTCATCTATGCTCTAAATTGACATCAGTTCTTGACTCATTAACATAGAAAGTGGAAATAAAATAAAAATAAACTTAGAGTCATAAATACAAATGTACCTGAATATGATAGGTATCTATATAAAGTAGGATGTACTTAAATTAATTTTTAATATCAACATGAAAACACATAATTGTAAAGTGTTCATCAATGACTTATGGATCCCCTCCTCTTAACTTCCCGACAAGAATATATCACATCTCAGTTTTTAAAATACTATCTTTCAGAGTTTTCATGAAGAATAAGAAAGCAAGTGATTGGAACATAGTAAGTGAACAATAAATATGAGTCCTTGGCTTTATTCCCTATAAATTCCCCCCCCCCACACACACACACACATATCATAATATACGTTTACATTTCAATTGATCATAGACCATATTTTAGGAAAGGCTGGCTATTTTACCTCAATGATTGCAAGTCTGTGACTAAAATAATTAAATAAAGCCAGAAATGCTGTCAGTATGCTCAGATATTTTTACTTTGTAGCATTTATCCTAAGGTTATCAATTCTATTTCTTAGTCAACTAGTCAGTTGCTTTCATGTTGAATTCATTGCTTCTAGGTTTATCTAAAAAGAATATTAAAAAAAGGCTATTTGAAATAGCATAAAATTCATTCTTTATTTCTTATATAATAGTGGGAGAAATTTTAATGTAGTTAAAAATAATATAAACAAAAGTTAGACAATATCTGACAAATAAGTTGCTGCATAGCATATTTTTATATCCAATATATCTCAAAACATAAAAACTACATTTTCACAATTTTATAACTGTCACAAATTGGACCAGAGTCTTTTTTTTCCAGATAAATGTAACCCTTTCCATGGTTTAAATTACAAGAAAAAATATGCAGAATAAAGACTCTTTCAGAAAGTTTCTAGAAAAATAGAAAATATTCTTCTAAGAGCACAAAAATATTTTGCAGCTGGTGATGGACAGTTAAATGTTATTATTTCTCATATGTTTTCTGCAATCAAAATCTTTGATTAGCTGATTCTGAAATAATTACCAATTAGTCAAAGACATCAGGACCCTTTAATTATTTAGAACAAAATGGGTTTATGACTTCTAGTGTATAAGCATAGACTTTAATTTTCTGTAGTTTTTGCTGTAATTCTAATGCATTAAAAACTGCAAACATGAATTGTAAAATGGCATCTGGGGAAAAAGAGAAGAGATACATGGAAAGAAGCATAGTTCATAGTAGAATATAATTACTAAATCTTCATTAACTCCCTGAACTAAAATTAATTCTAAGAATAAAACTTACTCCTAGCTTTAGTCATTTACAACAAATCTCCATGAAAATGTTCTCTTTGCACTTAAAGTAAATTTCCATATTACAATATACATTATTGTCATGAATAGTAATGGCACACTTACAAATTTTATCTTGGTAGACAAGCATTGAAATCTAATATAACCAATATTTCAAAGGAGTTGTGACAAATAACTAGGGATGAAGATAGAGTGTCTTGGACCATGTACTACAGATATAAATCAAACCAAGTATTTCTAACTCTTCCTCAGCGGGAACGATACAACTTTTTTGTTTCTGGTTGGAAATGTAAAGAGGAGTTACATTTCATTTTATATAGTCAATAAATAAAGCGTTGTTTTAATGATTGACAATTATATATTATATTTAATACATAAAAGTTATGTTATATATTTAGAGATATATACATGTAATATAATTAAATAACTATATAATATGTTATATATATATATATAAAATTTTATAACATAAGATACCCCAAAATGCAGTGTCTTAAATATGATACTTATGTTTCTCTCACATGGTAGTTCAGAACTGTGTAGATTTGGCAAGGTAGTTTAGTTCCGTAAGGTTATTCAGGGATACAATCGCACTATCTTGTGCCTCCACCATCATCATGAACATTGTCCTTATCTGCAAGGTGGAAGCTTGCCACCCTCACATTCCCATTCTACCATATGGAAAGATAAGAGAGAAGGTCCAGGAATAGAGGAACATCTTCTTTCAGCAGATTAATTAGAAGTTGTTGGTATCACTTATACATGCATATACTAAATGTGATCCCAAGGCCTCACCTAGCTGCAAAGCAGACTAGGAAATATCCATAGCTAAGTGGCCATGTGTCTGTTTTAACTTGAAGGATTCTATTACCAAAAGGAAAGAGGAAATAGAGGCTGCTGATCCACTGTATTTATAATTCCATATATACTTGCACAGTCTATATATGTATAATTCCATATATATGTGTATGTGTGTGCATGTGTTATATATATATAATGTATACAAATAGCTTTCTTGAAAACTATGTATATATGTATATGTGTATGTATATATATATATTTCAAGTCAAATTCAAGAATTAGCTAGTGAAATGTAACAAGGGCTTTAACCTAGAAAAAAAAGTTTTGAATAAAAAGCCATAAATTTTATATTAAATTTAGAAAGTATAGATTTTATTTCATAAAACACATCATAAATGTTTAAATTATGACTAGATCGATAAAGGTTAAGAGATAGGCCTAAAATCCCTGAGGGGCCAAGAAGGTCTACACCATTTATTGAAGCTGTCTTTCACTGAGTCACATGGTAAAGTGGCAGAGCTTTGGTGTTCTTGTCTGAAACCTGTTACACCTACCCACCTACCCTGAGGGATTTTGCGAGAATTATCTAGAATTGATTTTAAAAAACACATCAACAAAGGTATATGTATAATATGTATCTACCCAATGCAATGCCTGGCACATACTAGGTTATCTTATAAATGGTAAAGACTATTATTAGCATTACTTTGAGAAAATATTTCTTTATGAATTGCATTATCAGTCTTTGATATTTACTGATGATGAACAAACATAATAAATATTCCACAAGCACTCAGAATGCAGGGGTAAAGCTAATCAGGAAAGTAAACAATTTCTCTTCATATTTAGTGCTTCTTTCAGGAGCTCTTGCAGGGCAGGCCTGCTGGTAATGAAATCTCTCAGCATTTGCTTGTCTGGAAAGAATTTTATTTCTCCTTCACTTATGAAGCTTAGTTTGGCTGGATATGAAATTCTGAGTTGAAAATTCTTTTCTTTAAGAATGTGGAATATTGGCCCTCAATCTCTTCAGGCTGTAGAGTTTCTTCTGAGAGGTCCACTGGTAGTCTAATGGGCTTCCCTTTGTAGGCGACCTGGCCTTTCTCTCTAGCTGCCCTTAACAGTTTTTACTTCATTTTTGACCTTGGAGAATCTGATGATGATGTGTCTTAGGACTGATCTTCTTGAGGAGAATCTTAGTGGTTTTCTCTGTATTTCCTGAATTTGCATGTTGGCTTGTCTTGCTAGGTTGGGGAAGTTCTCCTGGATAATATCCTGAAGTGTGTTTTCCAGCTTGTTCCCATTCTCCTTGTCTCCTTTAGGTATTCCAATCAATCACAGGTTCATTTGTTCTTTTTACAAAGTCCCATATTTTTTGGAGGTTTTGTTCATTCATTTTCATTCTTTTTTCTCTAGTCTTGTCTGCATGCCTTATTTCAGCAAGGTGGTCTTCAAACTCTTACAACCTTTCTCTGTTTGGTCAATTCAGCTATTGATACTTGTGTATGCTTCATGAAGTTCTCATGCTGTGTTTTTCAGCTCCATCATGTCATTTATTTTCCTCTATAAACTGGTTATTCTAGTTAGCAGCTCCTCTAACGTTTTATCAAGGTTCTTAGCTTCTTTGCATTGGATAGAACATGCTCTTTTAGCTCAACATAGTTTTTTATTACCCATCTTCTGAAGCCTGCTTCTGTCAATTCGTCCATCTCATCCTCCATCAAGTTCTGTGCCCTTGCTGGAGAGATGTTGTGATAATTTGGAGGAGAAGAGGCAGTCTGGCCTTTTGGGTTTTCAGCGTTTCTTCATTGATTCTTTCTCATCTTCGTGAGTTTGTCTAGTTTCCATCTTTGAGGCTGCTGACCCTTGGATGGGATTTTTGTAGGGGCTTTTTTTGTTGTTGATGATGCTATTGTTGTTGCTTTCTGTTTGTTTTTCTTTCAATGGTCAGGTCCCTCTGCCGTAGTGCTGCTGTGGTTTTCTGGGGATTCACTTCAGGCCCTATTCATCTGCTTCACTCCCACACCTGGAGATGTCATTCAAGAAGGCTGGAGAACAGCAAAGATGGGTGCCTGCTCCTTATTCTGGTATCACTGACCTTGAGGTGCACCAACCTGATGCCAGTAGGATCGCTCCTATATAGGGTGCCTGACAACCCCTGTTGGAGGGTCTCACCGAGTTGGGTGGCATAGGGAACAGGATTCGTCATAGGGAACAGCACTTTGCCCCTTGGTGGAGGGGATGTGTTTCACTGGTGGGAAACCCACTTCTCTGGGCTGCCCAGATTCCTCAGAACTACCAGGAGGAAAGGCTAAGTCTGCTGGTCCGCATAGACTGCAGCCACCACTTCCCCTAGGGGCTCAGGCCAAGGGAGATCCAGGTTCTGTCCCTGAGCCTCTGGCTGGAGTTATTGAAGTTCCTTCAGGGACGCCACACCCAGTGAGGAGGGATGAGTCAGGGTCAGGCCTGAAGACACTCTGGCCACAGTCTGCCACTGCTGGTGTGTTGTGCTGTGGGGGACACGTCTGGAGACCAAGTCGTACAGCCTCCCTGGCTCCAGCAGGGGAAAAGCATGGCCTGGAGCTATAAAGATGAATGCTGCCCTTCCCCCACCCAGGAAGCTTAGCAAATTAGGCAGTTGTGAGTCCCAGTGCTGGCTGCTGCCCTTCCCTCAAGGAGTTCAAAGGGCCTAGACAGCACGCAGCTGCAGCTGTGGTGCTGGTTGACACTCCCCACGTGAGCTCAGTAGGCTTAAGCAGATTCCAGCTGAGAGACTGTTGAGAATCTGCATGGCTCTGGGGTTGGGAAGCTAGGCCACAGGGGCATGGGCTCACAAATGGGATTTTCTGATCTGTGGTTTGCACAGTTATGTGGAAAAAGCACAGTTTCCCCGACTTGATAGCCTGCTCACTCACCGCCTCCCTTGGTTTAGGGGTGGGGGCCCCCCTGCCCCGTGTGGTTCTCAGATGGGCTGCCTCACCACACTGCTCTTCCTTCCTCTCTGTGGATCACGCCAGCCTCCTAATCAGTTCTGATGAGAGAACCTGGATACCTTGCTTGCCGGTGAAGCAGTCATACACTTATTATAGTTCTTTTCCATGGGTGCCTCTGATCACAGCTGTTTCTAGTTGGCCATCTTGGCCCTGCCCCCACTAAACATTTACAATTAAAGGTCTCCTTGTTAAGCCTTCTTTGATGCCAAGCTTCAATTCCATTGCATTGTTTGCCAACCTCTGCCTTGATTCCCTGTTTTCTATCAGGATTGTCTTGAGATTTACCCAGTTGCCTGCAATTCACAGGGCTCCACAACAGGGGCTCAGGAGTCTGGGGTACTGCAGGGAACTGGGGATTTGTTGGGCCTAACCAAGGCAGTCAGTCAGTGTGCAGCCCCGCACTCGAGGTCCAGGAGGGAACGATGCTTGATATCAGGACGCAAGCCGCCTCCAGCCCAAGCAGCCCCTCTAGATATTTTATAATGTATTTTAGCACTTTGGAAATAGATATGCCTTTGCCGCTCAGTTTTTTAAAGTTTACTTTCTTTTTTTACATTAAAAGGAAATATTTCATATAAATATACATAAGTACACCTATGTTTTCAATGTATATTTCTGGTAGTCTTAACCAGCCTTAGACATTAAACCAGACCCTAAAGATAAAAGCGTGAATGTAATCAACATAGTTACAGCTTTCATGGAATTAATACCAAAGGGTGGCATGAGATAGTTAGAAAACAGTTAAAACTATAAAAACTAGAGCTAATATCTACATAATTGAGGAGTCTAGCTCCAGGCCATAATCCTATGTGTGATCTTTGAGGCTCAACCATAGGCAATTACAAAGACTTTACCTGGCAGGCCTTGAGAGGGAGAGCTGCCTCCCAACTCCAGACTTCATGCACAGTCATCATCTTTCCGTCTCTGGAAGGAGTTGCAGTCAGGGATTCAGGCTCCTCCAGCTGGCAATGCTCTTAACGCACATCACATTGCTAACAAGGAGCCTCCATTCAGAGGCCATGGCCTTTCCCAGGTGTCTCTGCTTATTTGGGGAGGCTTGAAGACACATTTCCCCACTCTGACTCAGTATTCAGTACTTTCCCTTTCCTAGTCCTTCCCTCTCTCTTCCTTAATCCCCAGCTCCTATGTTCATCACATGGCAGAAGTCTTTTATTTGAGCCAGGGCATAAAGCCAAAAAGTCAAGCTCCAGGACCCTCATTCTTTCAGCCTGTAACAAGAGGCCGAGCCAGGGCATAAAGCCAAAAAGTCAAGCTCCAGGACGCACATACTTAATAGTTATGTTCCACCAACATTTGGTCATTCCAAGAGTGATGGGTGCCATGTAGAAAGTGTAACAGAAAAAAGTGAGCAGCATTACAGATAGTGGCCAAAGAATGGCTCTCTCAGGATGGGACATTTTAGCTAAGATGTGAGCAACATGAAGTAACTGAGACTGGGAACATATGGAAGAAGAATGTTCCAGGCGAAGGGAAGTACAAAAGGCTCTAAAGCTAGAATGAGCCTGGTGTACTCTAGAAACAGAAGCTGGTGGGTGAGACTGCAGCCTGGGAGCACATGATATGGGAAGGAAAGATGGGAGATCCTGGGATTACAGAGGGCCTTGAAGAACATGGTAAGGAGTTTGATTTTATTCTAAGTGCAATAGAAAGTCACTGGTAAGTTTAAATAGGGAGTGTCAAGACATAATTTCTATTTATAACAAGATTACATTGACTGCTGTGAGGAAATTGATGAAATATAAAAAAATTTATTGTAGGGACATCAATGAAATTGCCCAGGAAGGAGAAAAAGGAGGATGCTCATGTTAGGCAGAATAAATGCAACATTCAGAGGCAAAAAGCCAAGAAATAAGCACGGAGAACTGAAAGAGACACAAGCCCTATGGAATGGCTAAATTATTGGGTGCATGCTGGGGAGTGACTAGTGGAAAGGCTGAGAAATTGATCAGCATCCATCCAAATGTGACCCATGCTTTGATAAGGAGCCTGATCTAAGAACAATGGAGGCCCATTGATATTTAAAAGAAAAGTAAAAGTTTCTCACTTATGAAGTCAAATATAGCTCTTATAAAGGGACAGAGAAAATAAAAACATATAGCAACATATAGGTCATATATTTAGATACCCAGAGCTACCCTGAAGCCAATTCCTTATAAATTGGACATTGCCACCCCTGGTCCAGAATTTCTAAAGTCACCCAAAACAGTAAGTAGATGAGCAGGTCTTCTCCATTCAGAGAACCATCTAATCCTGAGCTAGCCTGACAGGATGTTAAGGGTAGATGGGGTGTGTCATGTACCTGGCTGCCCTTAAACTGAAAGTTTGGCTTTTCTGAGGCAAACTTCATACCCTCGTGCATATAGAATTTCAGGCTCATTCCCAATCCTTGCCATGTTTGCAAAGGCAATATGATAAGGCCTCTATCTTGATTTCTCAATTATATTTGCTTCCTCCACTGGGATATAAGTCTTGTCACAAACTTCAGAAAAGGAGAAAGGACTCTGGCCCTGAATTTCCTCTCTGAGGTCTGAATTCTGCAGATAAAAATCCTCCTTTTGTCTAAAGCCCTGTATCAAAACCCATTGTGAAATCACAGTGCTATCTCTGATTCCAAGTATCTCTTCACTGTCTACGTACTTTGTGTCTTAGTCCATTCAGGATGTTATTACAAAATACCATAAACTGGGTAGCTTCTAAGCAAAAGAAATTTGTTTCTCACAATTCTGTAGGCTAAAGGCACTAACAAATTTAATGTCTGGTGACTGCCTGTTTCCTGGTTCATAGATGATGCCTACTTGCTGGAACCTCACATGGTGGAAGGGGCTATCTTTCTCCCTGTGGCCTCTTTAATCCCATCCATGTGGGCAGAGCCCTCAGTACCTAATAATTTTCCAAAAACCCCACTTCCAAATACTCTCAATTTGGAAATTAGGTTTCAACACATGAGTTTCAAGGGGACAAACATTCAGACCGTAGCACACATTACTTTGTACTCTTTAACCCCAAATCAACCTCTTTATACAGCCTTATGTTCCTGTAAATATTCCCACCATTTCCTCTCTCCCCATGAGCTAACTGTTAAGTCCAAGCATTTTAAACAGCAATGCCCCTCAGTCCATTACATTAAGCTGATACCTTTAGAGAATTAAGTACTAAAGAAGTTCAAATCCTTTTCTCTTTAACCCAGAACTCATTCCATTTCCTGGTGGTTTGGGACTTTTAGATATCACAGACTTTATTTTTGGTAACTACTTTATTTGGCATACTTAAAAATAAAACTATTATCTAACCATAAGAAAAAAAATTAGACAAAACTAATTGAGGGACATTGTACAAAATACTGGTACTTCTCAAAACTGTCTAGATCATCAAAAATAAAGAAAATCTCAGAAATTGGACACAACTAAGAGGAGCCTCAGAAGACATGACAAATAACATAATGTGGTATCTTGGATGGGATCCTGGACCAGAAGAAGGACATTAAGAAAAAAAAACTGGGGCGATCTGAATAAAGTGTGGAGTTCAAGAACAATTACCAATATTTGTTCATTAATTATGACAAATATACTAATATAACATGTAAGTAGTAGGAAAACTAGGTGTGATATATAGAAATTGTACTAGCTTTGCAAAAATGCTATAAATATAAAACTGTTTTAAAATTGTTATTAAAAATAAACAACACAATTGACAATGATTCTATATTTTTCTTTATTCCAGAAATTATACTCCTTGCCATGAATTTCATGAACTTAATTTTTAAATTAAATTTAACTCCCTCTTTTCTTTTTAAGAAATAGAAAGATTTCTTTTTTCCTGAGCATTTTGATGAGGTTATTTAAGGTCAGGTTATGTATAAATATTACAATTGGTCTCATTTGGAGTTAAAAGGAGAACACCAAAAACCATTTTTGTTAATTATTTATTCCTAAAGCTACTGATTCTTTCTTTTGTATATTGATTTATATGAGCCAAGCAAAGATCTTGACCACTTTGTAAAGGTTTCATTATGTTTCCTTTCTATATCTCCAAAATGTATATTCTTAGCTGACCCATTTTCTATCATCTAAACACTTGTAGAAAGAAGATAATGCCCTCATCTTCAGCAATGTTGATAAAGGACCTTATGGTAGACTTAGGAAAAATAGATGCTCCCTCCCTTAGTAGCTTTTTGACCTTGGACAAGCTCTGCAATTTAGTTTCCTCTATATTTCCTCTAAAGCAGAAATAATAGTAGTAACTAACACATTGTGTGTTATAATGATTAAATTAAATACTACATTTAAAATGCCTAGCATAGGACCTACCACATAATAAGGTCATAGTAAATGGTAGTAGAGGGAGAAAAGAAGTACTATCTTGTTCTCACCCATCACAAGGTTCAGGCTGAGCCCCCTATAACAAATGGCAGATTAACAAGGAAAAGTATACAAATTTATTTAATGTAAATTTTAGGCAACACAATAGCCTTCACTAGGAAACAAAGACCCAAAGAAACAGGGAAACCTGGGTATTTTTATGCTAAGGTTAATGAGGTCGACAGTTGTGGGAAGTATGATTGGACAAAGGAGGTATGATCTAATGGTAATAAACCGGGGACTTTAACAATGTCTTTTTTTCAGATTCTTCTTGGCACCTCTGTGGCTTCAAGGATAAGAATACTTCTTTTCATTGGGTACAGGGGGCAACTCTAGAATGAAGGTTTTATGACCTGCTTCAGGGTGTTAGTGGCAGTGAATCTGTACGGTTCTGCAGCAACCTCAATTCTTGCCTCCTCAGAAGAAATAATTTGACCAATGGGACATAAGGCAGAGTGAGAGACTGAGGCAAGTTTTAGAGCAGGAGTGAAAGTTTATTAAAAAGTTTCAGGGCAGGAATGAAAGTGTGTCTGGAATTTGTTCCTTCCGGTGGGTTCTTGGTCGCACTGACTTCAAGAATGAAGCTGCGGACCCTTGCGGTGAGTGTTACAGTTCTTAAAGATGGTGTGTCCAGAGTTTGTTCCTTCAGATGTTCAGATGAGTCTGGAGTTTCTTCCTTCTGGTGGGTTTTTGGTCTCGCTGACTTCAGGAGTGAAGCTGCAGACCTTCGCAGTGAGGGTTACAGCTCTCAAAGGTGGTGCATACGGAGTTGTTTGTTCCTTCCGGCAGGTTCGTGATCTCACTGACTTCAGGAATGAAGCCGCAGACCCTCGCAGTGAGTGTTACAGCTCATAAAGGTAGTGTGGACCCAAAGAGTGAGCAGCAGCAAGATTTATTGTGAAGAGCAAAAGAACAAAGCTTCCACAGCATGGAAGGGGACCTGAGCAGGTTGCCGCTGCTGGCTCGGGTGGCCAGCTTTTATTCCCTTATTTGGCCCCACCCACATCCTCCTGATTGTTCTATTTTACAGAGTGCTGATTGGTGCATTTATAATCCTTTAGCTAGATACAGAGCGCTGATTGGTGCATTTACAATCCTTTAGTTAGACACAAAAGTTCTCCAAGTCCCCACCCGACCCAGAAGCCCAGCTGGCTTCACCTCTTAAAAGGAAGTAAAGTACACTTGGAAGAGGGCCAAGTGGGTGACTTGAAAGAGTTAAGTGCCTGGTTTGACCTTTGGCTTGGGGTTTTATATGGTGGCATGCATCCAGGGTCTTGTGTTATGTCTCCCCTGATTCTTCCCTTGAGGTGGGCTGTCTGCATGCACAGCGGCCTGCCAGCACTTGGGAGGGACTGCATGCATGGTGTGTTCACTGGAGTTGTGCACATGCTCACTTGAGGCGCCCTTCCCTTACCAGTTGAATGTCCCTAAAACTTCATGTACCAGTTAAACCTTGCCCTTTTGCCTCTTAGTGCACCTGCTTGAGCCCACTTGCCCAACTCCTGAGATCTTATCAGAAAGCTGCTGTTCACTAGTTTCAGGTTTTTTTCTATCTATTGGGAGACTGCCATTCCTTAGTGCCAGCTGTGACCAACTTTTATTTTGGAGAGACAGTGTAACAACCGCCTGACCATCACCTGATGGTTGCTTGACATTCCTGGTTGTGGAGGGGAGCCCTTTCTTGCCCTGCTCATATCTGCCTATTACCTACTGTAACAAAGGGAGAAGGGTAAGGGGAAGGTGAGAGTGATCTCCCTGTTTCTGCTGTTTGCTCCAAAGCCAAGGTGGCATATTTTAGGGTAGTGTGTCCTGAACCCCATCAAAGGTTATTGTTTTTAGGGCTGTGACCTCCTATGAACCCATGTGTGGCAGAGAATGCAAACCACCTTAGGTGAAACACATGAAATGTATATAAATCTCTGTCAAGGTCTAGATATTCCAAAGACTGGGAATTAGAACAAAACGAGAAATTAGAGAAAAGACCAGACATTGACTAGGCAATGATGGTGATGCTGCAAAGTCAAGGACATATATGGAAGGGTAGAGCAGCTTTTGCTAGGGCTTTATGTCTCTGCAATGCACAGGAGATATTCCTGGCTTATTATCTCTTCATATGCGTAAAGAGATTGCAAAAGTTTAAGAGAATTTCATTATTTTTGAGACTCTGTAGAGGCTAAAGCAAGTCCACTTTGGATGCTAATCCACCATGTTGGCTTCTGATTAACCCTAGTTCTGGGAGGGCCTCTAGGATTTCCAGTTTATCTATGGTTCCTGTGTAATACCAGGTACTTACTACAAATCCTGTTCTTAGGTCAAACAACCTCGAAGTTATCATACTTCAGTTGTCCTATACATCCCTTCTGAACAACCCCTTCTCTGTGGTAGATAAGTCCTGGTTCTGAGGGGTAATGGCATGGAGATCCACCATCTTGTCTCACCACTGCTGGAGACACAAACATAGCTCTTGTTTGTAAGTCTCTGTTAAGTGTTTTCTCCTAAGAAACTGGGTTTGTCAGCCTCTTTCTTCAGCCTTTCAGCTTCCTCAAACTTTGGTGTAAGGTTTGCATAGACCTGCCCTCCTTGAAACAGACCTCCTCCCATAACTGGGGAAGAGAAAAACAAAAGAGAAACAAAATGTCACTATTGTGCATACTAGTTCTCTCTGGAGACCATGGGAAAAATAAATATTGTGTGGGATTATTCAGTAAATAAGTATTTATTGAATAAATGTTGCAAAAGAGGCAACCAATGTTTTTTTATGGAACATCGCATTGAACATTTTATTGAACATTATATATGTGACATGCTTTCTACATATCTCATCTTGTTCATTGTTCACTACAAACCAGAGGTAGATTTGCATTGCCCTCATTTAAAAAAAAATAATACTTTTCTCATTTTAGAGAGCACAAGAGATTCAGTAGCATGTCCATTAGCAAGTCATTAAACTAGAAAAAGTCATTGGATGCCAGGTCTAACTCCAGACAGACATTGGAAGACTTATTCCTTGCACAGGCACTAGAAGTATAATTGCATGCATGATAGAACTCCTGCCCTCAAGGAGCTGACAGTTCTTTGGGGAATACAGATGGAGTAAGTGATGTGTGGGTGCTATGGGATCACATAAGCAAAAGCCCTCACTCAGAATAAAATATTTAGCCTTTATGACACATACTGAGCCTTTTAAGCATAGTGGGAAATGTACTTTGCTCAATATATGAGCAAAGCAATCCTTGCAGCTAAAAACCTCCCATGTCTGAGGTTGTTTTTAGCTGCAAGGATGGCGTCTTGGGAGATGGACCTGGAAGGTTTTTAGCTGCATGGACTGCAGCTTATCTGTGAGCTACACCACAGTGTAAGTAGGTTCAGTACACCTGCTTCAAAGAGAGTACATGGGCCCAAATCCACTTAACACCATGTGACTTTTGGTATTCTGTGCCTCAGCTTTCTCATCTATTAAAGAGAGATGCTAATAATTATACTATTCCTAGGAAAGTATCTTTACAAGGCACTTAGAATAGTGCCTGTCACATAAGTACTCAACTATATATTTGACTTCTTCCTCTTGCCAGCCAGCATGCCTGGCAACAGCAGGCACTCAGTCAATGTTTCTGAGTCAAAACAAAGGTTTTGGAAACTCAGAATGTATTTTAGACAACCCTGTAAATAAACTCAGACTCAATGGAATAAAAAGCCAATCTGGCACAAAATAACTAAAAACAATAAAGTAAAAATATATAAATAATCTCTTCTTCCAGTGCCTGAAGGTGAATGTGAAAATCCAGGCAACTGCCAGAGGCATATATATGGCAGAATTTTATGATGATGCTATCAACCAGTCTTCTTTCAATTTCTTTATCTATGGTTCCCTTCTGTTGCCTCCACCATTACCATCTTACTTTATTCTCAGTTTTGGTAAGGCTGGAACATGCTCCTCTCTTGAGTAGGGATGCTGGGGGTGATAGTTATTGGTCTCCACTGAAACAGATAATTGCCTTGGATATAGGCAAGCAATTCTATACCTGCTGGCATATTATTTAGGTTTCTGTGGATATTTATCTATAGTTAATTGTCTTTTAACTTCTCAATAAAGGAGACCCTTTCTATTCATTACAATAGTAGGGACCAAGAGAAGTAGAAGGTACTGAAATCAGAGACATCTGAATTTGGGAGTTTCATTAGAATAACAGAACACAGTACAAAATCACTTACAAGATTAATTCTCAAACTTCATTCAAGAAGGAACTCGGAAATATGTTAATAAGAAGCACTGTGATAACAAACCAGGATTTTCCAAATTGACCTAGAGGTAACAACAATATAAGAAAAATTTTAATATATCACTTTTAAAATAATAAAAATGATTTCCTTTTCTAGAATGACCCAAACTCTAATTTTCCGTCTGAGGCTCATAAAACTAATCATAATGAATTCATTTAGCATGATTATGGGGTGTGGTACAGCTCTTCAGAAGAAATTTTGTTCTATTATAATTTTATTCCAGAGCACTATATCATTAAAGTGAAATATTAATGATATTTTTATTACAATTGTCAAGAAAATTATGGACAGGATTCCAAAAACATAAAAGCTTGTAATTGTTTTAAAAACCTACATTTTTAAAATGTGCTATTCAAAGACTTTCAACTTCTTCAGAAAATAATGCATAATGGCTCTCATTTATCCTGGGTATTTATTATTCCAAAATTATATAAATGCTCAGTTGAATCAAAGAGCAGCAGTAAAAGAATTTATATGAAAGATTAATTAGAACAGAATATTTCCCTTTGGAACAATTCTAAAGGAGCTCAGTGTGTTGGTGTTCATTTTAATTAGAATGTTCACTTTAAAAAAAGTAATACTTTTTTTACAACTGTATCTACCCTGAGAAAAAGAATCCTTTCAAATCACGGTTCTTTGGGGGATATTAAAGTCGGGTTTTGGCTTCCAAATGACTATGTGTAACCTAAACCACGAAAATGTGTCTTGTTTTAAATTCCCATGGACAAAATTAGTATGAGTCTTGAACCACCGTTTCCTGTGGAAAATACTAGCCCACATTGGGAATAAATTTTCCCCTAAAACCTTGCTGGTATTATGGAACAATTTTGACAATAGTCTTGCTAGTAAGTAAAGATTTTTTTTTTTTTTTGGTTTATTATTATTTACCACTACAAAGTTCAGTAAAGTCATTACCTTAAATCTTGGATGAAAATTTATTCAAAAACGTATTTCAATAATAATAGGCTAAGGGAATTTTGTGGCAAAGGTTTATTTTTCATCATTATTTTTGTATTTCTTTTGTCTTTCTAAGAGTATAGCTAACAGATGAATACAGTAGGTAGATTAAGTAGGTAAATTTTAATAATGGAATGTTTCTCCCAAGGAGACAAAGTTGGCCTCAAGCTTAAAAGAAAAACATACACACTTATCAATTAAGTCAAGACTTGTTGATTTAAACATTTCTGACTTGCTCAGAGTTCTTTTGTCTAATAGCACAAAAGGCGAGCATATAGCTGAAATTAACAAGGAAAAAAATAAAGTATTTTAGTTGTCACAGAATTATTTTACTTAATCACACATAGTCAAAGGGCACCATTTCCGGACTTTTCTCACGGTTTTTTTTGTTTTTTTTTTTAACTACGTTTTTCAAACACAGCTCAAATCATGTGGCGTTACGTCATCTGGGCTATGAAGAATCCAAATGGTGATGGGTGCCGTTTTCCTGTTGTCCAGGATTGTAGAAAAGATGAAATCTCTAGAAAAGGAATCCCAAACAACAACAACAACAACAACAACAAAGGCAAAAGAAATTTGAGTCCATTTAATGCATAACCCAAGTGTTGCAGATCCTCTCAGTTCATGGAAACATCAACCTTCTGCCGAATTGTATAATATGGTATTAGAATATAGTCAAAAGTCTTGTTTAACAGTTTAAGAGTACATGAGATGATAGTTATACTGATATGCCTGAATAAGCTCCTATCTTACTTGACCCCACTGAAGGTAGCATGTGAAACTCTAAGTAAAATATTTCTTAAAGCATTATTTGAATGCATGAGAATAAAAAAATAGGCAGATTCTGGAGGGAATTTGAAAGTTGAAAGAATGGATTGCAAGAAATGAGCTGATGGTTTTTATAACATGCAGCACTAAAATGCCATAAAAATGCCAATAGAAAATCTGTAGTTTTTCTGACTTGAAGATTTAGATAAATCAATTTATCAAAAGGAAAATGATGAGGAAATCCCAGAAAGAAGAGTCGTAGAGAGTTGGAATTTCAAATTTTGTGTGTAAATCTTCCCAATTATCTGACCAATAAGCCATGCATGCATAGAACAGATTCAAAACAGTCCAGGTAAAGATTTTTAAAAATGAACTATGATCTGAGCTCCCACCTACAAAATAAAATTTGTAGTTTGATTCCTAAAAAGTTACTTGCCCAGTAAGACAAGAACAAAAGTACTCTGAAGAAACACATAGTATAACAGAATCCATAGTCTTCATAATATAGCATCAAAATACCTATGATGCAACCCAAAATTATTTGACATATGAAGATCCAGAAAAATGTGACAAATTCCAAAATCTGAGTTGTTTCATGAGGAAAGACAATCAAGACTACTATGAGATAACTCAAATTTTAGAATTACAAGGCAAGAAGTTTTAAGAATTTCTTATACTTATTGAGGTAAATGAGAAATGCTTAAAATGAAGAAACCTCTGTAGAGAAATATAAACTATATTAAAAGTGGAAATTCTAGAATTGCAAAACACAAAAGATAAAAGAAATATTAGCTCGATGGGATTAATAACATAATGAGGATGACATAGGAAATAATTCCTAAATAGAAAAATAAATTAATAGAAAATATTCAACCTGAAGAATGCAGAGAAAAAAAGAGAGAAAATTAGAAAGCTCTAGTGCCCTCTTGGACAATAACAGAAAGTCAAATAGAAATGAACACTTCAATTAAAAGGTGGAGATTATTAGAATAGATTAAAAAGCATTAACAAATACTGTCAATAAGAGATGCATTTTAAATATAAAGACAGATAGGTCTAGAGTAGGTACCTGGCAAAAGATATACTATGAAAATAAACCTAAGATGGATGATTGGTCCAAAATAATATCAGACAATGTAAGCTTTAAGATACATAATATTACCAGAGGATTACTAGAACATCTAGGAGAAAACACTATAGTTCAACAGAGAAGTCTGGGAAACACCTAAAGCACAGGAAGAGAAAAAGGAAGCAGCCAGCTCCTCCAACATCAGCCAGGAGCTCAGAGGGGCTAGGCATTTTAGGGGAAGCATAATTGAGAGAATTTCAGCAGTCCACATTTCCACTGTAGACTGAAGCAATCCAAACCATGAGTGGGCTCCTCTACCCACCTGAACTCTGCTGTAGAGAGCAAGAGAGTCAAAGCTGTGTTCTAGGACCATGGATGGCAAACCCACACCACAGCCACCACCAACACCAGTGCACGCCACTTAGGACCCAGAGGGTCATTCCACAACTGTTACTGCCATTAACCACACCATGCTGACTTCCCAAGGACCAGGGAATCCACTTACATGCCCAGCCCATAGTTGCCGATACCAGTATCCAAGCATACCATCTGGAGACCCAAGAATTAGCCCACCTGGTCCCACTAACACCAGCACCAGCATATGCCACCCTGGAGCCCAAGATCAGGCAAACTCTGCCTATTGCTGCCACTGCTTCTCAGCCCAATAAAGATGGGCAAACCTGGCATCCCTGTCCCAAGGAAAACTTCACCATGACCTCCACTAATAATTACATCCTAAACCATTGAGGAAATCACAGATACCACTGATATTGTTTACAGAAAAAGGAATTATAAGAAATTACACTACCAGTTGCACCCCAAGTTAGTCAAAGTGCCACACCTTACCAACGCCATTGAGGCATCCTCAAGAGAAAATTATCCCTGACAAAATCAAATTAAAAAAACTGAAAGAAGCAACTATTACACCAGAGGCGTAGACATCAACAGAAGGACACAGGAAGCATGAAAATCAGGAAATATAACACCTCCAAAGGAATACCATAATTCTCCAGAAACAGATTCCAATTAAGGAAATTCAGGAAATCCTAAAAAAGAAATTCAAAATTGTGAAACTAAAGAAGCTCAGGGAGAAACAAGAGAATTAAATATACAAAGAAAACAATTGCAGAACACTCAGAATGAGAAATTTGCCAAAGACACACATTTCAAAGGAACTACACACAATTTTAGAAATGAGGCATTCCTTGAATGACATACAAAATACACACAAAAGCTTCAACAATAGACTAGGTCAAACAAAAGAAACAATCTCAGAACTTGAAAACAGACCTTTTTAAATAACCCACCCAGACAAAAACAAAGAAAAAAGAATTTAAAACCTGAACAAATTCTTCATGCTATATGGAATACCATAAAGCAACCAAATATATGTGTTATCATCATCCCCAAAAGTGAGGAGAGAATGGAAGTTTTTCAAAACCTGTTCAGTGAAATAATAGATTAAAAAGTACAAAGTCTAGCAAGAGACTGAGACATCCAGATACAGAAGACCCAGTATTCCTAAACAGTACAATGCAAAAAGGGCTTCTCCATGTCACATTATAGTCAAACTGCATAAAGTCATTGACAATGAGAAAATTCTAAAACCTGCAAGAGAAAAGCATCTACTCACCTATAAATGAGCACCCATCAGATTAACAGTGTACTTCTTAGTAGAAAACTTATAGGCCTGGAGAGAATGGGAGGATATAATCAAAGTGCTGAAAGAAGAAAACTGCCACCCAAAGATACTATATTCAAGAAAATTATCTGTAATAAATGAAGGAGAAATAACTTCTTTCCCAGAAAGGCAAATGCTGAGATAATTCACCACCACTAGACCTACCTTACAAGAAATGCTCAAGGGAGTCCTAAACCTGAACGTGAAACGATGCCAGTTACCATCACAAAAACACACAACAATACAAAACTCACAAACAAAGCAAACACACAAATTAGAAACAAATAGACTCAAATGGTACCACCACAGAAAATCAACAAACCACAAGGACAGACAGTAAGAGAAAAAGACAGGAAAAAGGAGTATAAAAAACAAACAGAAAATAATTAAACCATATGACAGGAACAAAACATAAGCATCAATATTAACCCTAAACATATATGAATTATATTCTTCACTAAAAAGTTATAAACTGGTTGGATAAATTTTTTTTAATAATCCAATGGTATGCTGCCTACAAGAAACTCACTTTGCCTGTAAAAACACATATAGACTCAAAATAAAGGGATAGAAAAAGATACTCCACACAAATGGAAACCAAAAGCAAGCAGCAGTAGCTATACTTATATCAGATAAAATGGACTTTAAGTCAAAAACAGTAAAAACCAAAAAAGACAAAAAAGTTCACAATGTAATGAATATAATGATAAAAATACCAATCTATCAAGAAAATATAACAATTCTAAATACATAGGCACTCAACACTGGAACATGCATATTTATAAAGGAAATATTACTAGATCTAAAAAGATATACTACGATACAATAATGTAAGGGACTGCAACACCCCGCTCTGAGCATTAAATAGATCACCTAGACAAAAAATTAACAAAAAATTAGACTAAAAGTGAAATTTCTACCTATGGACCTAACAGACATTTACAGAACATTTATCCAACACCTGCAGAATACATATTCTTCTCATAAGCACATAAAACATTCTCCAGTACTGAGCATATGGTAAGCTACAAAATAAGTCTCAGCAAATTTTAAAAAATTAAAATCATGTCAAGTGTCTTCTCAAACCATAATAAAATAAAACTAGAAATCAATTTAAAAAATGAAATTTGGAACTATGCAAATGCATGGAAATTAACATGCTACTGAATGAAGAAATTAAAGTGGAAATCAAAAAATTTCTTGGAATAAATTAAAATTTAAAAACCAACATACCAAAACGTGTGTATCTCAGCAAAAGCAGTGCTAAGAAAAAAGTTTTTAGCAATAAGTACCTACATCTGAAAAAACAGAAAGACTTCAAATAAATAATTGAATGATGCACCTCAAGCAACAAGAAAAGCAAGAGCCCAAATTAGAAGCAGAAAATAAAAGACCAGAGCAGAATTAAACAAAATAGAGACTACAAAAATTAAAAGGATGAACAAAATTAAAAATTAATTCTTCAAAAACATAAAAAATTGATAGATCACAACTAGACTAAGTAAATAAAAGAAGACTCAGATAAATAAATTTTGAGATGAAAAAGTAAACATTAAAACTAATACTGCAGAAATAGAAAAGATTTTCAGACTCCATTAGGAACAACTATATGCTAAAAAATAAAACCTGGAAAATCAAGAGGGAATACATAAGATCCTGAAAATATGCAATCTACCAAGATTAAATCAGACATAAATAGAAGATCAGAATAGAACAATAGTGAATAATGAGATTGAACCCATAATAAAAATTCTCACAACAAAGAAAAGCCCAGGATATTGGATTCACTACAGAATTCTACCAAATGTTTATAAAAGAACTAATATCAATCCGCCTCAAACGATTTCAAAAAAATTAAAGTTCTTCCTAACTCATTCTATGAGACCACCATTATTATGATACCAAAACCAGAAAAGGACATAACAACAAAAACTACAGGCCAATATCCTTGATAAACACAGATGCAAAAATCCACAACAAAATACTAGCAAACCATATTCAAAAGTACATCAAAAAGATAACACATGATCAACTGGGATTTCATTGTTGATACAAGCATGGTTCAACATATACAAATAAATAAGTGTGATACATCACATAAACAGAATGAAAGACAAAAACCACATGATCATCTCAATACATGCAGAAAAAGCATTTGACAAAATTCAACACCCTTCATGAAGAAAACTCTCAATAAACGATGCATAGAAGGACCATACATGAATATCTTATGTGGACAGTCCTGTAGACCTCACTATTTCCTTGATGTATGAGGCAGAAAACAGTTTTAGAAATACCTCAGGAAGCAGTTTGAAAAGATTATTCATAGTCCACAAAGAAACAAACAAAAAGAAGCAGACACATAGTCCAATGGAACAGAATAGAAAACCCAGAAATAAATCCATATATTTACAGTCAACTGATCTTCAACAAATCAAGAACATACATTAGGGAAAAACTGGATAACCTCATGAAGAAGAATGAAACTGGACCCCTATCTCTCCTCATATATAAAAACCAACTCAAGATGGATTAAAGACTTAAATGTAAGACCTGAAACTATAAAAACACTAGAAAAATTATAAAGAAAACTCTTCAGGACATTAGGCAATTATTGTACAGGTAAGACTTCAAGAGCAAAATCAACAAGAGCAAAAAACATAGACAAATTGGACTATATTAAACTAAAACAGCTTCTGCACAGCAAAAGTGGCAATCAACAGAGTGAAGAGTCCATCTGTCAAATACGAGAAAATATTTTTAAGTAGCTGCTCTGACAGGAGATTATATCCAGAATATACAAGGAACTCAAATATCTCAACAGAAAAAAAAGATAATCCCATTAATAAATGAGCAAAGATAAATTTCCACATAACCAGAGAATTCTCAAAAGAAGACATACAAATGGCCAATAGATATGTTAAAGAAAAAAAAAAAGCTCAACACTGCTGATCACAAGTGATGTGGTTTGGATCTGTGTCTGTCCAAATTTCATGTTGAATTGTAATCCCCAGTGTTGGCGGTGGAGCCTGATGAGAGGTGAGGTGATTGGACCATGGGAGCAGTTTCTCAAGAATGGCTGAGCACCATCCCATAGTGCTGTTCCCATGATACAGTTCTCATCAGATGTGGTTGTTTAAAAGTGTGTGGCACCTCCTCTCTCTCTTTACTGCTCCTGCTCCTGCCATGTAAGATGTCTGCTCCTGCTTTGCCTTCCATTATGAGTAAAAGCTTCCTAATTCCTGCCCAGAAGCAGAAGCTACTATACTTCCTATATAGCCTGTGCAACTGAGTTAATTAACCTCTTTTCTTTATAAATTACCTAGTCTCAGGTAGTTCTTTATAGCAATGTGAAAACTGACTAATACAATGAGGGAAATACAAATCAAAACCACAATGAGATTTCATCTCACCCTGATAGAATGGCCATTATTAAAGAGACAAAAAATAAGAAGATGTTGGCAAGGATGAAGAAAAAATGGAACTCTCATAAGCTGTTGGTGGAAGTGTAAGTTAGCGCAATTCCTATGGAAAACAGCATGGACATTTCTCGAAAAGCTAACAGTAGAACTACCATGTGATCCGGCAATCTCACTGCTAGATATCTATCCAAAGGAAAAGACAGTATATCAAAGAGATGCCTGTACTTAGATGTTTATTGCAGCACTATTCGCAATAGAAAATGTATGGCATTAAACTAAGTGCTCAACAACAGACAAAGGTATAAGACAAATGTGGTATATATACATAATGGAATACTATTCAGCCATAAAAAAAATGAAATTATGTCATTTGCAAAAATATGAATGGAACTGGAGGTCATTGTGTTAAGTGAAATAAGCCAGGCAAAGAAAGAAAAATACCGCATATATTTTTCCAAGATTGTGAGAGAACAAATTTCTATTGTTTTAATCCACCCAGTTTGCGGTACTTTGTTATGGCAGCTCCAAAAAATCAATTTCCTTGTTCTTATTTCTGACCCACAAAAAGTGAAGATAATAAAGGTTTGCTGTTTCAAGATGCTATGCTGAGTTTTAGACTAAATTGTTATGCAGCAGTAGATAACTAATACACATATTGCTTTGAACTATATAAATGTGTGACAGTTCTAAGAGTAAAAGGTAAGGGAATGATACACAAATTTCAAAGTAGTGTTTACTTGTAGGAGGAAGGCAGACATGAGATAGAGGGGAATATATTTAACTATAGTGAAGATATGATAGCTCTTTTTTGCTTGTATTATTTTTAATTGACACATAATAATCATACATATTTATGGGATACAGTGTGACATTTCAATACATGTATACAATGTGTAATGATCAAATCAGGAGAATTAGAATATTCAGCACCTCAAACACATATCATTTCTTTGTGTATGGGACATTCAAAATTTACTCTTCTCACTATTTGAAAATATACAATAAGTTGTTATTAATAAACTGTAGAACAATATAACCTATTCCTCCTATTTAGTGGTACTTTTGTATTTGTTAACTTACCTTTGGCTATCCTCTCTCCCCCTACCATTCCCCACCTCTAGTAACCACTATTCTTCTATTATACTTCTATGAGATCTACTTTTTAAGCTTCCACGTAAAAGTGAGAACATGAAATATTTGAGATATGCTAATTCTTAAATTTTTGCAGGGTTCAAAGGTGTCCATCTTAATGTTATGCTTTATAATATAGATATATTTATCAATATCATGTTGATTATGTCAATATTAAATTTAAAAAAATGTAACTATGTTGTTTAGAAAAATTAAAAAATTTAATACAGAAAATAACAAATCCTCTCTAGCCACCTGCTTTGTTTATAAAATAAAACTTGCTACATCTCAATTAGTTACTGCATATTGATTCTGAGTACCACAGAAATTAGGCACCATTTCTTATTCATAATGTGCCAGCCTGACTGAATTCCAGATCCTTTAAATATGATATCTGGAATGATTACCAAGATGATAATAACCAATAGTTATTTTTATGGACTCGATGTTTGTGACTACCCAAAATTCATGTGTTCAAGCCCTAAACCCCAACATGATAGTATTTGGAAATGGGGCTTTGGGAAATCAATTAGGATTAGATGATGTTCTGATGGCGGGACCCTGGTCTGATGGAATTAGTGCTTTTATAAGAAGAGACACCAAAGAGTTTCTCCCCCTCCCTCTCTCCCTCCGCCCTCCCCCCACCATTTGAAGATACAGTAAGATGAGAGCCACCAACAAGCCAAGATGAGAGGTCTCATAATAAAACCTACCTTGCCAGCATTTGATCTTCGACTTCCAGCCTCTAGAACTGTAAGAAACAAAAATTTCCATTGTTTAAGCCACACAGTCTGGGATATTTTGTTATGGCGGCCTGAGCAGACTAAGGCAGTTATCCTTAGCCTACACATTATAGATGAAGATGCTCATGCTCAGAGCTGGATTTGGCCAAGGCAACATATTCACTGTCACTGGAACTCCAGCTCAGATCACTCATCAAAGCCAAAGGTCCCCATGGAGCCCTACCCCGGAACCAATATTCAACTTGACGGTGCCTGAAGCATGACATTTCTCCTTTACTATCATAGTTTATCCTTAATTTTGGAAACATGAGACATCATTTTATACAACTGCAGAACAAGTGTAGGAAGGTTCCTGGGTGGACTTGGATATTAAATGTACTTGGCCTTTTCTGACTCTTCCACCCAGGGCCAGCGTCATGGGCATGCAACCAGTGCAGCCACACATGGCCTAGAACTAGAAAGAATCTCTGCACTTGGAGTTTAATACTTTGTGGTCACTATCTTGAAATTCCTAATAACAATTTTCTGTTGAATTTGTGTTTTGTAAGTGAAATCCAATGAGACAATGGAACATGCATGATGGGCTTGGAGCCTTGACTACACACAGTTTGGCATTCTGGTCCCTTCCACCTTCCTGGAGTAGGCTTTGAATAATCCACTTCCACATATCACTCTAGCAACTGCTGCGAGTCTTTGCCTTTGTGGGGTGTTAGAGAGGGTTGAGGTCAGATATTCATGTCCTGAACAGCAAATTATAAGACATGATGTGTGTGACAGTCTATGTCTGCTATGCAAGTATCCCTGTGCTCCAGGAAGGGTGATACTAGAGCATGTAAAAAACACAATGACAGGCCTAGGAAGAAAGAAAAACGCTTTGTATTTTGAACACGGAACCGTGCATTTCTATTCTGCACTCAAGATTCTATGAGTCTCTGATTCAGATTTTCTAGTGCTAAAGGAGACATGGTTCTGTCACATAGAAGATATTCAATTCCAACACAACAGATTGCATTCTAACTTCTGTTTTGAAAACTCTTTGTTTGTATACATGATTTCAGCTCTATCATTTGAAGCTTACACTGTCCAAATGGACAACCAGGAGGCAGCTTGCCAAGATGAAGAACATTCTATCTATTTAATTAGTGCTGGTTGCCAAAGGTTTCACATTCTCTGCCACTTCCAGACCAGGATAGTGTACTTTCTGGTCTTCTTATTCTTGGATTGGAGCATTGGACTTCTTTTAGCCAATAAGTAGAAGATTGAAATAAAGTGCCACTTACAGGATAAGTATATGTCATTGTAATAGCTCTCTTTTCTCTGTCATGGCAACCAGCAACACATAAAACCATGGTAAATTGTATTATTGTGAAAATAATTGTCTGTCTCTTACAGAGTCCCTCCTTAAAGTCCCTTCCTATTAGAGGATTAGAAGTCCTCCCTAATGACGTCAAGCTTGAGCTGAACAATAGCCATGTATCAGTGAAATGTGAGTGGAAGCGATGTGTGCCCCTTCTGAGAAATAGCTTTAAGATCAACTACTTTGTTCAGCTGTTCTTTCTTTTTCTTCCAGGATATTAGCATGCCCAGATTCAAGGTGCTCCTTTAGATTGGGCGCTGGAATGAAGACAAGATGAAGCAGATTATAGTTGGCCAAAATAAGACATTAATGTGAACAAGAAATAAACTGGTTTGCTGTAAATTACTGAGATTTTGAGGATGATTATTACTGCAGCATAATTTAGTGTATACTAACTGATATGAAGAGAGTAGTCATTCCACCCACCTGGATTTCTTAGGATCAGAGTGCAACTGGGGAGCCATGATGGATATGTAGCATAAGCAAGAATAAGTCCATGTTATGTTAAATCACAGAGATTTGGGTTGTTTATAACTTCTGCACAATCTAGATTAAACCAATGGTTATATAATCCATGATGTAAATGGCAATACTTCCATTTTAATAATGCTGCCTTATGAGAAAGTAGAAATATCCACATAAACATAATTATATATAAGAGTCTCAAAAGAAATGACCTACTCTCATTCCACAGGAATTTTCCCAGTGATTTTAAATTGTGCAGCATAATAAATAGGCAATTTTCTTTTCTAAATGAAAGCAGAGAAGAGAAAAGAAGAGAAAGGCAGAGGATGACACAGTATATCACTTATAGTAAGGATAAGTAAATACTACTTTGTGAAATTTTGTTTTAATTGTACATATATGAACAAGTGTGTATATATGACATTACAAGGTAAAGGGTATCTCTTACTGGGGATCATGGTAACGCTTGAAAACACTGATCGTGGATTACAGTATATTTAGACTTTATGTCTGGGAAAATTACAAATTAATAATTTTTTTCTTCTTCTGACTTGATTTCATCTTCTAAACATTAGACAATGAATATGTACTAATTCTGTCAAAAAATAAAGTATATGTAATTTCATGTACATCTTAAGTTTTTGATTACTACATTGCCATTTAGATTGCATCCCTCTTCTCCAGCTTCTCCTCTCTCCCCAATTTAAAAAGTACTGTTCTTGTTTTTTCTTTTATGAATGAAATGCTGCAAAGCATATTATATATCTTTAATCTGTCACTTACCATGATATTGCCCTCTGACAGCATTTATACTCAGGTGAAAAGATTCAGAGCTAGCTACCTAGAGTAACAGATCTCTAACTAGATGTGATAACTCTATCTATTGTGTTCAGATCAGTGGGAAAGAATATAGTGGAGTTACAGCTTATCTGCCTGCAATCACACACATCTTTCAACTGATATCTATGCAACAGTCCTAAAAAGTTAGAAAGTTATCATTCATGTCTGTTGCAACAAAAACTTACTATCATTATCATCATCATCATTATTTTGCTTGGATTGGTGGGCTTAATTTTTATAAATTTGTTTATGGTTAAAAAGAAAACCCTATTCTCATTTGCATATAGTAATCAGGTGCTTGTTCTACTGCACTATCTGAAATACAGATATGAAAAGATGCCAGCATATATTTTTTAAAAAATTGGTCTTCAAAAGAAACTAACTAGAAAAGCACTGACCCTCAATTACTTGGAAAAACAAACAGATATGTCAGTCTACATACTATTGAGAGATGTTTTATGTCTAAATATTGGATAAAAGAGCCAAGTGTCATGTCATAGAGGCAAGAGAAATGAGGAAAGAGATAGATGACTTTTTTGCAGCACTAGAAGCAGTGAAGTGGTGGGTAATAAGCTGTGTATATTGGTTGTTCTATTCATAGCTAGGAATATACACAGCGAAAACAAATCCAGATACACAAAGTTGCAACAGAGCCATTCCATTGGACCAAAACATGCCTTCACAGCCTTTACGACTTTAATATACCTTCAAGAATGTTAAAAAATAATTCCCATATAGATTACTTTTTCCTTTGAGGGGAGGGCATGGAATGTAGTAACGTATTGGTTCATAGTCATCGCTACAATCCATGAGAAATTCTTTTCTGCACTTCTCATCTGCCCACATAATTCAGCACTCTATTTAAACAATCTCTCTTTCCCCACTTGGAGAAGATCCTTGAGTCTTAGATTTGCCTTTGAAGCTTTCAAGCAAGTGATGTATTGAAAAGATATATTGAATGCTGTGTTAATCAGGACAATTTTGACTGCAAAAGACTGAAAGTCAGCCGTCCTCTGGATGGGCGCTAGGCGGGGCAGGCAGGTAGAAGCCACTTATTGGTTCAGGTTTGACTTTGACTGACTGGATTCAGCATTTCAAACGTGTCTCCTCTTCTTTGGTCGTGCTTTCCACATGGCAGGCTGTGCATCTGCAAAACGACTTAGCAGCCCAGGGGTGCTATCTGGCCAGTTTAGTAATACCCTCAAGAGTATTCTTTTTTCCTTGATACTTTCTGCAACTGTGGCCTCGCTTAGGTCCCATGTGCTCTCAAAACAATTACTGTAGCTGAAGGTTATGATTCTGTCATTTACCAGGTCCATCGTCCCTTTGACACCAAATGGCTTCAGACCCTCTTGAAGAACATGTGCCAAGATTGGGGGCTGGTGATTTACCAAAGGAAAATCCTGTTGCTCTTATCAGAATAAGGGCAACAATAATACTAGATGTCCTCCACAGTTAACTTACAACGTTTGAGGCACTGTTTCATCTCTGATTACTCTATTCCACAATCAGCTTGACACTAGCATTCTTCTCTGGATGAAAATCAAGACAAATTTGGCCAGTAGCCCAAAGATCCTTAGAATCAAGGAGCTGGAATAGAACTTTCTCTGGCTTGATCCCTTCAATTACCAATAAAAGGACTGAGACCAACAGAGGTTAAGTGACTTACCCAAAGTTATAGACTTAATTTATCAGGGCTGGGCCTAGGCTTCTACATCTTTTGACCTCCAATCCTCAGTCTTCATCTTTACATTATGTGCAGTTATCACAAAACCACTGGCTAATTTGAGGGGATATATTGGAATGGAGGCTGACAATTGAAATTTTCATAGAATTGGTGAATATTAGATGTGGGAGTAGATGGGACCTAGACAGCTCTGGGAGGCCAGACAGCACAAAGCACATAAACCATCACATAACAAGAATCACCTGGCTCATACCTGGCCATTAAGATAAGTATATTTCAGACATTTTATGCCCCTGTGTCACTTGCTCTGCATTCACAGTCTTGAAGAAAGTTTCCAGCTGAGCAAAGGTAAATCATTTTCCTTCTCCTAGTTGTACCAGGCAGATGGAGAAAGAATTTTGGCCTTTGGACTTCCAAAGGAGCTAAGTTATTTACATCTGGATTTACCATTCTGTAAAAGCAACACAAACTGCAGGTGGGGTGGTTCCCCAAAGGAAGCCGAGGTATATACTGGGATATATGCTGGGGGCCCTCAATCCAACATACAAATGTCCTTTAAAAGGAAGTGTATGAAGAAATAACAAAAATGTCTTTGGTATCATTATAGATCAAAGAAATCAACACTGTCAATATAAAATAAGGAAGTACCTCCCCAGGAACTGACAACTTACGTGAGATGGACCGGCTTTGACTTCTTCCTCAAATTCCTTTCATTAGAATTCTAGGTGTGGCATTCAGCAATTCATGTACAAACAGAGAGGATTAGCAAAAGCAAAGCTTAAATGAAACCACCCTATGCACTCTTTTTTTTTCTTAGAAGCCTTAAAATATTTTGCTTTGGCTACCAGAAAATTTTATTGAGCTGCTCTTTTAGTTACACGCACATACATGCATGGAGTTGATAACACTACAGCAATGAGCAAAAAAAGTAATCAGACTGGTAACACATCCTCCCATCTTAATAAACAGTGTGCTCAAGTACAATATAAATCATTTGTTTTCACTGTATTTGCACAGAGAAGATAACACACATCAGGATTATGCTCACTTCATTACACTGGAGTGAATCTTTTCCTGTCCTTGATAATTGCCATTTCAAGGAGAATTCTTTTTGTTTGTTTGTTTTTTTCAATTTTGTGTGTGTGTGTGTGTGTGCATGCTTGCACATGTGTGCTTCCTATAATAATTAAAGAGCTAAGTAAGCAGCTGAATAAATAATAGAGAGAAAAGGAACAGAGCTTTGTTAAGCTATCTCATAAAGCTTACTACTGGTTCCTTTTCTGAAGTTAAATCATATTAATGTATCACAATCCGCATGTTTCTAAATTCCTGTTGCAACACAGAAAATGGCATTCTGATGAAGGTACCATGCACCCCACACTGGTATGTTCCTGAGGCAGCTGAAGGCTAGCAATTCCATAACCATAACCGCCTGATGTTAATATCCTAAGCCAGTCTTTAAAGGCTTCTTCGCTTGCCTGTCAGCTGCCCACCTCAGGGAACAGGCAGCATCCCACACCCTGGCAGCACAAGTGGATTTGTCAGCTCCAGCAAGTGCCACATTCGGCATTCTCTGCCACAGCCTGTGCATGCACATTGTTCTTTGGAGAGCTTTGCTCTGGGTCTTCAGTCCCTTGAAGGCAACTACAGTTCCGATCATTACCAGACAAAATACTCAGAGAGTGAACAGAGCCTTCTGGAAATGCAGATATCTCACAGAATTAATACAACTCCAAAGAATGGCTTTTTGAAGTAATGGGATACAAAATCCAAACTCTAAGTATTTAGCTGAAAAAGAGCTAAATACTGACCCTTTATTCACTGGGCCTCCAATTTTCATTCTGCACTACTAAAATATAAACATTGTTTTAAAAGTAAAATATTCATTGTCTTCTATAGTTACCATCTGTAGGGTGTTTTAAGAAGAAATTTCAGAAACCCTATGAAGGAATCCAAGAAGAAAATGTATTGGGAAAACATGCAAGGAATTTATTTACTTTAGGAGCAAAAGCCTCACTCAAAATTTTTTAAATTTTGGAAATTGGATAAATAATTATTTAGTTTAGCTCAACAGAAAAACTATTGTCCAGTATATATTTTTTAACTTTTATTATAAGTTCAAGGGTACATGTGCAAGTTTGTTACATAGGTAAACTTGTATCATGGGGGTTTGTGGTACAGATTATTTCATCATCCAGGTATTAAACCTAGTACCCACCAGTTATTTTTTCTGATCATCTCTCTCCTTCCACCTTCCATTCTTTGATAGGCCCCATTGTCTCTTGTTTCCCTCTATGTGTCCATGTGTTCTCCTCATTTATCTCCCACTTATAAGTAAGAACATGTGGTATTTGGTTTTCTGTTCCCGCATTAGTTTGCTAAGGATAATGGCCTCCAGCTCCATCCATGTTCCTGGAAAGGCCATGATCTCATTCTTTTTAATGGCTTCATAGTATTCCATGATATGTGCCACATTTTCTTTATCCAGTCTATCATTTATGGGAATTTAGGTAGATTCTAAGTCTGTGCTATTGTGAACAGTGCTGTAAATGAACATACAGAACATACACATTCATGTGTGTCTTTATGATAGAACGATTCATGTTCTTTTGGGCATCTACCCAGTAATAGGATTGCTGGGCTGAATGGTAGTTATATTTTTAGGTCTTTAAGGAATCACCACACTGTTTTCTACAATGGTCGAACAAATTTACAATTCCACGAACAGTGTATTATAAGCATTTCTTTTTCTCCACAACCTAGATATCACTTTAAAAAAATTTTTTTTTAATTTTTAGTAATAGCCTTTATGATTGGTGTGAGATGGTATCTTATTGTGGTTTTGATTTGCACTTCTCTAATGATCAGTGATGTTGGGCTTTGTAAAACGGGCTTGTTGGCTGTATATGTATCTTGAAAAGTGTCTGTTCATGTCCTTTACCACTTTCTAATGGGGTTCTTTTTTTTTCTCTTGTAAATTTGTTTAAGTTCCTTATAGATGCTGGATATTAGACCTTTAAGAGAAGCATAGTTTGCAAAAATTTTCTCCCATTCTGTAGGTTGTCTGTTTACTCTGTTGATAGTTTCTTTTGCTGTGCAGAAACTCTTTAGTTCAATTAGATCCCATTTGTCCATTTTTACTTTTGTTGCAATTGCTTTTGTCTTCTTCATCATGAAATCTTGCCCATTTCTAAGTCTCAAATGGTATTGCCTAGGTTGTCTTCCAGGGATATTATAGTTTTGGGTTTAACATTTAAGTCTTTAATCCATTTTGAGTTGATTTTTGTATATGGTATAAGGAAGCAGTCAGGTTTCAATCTCCTGTGTATGGCTAGCTAGTTATCCCAGCACCATTTATTGAATAGGAAGTCCTTTTCCCATTGCTTGTTTTTGTCAGCAGCTTTGTCAAAGATCAGATGGTTCTAGGTGGGTGGCCTTCTGTCTGGGTTCTCTATTCTATTCCATTGGTCTATGTATCTGTTTTTGTACGACTGCTATGCTGTTTTTGTTATTGTAGCCCTGTAGTATAGTTTGAAGTTGGGTAGCATGATGCCTCCCACTTTGTTCTTTTTCCTTAGGATTGCCTTGGCTATTCAAGCTCTTTTTTTGTTCCATATGAATTTTAAAATAGTTTTTTTCTAGTTCTGTGAAAAATATCATTGGTAGTTGGATAGGAATAGCATTGAATGTATATATTGCTTGGGCAATATGGCCACTTTAACAATATTGATTCCTCTTATCCATGAGCATGTAATGTTTTTCCATTTGTTCGTGTCATCTCTGATTTCTCTGAGCAGTGTTTTGTAGATCTCCTTGTAGAGATCTTTCACCTCCCTGGTTAGCTGTATTCCTAGGTATTTTATTTGTTTTGTGGCAATTGTGAATGGGATTGCATTCTTGATTTGGCTCTCAGCTTGACTGTTCTTGGTGCATAGGAATGCTAGTTATTTTTGTATGTTGATTTTGTATCCTGAGAATTCACTGAAGTTGTTTATCAACTTGATGAGCTTTAGAGCCAAGTCTATGGAGTTTTCTAGGTATAGGATCATGTCATCTGCGAACAGAGATAGTTTGACTTTCTCTCTTCCTATTTGGATGCCCTTCATTTCTTTCTCTTGCCTGATTGCTCTTGTCCAGTATATTTTAAACAGAGTAATACCCAGTATTTTTCTTCTTGTTTCTTTAAAATCAACATACCTCAAACAAACATAAAAGTATTCCCTATTTCCCCAAACGTGTTTGTTCTATTAACTTCTACCTAAGTTATAAAATCACCATCCCTCAGTAATCCAGTATGAAAATCTCAAATCTATAAAATCATCAAACAAAAATTCTTCATCTCGCTATCAAAAAGGTCATCAAGTTTTTTCAATTCTGCCTCCTTTGCATTCATCCCTCTCTATCTGTGGCTGTCAGTGCTTTAATAAAGGCCCTTCTCATATGTCTCCTGGATTATAGTAATACCCCCCACCGAAAAAAGCATCATACTGCCTCCAATCCTTCCCATCTACAACAATTAATCTTCCACACTGCTTTCAGAGTGAGTTTTCCTAGAACACAGAAGCACACCCATCACTTGCAGCTTGAAATCCTTACCACAATATTCACACCTCTTGATTTCCGAGAGCCAGGCAACCTATCCAATGTTATATTCACCTTTCCACCCACCAACTACACTTCATTAGGATGCAGTATTTCTTTCCTGAATATGCTATGTGTTCTGAAGCCTCTCTGTTTTTGCCTTGTAACAGGAAGAGTCTTACCAAGAAAGAAAAATTTGGACAGGAAAAGTTTAATATAAAGAATGATTAACTATAACAGAGGATTTGAGTTATAGTGGATTGGCTAGAAAAAAGAAAAGCAAACTCTAGAGAATATAGAAATAGCAGCTAAAGGGAAAAGCCATCACCTCCAGGACTGAGATAGAGCAATTAGGAAGCCCACCTCTGCCAAACGCTGAGATCCAGAATTTGTTGGAGAGTGCATGGCAATGAATCAGGGATGGCACAGAAGTCATCGTGCTAGAGAAATTTGCTGGAAATTCACTCTCTGGGACTTGCTGAGTAAGCCACTCATAAGAACGTGTCTCGCCAGAGGCACTGTGCTGTGAAATGACCACAAGGTATTGCTTTGGGGAGCTGCAGGTTTGTGGGTACTGCTGGCTACTGTGCTCTACAGAAGCTGAAAGCTGCAGAAGCCATAAGAGCACCTGTTCGGCCAACCCCCTGGAACTATAAAGCAAAATCTTTTCCCCTTCACAGTTTCTCTAGCATCTACTATTGACAAAGCTTAACGTCTTTCCAGCTGACAATGGAAAATTATTAAAGCACCCATTTCGTTGCTATAAGCAACGAATTGTGAAAAGGCTGCCAAGTATGAACATAGACCCAAGAGGCAATAAGTCAGTAACTGGCATATGCGCTTATCTTTCTCTCAGCATGGAATACCCTTCCCTTATTGTCTAGTTAAAGTGCTCCCTCTTTGCTAAAGCCTTTTCCCACCATCACACTCTGATCCCAAGCAAAATTAAACAATTCTTTGGAATGTTGTCCATATCATTAAAGCAAACTGAATCAAAATTCATTTACGTGACTCTCTCCTACTATTTACTTTTTCTGTGAGATTTTCAAGGACAGGAACTGTGACTTATGCGTCTAGGTGTCACAGCCTCTCACATAAGATCCAAAATCAGAACAAGCTCTCAATGAATTTCACAATACAAAAGAAAATAGAGGAACTAGAAATTGCCAGACAATAAAAATAGTTTCAGTTGCTATTCATCACTCCTTTTAGTTAGATGAACCCAGAGATCTCAAATATTTTTGTCCTTTATCAGCCAAGGCCCAGGGAGGTCAAGTAACTTATAAAATATTATATAATTAGTCAGTGGCAAAGTAAAGACTGCAACCCAATTGACAGATAGGACCTCAATTCCAATGGTTTCTTCATCCTTTCATAATACTTTCTACTAGGAAATAAAATTCACACACTATATTATACTTAGATTTTTATTTCTCCATAATTGGTGATTTAGGTTGCCAGATTTCTATCAATAATTTATTCATCTTCTTGATATTCAAAAATGGGATCATGAAATAGGAAAACATACAGATCATGTCCCTACATACTCTATGCTCTGCTCTACAGATTGGCTTATCACTTTTTCCTCTGTTTGTAATTCTTCCCACACCTTTTCATCTGTCTTCATTAAGGCTCTCTACAGTTGAAATAATAGACAGACATTAACTCTAGCTTAATTAATGGGGATAAAGTAAGTCTCATAATGCAGTGAAAATAAAATCTGAAAAATATATAAAGACCATAACACTCTGTGTGTGTGTCTCTTCTCTTTTCTTTTCATCTACACTTCTTACATATTCTTCACTCTTCTCTTTACATCTAACCAGCCTGCCCTGCCTATCTATGTTCATGACAAAATAATAACAAAGTTGTCCTGAACTCCAAGTTAACATTTTCTAAAAGGATCAGGACCTGCCACTATCTGCCTGGGATTTTGAAATTGCAACTACAAATCTCAGGAGGACAAAATTGATTAGATCATTTTGGATCAGGATGTCAATTCAAATCCAATCAACTGTAGGTGGTGGGCTAATGTGGCAATCTGTTCTGTCTACCTGTCAACACACACATAAATGCAAAGCAAGTGTCTCATCTAACGGAATAGGAAAGGTATCAGTCTGACAGGAGGAGGCTGTGATCTAAGTCAGAACTTCTGTGTTTACTCTATTTTACTATTGAAATCCTATATCGTTTTCAGGCCCAGTTTAAGTGCCTAAAATGATCCCTAGTAACCAGTCTTGCCTGAATCTAGGAAACAAAATTAGTTACTTCTGGTTGTTGTGCCTCTGTTATAAGATTCAATTCATTCTGCAAATTATTATATATTTTTGCCTACATATCTATCTTTTCCAGCCATTTGAATTGTCTTTTTATTCCCCAAAGTACTTAGAACAATACCATTAGATAGTATGTGTGACATAGTATCAATTGCACACTGAAAGAGTCTCTGAGCACATATGATGTATTCATTAATTACTTTAATAATTACTTATTGAGCATATACTATGTTCCAAACCCTGTGGTAGATACCATATACATGCATAGTAATGAACAAAACAGTTCACCTGTATGAAGTTCATTCTCTACTGTAAAGTTTAAACTATCAAAAGGCTTTAAGATAGCTTACTAGAGGCATCTGACACTTGCCTCCTCCACAAAGAAGAACAAAAATAGCAAGTAGCTAATCACACTTTAAATAAAGCATCTAAGAAAGAACACTGGAATTCAAGAGAGAAATGACAGGAAACACCTGACGCACAGAAGGAGCAGGAGTCAAGGCAGCCAGCTTAGCCAAGATTGCCTGGAAGCCAGCAGAGGCTCCCTCGTGCAGGCAAAGTGTAAGTGAGAGATTCCCAGTGGTCTGCCTTCCCACTGTGGACTCCTGCAATGTTGCCACTAGAAAATCCCTTGACGGTTCTGAGAATAGCATAGGGACCTTCCTGGAACCTGCATGATGGCATTGCTCCAGAGAGGGAGCTTATGCCAGATTCCACACACCCCAAGTTATAGGCAGCTGCAGCATGGCACTATTTTGAGAGCCCAGCCCCCACTATACTGCATCCTGCCCTGGAGCCCAACATCCCTGCATCTCCATATTCCTGGAGCCTCAATAACATCCCCTCTATGTTCATCCAGAGGTCTGCACAGCACAATACCTGTCAGACCCAGCAGAGCAGCAGGATCCCCAGGACTCTAGCAAACACAGTGTCCTGCACCATGGGGAATGGATGGTACAGTGTGCTGGGAGGCTACCTCTGGGACAAAGGGAGCCAAATCACATACTCCCTGGACTCAGAGAACCACCCACCTGGGATTACTACCACAGAAAGCAATCCAAACCCACCCCAGCAGCAGTGATGCTGCACACACACTCTGAGGACAGGCTCTACTGTCACCCAACTCAAATGCCACTACTGCTGCTGGGGACCAAAGTGCACATCACTAGCAGCGACCCACCCTCCCCACTAGCAGGACTGCTGTCATCCACTCGCATGTACCTTGAGGACTAGTTTACCCCACTGCTGATGCTTCCACAGGGGGCTAAAGAGCACACCCCAAAGAGCCTGAGAATTATCTGCCCATGGTTACAGTCAAGGTTAGCAACTCTGCTCCCCTTCCCCAAGTAGCAGGACTATAGGGAATTTGCATGCTATCTGAGAACAGACTCCCCCTACATTCCACCAATGCTGCTGCAGCCACATAAGCACTCTGCAGAGGAGCCTGAGATCACCCCAATCAGCCCACCACAGCCAGCATCCAAATGCACCACCAGTGGGCCTAAGGACAGGCTTTCTCAGCCTGGTACTGCTCTCCATCCAGTATCCAAGCACATGGCACAAAGGCTTAGGGATTGCACTGCTCTGTCCACCACCACCAGCATCTGTGCATTCCTCCTGGGGACCTGAGAATGTGTTCACCCAACCTGCCACTACTGTCACAGCAAGATGCTGTCACCCATATGTGCCACCTAGAGACTGGCACACTCAGCAAACTGCAGCTGCTGCTAACACAAACATCTGCTGCTTCAGAGCCCAAGGGTTGACTCACCACCACTACTTCCATCTCTTTATGCCATACACATTATGCAGGAGAACAAAGACCTACCATCTGCCCAGCCCACCACTGCCACTGCCAGCATCCCAGCAATCTAGAAGGCCAAGAGTACGCCCATTTGCACCCACTAAAACTCTGTATGCTGACTAGGGGCCCAAGGTTGCATAGCCCACCACTGTCACCAATGGGGCCCAAAGACCAGCCCGCTTTGCATCTTCATCCTCAGCAAAACCCCAACACAGCCTCCACTAACAACTGCAGCATAAGCCACAAAAAAAATCACAAGCACCACTAACATTGTTTACAGCCAAAGAAATCATACAGAGACTACACTACTGCATGCATCCAGAATTAAAGATAAAATGTCCTACCCAACCAACACCATAGATACATCTCCAGGAAAAATATTTCCCATGAAAACTAATCCTCAAAATTTGTAGAAACAACTATGACACCAGATATCAATGTAGGGACTCAAGAAACACAAAAAAGAAACAAAGAAAATTACACTTCCATAGGAACACAATAATTATTCAGCAACAGATTCTAAAGAAAAAATAATTTTATGAAATCCCAGGAAAAGAATTCAAAATAATAATATTTAAAAAGCCCTGTGAGATACAGAAAAACAAAACAGATAAACAATACAAAGAAATCAGATTAAAAATTCAGGACATGAGTGAGAAATTTATCAGAGAGATAGATATCATTTAAGAAACCAGAAATAAGATATCTTAGAGCTGAAGAATTCAGTGAATGAAACAAGAAATTCATTTGAGAGTTTCAGCAATAGACAAGAGTAAGCAGAAGAATCTCAGAACTTGAAGACAGTCTTTGGAAATAACTCTGTAAAACTAAAAACAAACAAACAAAAAACACCCCAAAACAAACAAAAACAAAGAATAAAATGCATGAAACAGCCTATGTGACATATGGGACACTATAAAGCAATTAAATATGTAAATTTTGGATATTTCAGAAAGTGAAGAGACCAAAGTCATGGAAAATCTATTTAATGAAATGATAACTGAAAACATCCCAAGTCTAGCAAAAGATTTAAACATTCAGATACAGGAAGCTCAGAGATCTCCAAATAGATGCAACCCAAAAAGTTACATTTTGTCCTTTCCCAGACACACTATAATCAAGTTGTCAAAAATCAGGTAAAGAGAGAATTATGAAAATAGCAACAGAAATGTGTCTAGTCATTTATAAGGGAAACCCCATCAGACTAACATCAGATATCTCAGCAGAAACCTTACAGGCCAGGAGTGCTGGAAAAAAAGGCCTACAAACCAAGAATACCATGCCCAGAAACATTTATCGTTCATAAATAAAGGAGAAATAAAGTCTTTCTCAGACAAGCAAAAACTGAGGTAATTCATTACTCCTAGACCAACTCTACAATATATGCTTCAGGGAGTCCTACACCTGAAAGTGAAATGACAGATCAATTATCATGAAAATCCACAAAAGCATAAAATGTACTGCCAAAGCAAACATACAAAAGAAGAAAAGGACATAAATATTACCACCACAGAAAATGACCAAACCACAATGATAAATAAGACAGAAATAAAGAAACAAAGAATATACAAAACAACCATAAAACCAACAACAAAATAATGGGAATAAGTACTCATCTACCAATAATAACCTTGAATGTAAATGAATTTTCCACTTAAAAGATACAGACTGGCTAAATGGATTTTTTTTTTAATGACCCAACTACATGCTGCCTATAAAAAACTCACTTCTCTGTGAAGACACGTAAGACTCAAAGTGAAAGGATGGAAAAAGATACTCCACACAAATGGAAATTAAAAGCAAGCAGGAGTAGCTATACTTATATCAGATAAAACAGACTTTAAGTCAAAAACAGTAAAAAAAAAAAGACAAAAGCTCATTAAATAATGATAAAGTAATCAATTCATTAAGAGGATGTGACTATTCTAAGTTTATAATGCACCCAACACGGAGCACCCATATTCATAAAGCAAATATTACTGGATCTAAAGAAAGAGATATATTTCAATACAGTAACAGTCAGTGACTTCCACACCACATTCTCAGCATTAGACAGATTATCTAAACAGAAAATAAACAAAGAAACATTGGACTTAAATTAGACTTTAGATGAAATGTACCTAATAGACATTTACAGAAAATTTTATCCAAAAACTACAAAAACGTGTTCCTCCTATCGGCACATAGAACACTGTCCAGGATTTATCATACATTAGACCACAAACAAGTCTTAAGTAAAAGAGAGAGAAGACGCAAATAAACAAAATCAGAAACAAAAAAGGTAATATAAAAACTGATACCGGCCAGGCTCAGTGGCTGATGCCTGTAATCCCAGCACTTTGGGAGGCCGAGATGGGTGGATCACGAGGTCTGGAGATGAAGACCATCCTGGCTAACACGGTGAAACCCCATCTCTACTAAAAATACAAAAAATTAGCCGGGTGTGGTGGCAGGCTCCTGTAGTCTCAGCTATTTGGGAGGCTGAGGCAGGAGAACGGCATGAACCCGGGAGGTGGAGCTTGCAGTGAGCCGAGATTGCGCCACTGCACTCCAGCCTGGGTGACAGAGTGAGACTCTGTCTCAAAAAAAAAGAAAAAAAAAAACTGATACCACAGAAACACAAAAGATCATTAGAGACTATTATGAAAAACTATACTCCAGCCAATTGGAAAACCTAGAGGAAATGAGTGAGTTCCTGAACACATACAACCTACAAAGATTGGATCAGGAATAAAAAGAAAACCTGAACAGCCCAACAACTAGTAGCAAGATTGAATCAGTAATAAAAAGTCTCTCAACAAAGAAAAGACCAGGACCAGATGGCTTCACCACGTAATTCTTCCATGTCTTTAAGAAGTAAAACAAATCTCCTCAAACTCTTCCAAAAAATTGAAGATGAGGAAATTCTCCCTAACTCATTCTATGAGGTTAACATCATCCTGATACCAAAACCAGAAAAGGACACAACAACAACAAAAAAACTATAGACCAGTATCCCTGATGAACAGAGATGCAAAAAATCCTCAACAAATTATTAGCAAACCAAATCCAACAGCACATCAAAAAGATAATACTCCATGATCAAGTTGGATTTCATTGTTGATTCAAGGATGGTTCAACATATGCAAATCAATAAATGTGTTACTTCGTATCAACAGAATGAAAGACAAAAACTACATGATCATCTCAATAGATGCAGAAAAAGCACTTGGTAAAATCCAATGTCACTTCCTGATTAAAAAAAGAAACTCTCAACAAACTAGGTATAGAACAAACATAACCCAACATACTAAAGGTAACATAGGCTGGAGTGGTGGCTCACGCCTGTAATCCCAGCACTTTGGGAGGCTGAGGCGGGTGGATCACCTGAGGTCGGGAATTTGAGACCAGTCTGACCAACACGGAGAAACCTCGTCTCTACTAAAAATTCAAAATAGCCAGGCATGGTGGCACATGCCTGTAATCCCAGTTACTTGGGAGGCTGAGACAGGAGAATTGCTTGAACTCACGAGGTGGAGGTTGCGGTGAGCTGAGGCTGCACCACTGCACTTCAGCCTAGGAAACAAGAGCTAAACTCCATCTCCAAAAACAATAAAAAATTTAAAAATAAAAAAAAAAGGTAACATATAATAAACTCACAGCTAACATCATACTAAATGGGGAAAAGCTAAAAAGTTTTCCTCTAAGGACTGGAACAAGACAGAATGCCCACTTTCACCATTACTGTTCAACATAGTACCAGAGATCTTAGCCCAAGCTAATAGGCAAGAAAAAGACATAAAAGGCATCCCAACTACAAAAGAGGAAGTCAAATTGTTCCTATTTTTAGATGACATGATCTTATATTTAGAAAAAAACTAAAAATACTCAAGCAAAACTCTTAGATCTGATAAATTCAGTAAAGTTGCAGGATACAATATTTACATATAAGAATCAGTAAGGCTTCTATATACTAAAAGTAAAATTGCTGAAAAATAAATAAAGAAAGCCATCACATTTACAATAGCTACAAAATTCACCTACGAGTAAATTTAATCCAGAAAGTTAAAGAACTCTACAAGGAAAACTACAAAACCCTAAAGAAACAAAATTGAGAATAACATAAACAAATGGAAATACATCCCTTGCTTGTGGATAAAAAGAATGAATATCGCTGAAATAACCACACTGCACAAAGCAATTTACAGATTCAACGTAATTCCTATCAAACACGCACATCGCTCTTTACAGAAATAGAAAAAACAATCCTAAATCTGTATGGAACCAAAAGAGAGTCTGAATAGCCAAAGAAATACTGAGCAAAAAGAACAAAGCTGGAGGCATCACACTACCTCACTTCAAAATATCTTACAAAGTCTAGTAAGCAAAACAGTATGTGTATGTCCGTTCTCACATTGCTATAAAGAACCACCTGAGATGGGTAATTTATAAATAAAAGAGATTTAATTGACTCAGAGTTCCACAGGAGACATGGCTGGGGAGGACTCAGGAAACTTGCAATGATGGCAGAAGGCAAAGAGGAAGAAAGTATGTCTTACCATGGTGCAGCAGGAGAGAGGGAGAGAGAGGGAGTGAGTGAAGTGGGAGTTGCTACACACTTTTAAACAACCAGATATTGTGAGAACTCATTTACTATCACAAGAACAGCAAGGGGGAAGTCCACCCCCATGATTCAATCACTTCACACCTGTCCTCTCCTCCAATATGTGGGGATTACAATTTGACAGAAGATTTGGGTGGAAACACAGAGCTAAACCATATCAGCACAATAGTGATATAAAACTAGACACAGAGACCAATGGAACAGAACAGAGAACCCAGATAAAAATCCACAGTTACAGCTAACTGATCTTCAACACAGCCACCAAGAATATACCCTGAGTAGTGGACATCCTCTTCAATAAATAGTGCTAGGAAAACTGGATAACCATATGCAGAAGAATGAAGCTTGACCCCTACCTCTCACCATATGCAAAAATCAACCCAAAATGAATTAAAAGCCTAAAGGTAAGATCTAAAACTATAAAACTACTAGAAAAGCAAAACAGGAGAAAAATTATAGGTCATTGGTTTAGGTAAAAATGGGTACATCAAAATCTCACAAATCACCACTAAAGAACTTACTCATGTAACCAAATGCCATCTGTTCCCCAAAAATCTATGGAAATAAAAAATTTAAAATAAATAATAATAATAAAAGTAAAAGATTTTACGGGAAATATTTAAAAAGCACAAGCCACAAAAACAAAAAATAGACAAATTGGGCTATATTAAATTAAAAAGATTCTGCACAGCAAAGAGAACAATCAACAAAATGAAGACTCAGCTAACTGAATGGGAGAAAACATTTGCAAACTATTCATCTGACAGGAGACTAATTTCCGTTATATACAAGAAACACTAACAAATGGACATCAAAAAACACTAATAAACATATTAGAAAGTGGGCAAAGGAATATGAATAAAAAATTCTCAAAAGAAGGCATACAAATGGCCAACAGGTATATGAAAAAATGCTCAACATCAGTAGTTATTAGGGAAATGCAAATTAGAACTATATTGAGGTATCACCTTACCCTAGTAAGAATGGTTATTAATAACACAAAACAACAGATACTGGTTAGGATATAGAGAAAAGGAAATTCCTTTGTACTGTTGATGGGAATGTAAATTAGTACCACCACTATGGAATATAGTATGGAGATTTCTTTAAAAACCAGAAGTAGAACTATCATACCCAGCAATTCCACTACTGGATATATATCAATGCAATTATTATATATAAAATACTATATTATATAATAAATTATTATTTCAAAGGGATACCTTCATCCTCATGTTTATTTCAGCACTATTCATAATAGCCAAGATACAGCATCAACCTAAGTGTTAAACAATAAATGACTGAATAAAGAAAATGTAGTACATACACAATGAAGTACTACTTGGCCAAAAAAAAAAACAAAAAAAAAAAACGAATGAAATCCTGTCATTTGCAGTAACATGAATGGAACTGGAGGTCATTAAGTGAAATACACCAGGCACAGAAAGACAAATATCACATGTCCTCACACATATGTGGGAGCTTAAATAGTTGATCTTCATGGAGGTAGAGAGTAGAATGATAGATACTAGAGGCTGGGAAGGGTGTGTGTTGTGGTAGTCAGGAGAGGGAAATAAGGAGATTTTGGTTAATGGGCAAAAATATATACTTAAGTAGAAGTAGTAAGTTCCTATGTTCAACAGAAGAGTCAGGTGACTATAAGTAACAACAATGTATTATATATTTCAAAATAGCTAGAAGAGAGGATTTGAAATCTTCCCAATACATAGAAATGATAAACACTTGAGGTGATGGATATCTTAAATACCTTGAGTTGATCATTACACATCATATGCATGTAACAAAATACCAAATGTACACCATGACAGTGTACAAATATAATCAATAAAATAATAATTCCCCAAATAATAAATAATCATAAGTAAATATAAAGTTACAAATCACGGTTAGGTTTTTTGTTTGATTTTTGAGACAGGGTCTTGCTCTGTCACCCAAGCTGGAGTGCAGTGACACCATCAAGGCTCACTGCAATGTTGACCTCCTGGACTCTACAGGCATGCACCACCATGTCTGGCTAATTGTTTGTATTTTTTGTAGAGATGGGGTTGTGTCATGTTGCCCAGGCTGGTCTCAAACTCCTGGGCTCATGTGACCCACCTGCCTCGGCCTCCCAAAGTGCTAGGATTATAGGCATGCACCTGGCCTTATGATTAGCTTTATCAAGAAAATATATGGTAACTTGTCATTACAATGCAGGGACCTAAGTTACATTAAATTGTCAGAGAAGTCCTCTCCGAGTAATGACATATCATTTCTGATGTAAGAGATGGCCAGAAATCTGCAGTTGACTAGTGGCAGTGGGCAGAGCTGGAGGAGTGCTGAATGAAATTTTACTAGAAAAATAATATGTTCGAAGGCCCCAGATGGAAAGAAATTTGGCGTATCTCAAGAATGGCAAAAGGTCAGTGTGCCTACAAAGAAAACAGCAATCAGATAAGTGAAGCAAAGTTTAGCTGGACAGGTATGGCAAAATCAGCTTATACAGGACAATGCTTCGTATTTGATTCTGCACGACATAAGAGTGCTACCGGGTGCTTTAAACAAGCCAGAACTATGATTCATATTTGAATTCTTAAAAGTGAACTCTGAATTCAGATTGGAAAATGGATTGTAAATTGGACATGCTGCAAAAATAGAAGCAAAATGTGAGAAGTTCTATAAGGAAGGTGGCACATATTTTGAGTCTCTGCAGAGATTTTTCTCTATTCACACTGATAAATTTCTCTTTCCACTTTCACCTTCAGGACCCCTATTATTCTGTTATGGTTTGAATTTTTGTCTCCTTTGAAGTTCACATTGAAACTTAATCCCCAATGTAACAGTATTAAGAAGTAAGGCCTTTAAGAGGTGATTAGGTCATGAAGGCTCTGCCCTCATGAATGGATTAATCCATTCATGGATTCATGGACTAAAGGGCTCATGTATTAATGGATTATCATGGGAGTGGGTTAGTTATCATGAGAGTGGGTTTGTTGTAAAATAGATTTTGGTTGCCTGTCATGTACCCCCTCACCACGGATGCCCTGCACCACTTCAGGACTCTGCAGAGAGTCCCCACAAGCAAGAAGGCCTTCACCAGATATGGTCCCTAGAACTTGGACTTCCCACCCTACAGAACAGTAAGAAATAAATGTATTTTTTAAACAATTACCCAGTCTGTGGTATTCAATTATAGCAACAGAAAGTGGACTAAGACATACTGTCAAAGACTGCTTTTTTTCTCTTCCTTGTGACTGAACTGTAGATTTTTCTTCTTAGCATTCCTCTCTCTCTATTTTCTCCTATGCCAATTATCTGTCCTCTTAAATGACAATTTCCATATTTCTTTCTTTGGCTTTGGAATTTTAGTCAACTTTAATTTGTTCAAAAACTTTCATATTGATTTATATATTTTTATGAATTATGATAATGCCCAAGTACAACTAGTCATTGGAATAATTTAGGGGACTTTTTCAAACTAAACATTTCTTAGCTGTGCTTCCAAAGATTCTTAATCACAGGCTGGTGGTGAGTCTCAGATATTTATAATTTTAAATAGGTCATTTATGTTTGAGAACCTCTGTTTTTAGGCTATTATCAAATTCAGTCCAAAAGAATTTGGTTCTAAAATTGTTCTAACATGTCAGGTTTGAAAGGCCACTCCAAAGGTATTTTGCTTGTGTAGATTTAGAAATCACAATCCAACCTTTTTCAAAGATTTGTCTAAGGCTAGCAACATCCTTTCTATCAGTAACAACATCCCATTAGTTATATACCTGTCCTCAATAAAAGAGAACTGTCTTTTAGATCTAAGATTACATCATGGATTTTTCCAAATCTTGCTGCCACGTTTTATTAACAATTTGATACCAGTTACACATGATCCCAGCAGGAGCAATAGCATTTTGATACTGTTTCATATTAGGAAAAAAATTGCCTGATTTCTTATTACTCACTCACTTATAAGGTAGATATCAGGTCATATGAGAGAATTGAAGGATATAAGCTTATGTGATCTGCCTACAAACAAAAAGCAAAAGCAAATTCAAAAACCCTGAGCTCCCAAACTTCCAGTCTTCTGTTTCTTGCCCAGAGCCATACTACCTCCCACATTGCACATGTTGTAAACTTTATGTGGCCCATCTGTTAAGGAGTTTGTTTTCCAGATTTGCAGGGGCTTGGCACTTCTGTACTGAGTAGCAGAACTAAATGTGACACCGATTTTTACCTTTTTAATAGTTTTAAATTGCATGGGGCTGGTGTTGAAAAGGGTCAGGGAAACAGAAGAAATACAGAAGCAGTAAGGCAACAATTAAACATCATAGCTTGGGCAAACCTGTACTTAACATCCACCATGATGACAACAGTAGCAATGCTAAGGATATATTGAGTATTCAGGTTCAGTTGTGGGCTGAATGTGGGCACAGCTTGGCATTTGAAATTAGGCAGATTCAGACTATGATGTTTTCTCACAGTTAATGCAGAGACCATAGATAATAATTATGTTGCTGAGCCTACAGTGAATCTTTACGACTGATCTTCTGTTAAACTGGCAAAATAAGAGGATAATGTCTCCAGCACTAACAAGTTGGCAGGGAAGTAGCTGGCAACCCCTCCCACTAATGTTCCATCTGTGCGAACCTTCAGTATGATCCAGGATATTGTTTCCCCACACAGGTTGTGCCTGCAGTGTAATCAAGACAGAGAGACCAAGCACAGATATCTTTATTGTTTTTGAAGACGACTGCCATTGGAGGGTGAGCAGAACCTGGGACTGAGTGCTAATGCTGTTATGTTCTTCTAAGAAGTATCCATGCAGCGATGTCGACAGGAAAATAACCGTTCCTAAGCACTGGCTTGTTGTCCAAGTGACATAAAAGTCACAGAATGAGAAGAACAGTTTCTTTCATTTTAGAAAAGCCTTTTGTTTCTCTTCCTGGAAACTTGGAAAATTGTTTTTGTTTAAAAATATCTTTTCTGTTGATTGCGAACACAGTGCATGTTACTTTCCCAGCCTTGACGCTCCTCCAGCATCCACAGTCTCTGGATCAGATTTTGCTCTAAAAGCTCAGGCGAGACGAAAGAAAGGCTTGTGAATGCAAAGAGGGTGCACAAACCAGCTGAGGCAAATCCTGACTTAAATCCCTGAAATGATGTCTGTCATTGTACACTTCCCATGCCACCCAAGAAGTGTCCCCTGATGTTTCAGGCAGCTGTCACATCTGCCTCCTCTGAGCTCCTAAATATTTGTTTTATATTTAAAATGTACTGCCTTGTGTTGGAATATTGTACTTCACGGTTTATTTATTTCTCCTTTCATATAGTTCACCGTGCCTGAAATAGGGCCTCATTGGACATACTTTTGTATCATGACTAAATAAGCAAATTCTAAGCCATCCCTATTGAAGACCAGGCACAGGGAAGCACCCTCAGGTTACTCACTAATGTAGGGAGGCATATTGCCATTACCTCACCTCGGTGGTGAACTCTCTATGGAATAATAGGTAATAATAACTAATATGCTATTATTTTTAAATGCCAGTGTGCTTTTATGTGCTGGTTCTAGGCACTTTATATGTTTAATACATTTAATTCTCACCATAGGAAGTAGCTATTGTTATCATCTCCATTTTACAGATGAGAAGGCAAAGGCACAAAAAAGTTTAAACTTTTTAAAGATCTTACAACTAGTAGGTGGTGGTGTTAGCTAGCATGTGATCTGTCTTCAAAACTCAAATTCTTAAGCACTCCACACACTGCCTCTGGATGGGAGTCCTAAACGTCTATGAGGGACATGAATCCTATTATATCATTTTTGCAGTATCTCTAAGATCTTATACAAGACAGAAATACAGAGGAGGCAAAGGAGGTTTTAATTATCTGCTTTTTCATGTATTTTCCTTCATGGAATTCACTTTGAATACATTTTAGGGGTTTGAAGAAGCCCAGGAAATTATTTCCTTCTATCTTCTCTTCAATTCATACGCTTAACTCCTACCCAACATTTGTTCACTCCCTTCCTCCTCCTCTAAACAAAGCAGAAGCAAATAAAAATATTAATGCTACAAGAAACATTTGCAATGATCTATGCAACCCTTTCTCCGGAAGGTTCCATCATTATCGGATTCACCTAACAACTCCTATTCATCCAAACATGGTCTCAATGGAGTTTTTCTTTACCTGTAGGCAGCTTAGTTGCCTCCCACTGTCTTTTGTTCATAGACACATCAGAGTGACAGTCTTTTTAGAAGACTGGTATTTATGCAGTATTCCTAGTTCTATACATTACAGTGGGCACTGAAAGTTTATGTTTTGAATGAATTAATGAATCCAATACACAGCCCTCATTTTACAGAGGAGGAAACTGCTGTGAAATTGGAAAGGTAAAGTGACTGATCACAGTCACATATCTAGTCAGTAGAAAAGCTGACCTCAAGTCACTACATTTTCCATTGTGAGAGCAAAGTTGTCCTTTATAGCCTAAACCAAACCTGACGTTATTAATACCTGAAAACAATAGCCCAGCAATAATAGCTATCTTCTTTATATCTTATAATGCTTATAATCTGTAGCACTCATTTAGTTCTGGGTGCATATGTGTATATTTTACTTTTCTCTACCTAGATTATAATTATTTTAAAGTTAGAAATGTACCCTATCTTTTCTTTTCCATTCACGATGCTTTGGTTTCTTGAGTGTTTGAGCTTGTAAAATTAAAAGTTGAGCATCTTATTCACTTTTTTCACTTCTATCATCACCTCTAACTATAGCCCCAAGTACATCCTCAAGTTCCAGCTGTTTGAATAGTCCCACATCTCCATGTCTCCCTTGGAACCTGAAAAATACTCTGGACCACTAGCAACCATCACAAAACTAAAATAAGGCCATTCTGAGATTGGGTTAAGTGGACTTATATTTTCTTTCCCTTAGAAGATCTCTGTGGAACTGCACGGAATAATTTATCATGCATGAAGACTTTTTTTTTTTTTTTTTTTTTTTTTTTTGGTGTGCAAGTTACAAAGACTCATCACAGAGATTATCTTGAGTGATGGTATGTGGAAATGGAAGCAGGCCTCAGAAGGCCTGGAGACAGATCAAAAATCCAAGTAGCTACTCTTTTATCATTTTCTCTCTCTCTTTCTCTCTCTCTCTGTTACTCTCTCCCAACCTACCTCTACCTTTCTCTCTTACACACTCTCTCTCTCAAGGAACACACGGTCTGTCTTTCTTCTATATGGCTGCTTTATCATTCTCTCTCTCCATACCTGTTGTCTCTGCCTATGTACATACAAGACAGCCATTGCCTTATAACTCCCGAGTATACTCATATAAGTCACAGGTCTCTAAATCCCAATTCCAAGATCCTGAAAGAGCCAATATGATTGCACCAACTTGGCTCGGGTGTCCTATCCACCATCCACTCAGTTATGGCCAGGAGTCATGGTCACGGAGAATAGATAAGTTTCTGCAATTTGACATGGCCTCTGCTAGACACCATGGAGAAACATACAGGTGAGAAAAGTGAAAATGCTACCTTCAAAAATTTAATAATAGGTTACAGAGTAAGATCTAGAATTATATATTTTTAATAGTTTATATTATCTTTCCCACTGTGAAAGAAGACAGGAAGTGCCATCATTATTTGGTCAGAAAAATGGAAGAAAGGCTCTTATTTTCTTCTTCAATATTTCACCATTATACACACTTCAAAATTTCTATTGGAGCCCTCTTCTTTCTTATTCAATCTAACCCCTTCACTGAGGATGGAGAAAATAGGGGAAAGATGTATAACTTCTTCAAGGTCCTTGTAATGTTAGGAATGTAGTATCCATCTTCTAGGGCCTACCATGATTGCTGGACCCCTTAGCATGACACCAACATTCCAAGCAACCAACTAAATGAAGGGAGTAAGAAAGAAACGTTCCCCTTTTTTGAGTAGCACTTACCAGGGGCTCCACTCAATATTTCTTGTTTATGTAATTTGTCAGAACTATTCATATGGCCCATAAAGATGCAAAATAGGTGGATATATGTAATTCTTTTACTGGGCAACCTTGTGCTCAGCTAAGAAACAGGAATCCATTTGCTTATAAAAGAAAAGAGCAGAATGGGTCTATTATAGGTCAGTAATCTCTACCACAACCTTCAGTTCCTGTCCTCAATCTATGTCTCTTGTCCATAGCTTTTGTTCCTGGTGACAATCTTTCCTGCCTCTTTTAAATCTTATCTTCCTTGGAATATTGTGATACTGAACTATGCCAGCACTTTTTATTTTCTGGTTACTTTATAACTTTACTTTCCTTGGTTTCTCAATTTCTTCCTGCCCTCTAAGGATAGGTGTCCCAAAGACTGTCATTTCCTCTTTGCGTCTGCTTTCATCCACTCCCACCATTTAAACTATCAGCATTATTTTCTAGCTTGTGCTCCCTCTCTCTCTCTCTCTCTCTCCCCCAACTTCCAGGAAGATATTTTAGATCACTTACTGGTCATTTTTAATTAAAAGCCCAATATCTCCCAAAAATCTATTGAGGTATCAGAAACACATTTATATTCAAAATGTAATGCAGAGAAATTTCAACAGGTAAACTTTCTCTGATTCCCTATATCAGATAAGTTTGCTTATTCCATACCTACATCACATCCTGCAATTCTTCTTGGGTCCCACAATAATTATTAAAGTTAACTACTTGAACAAAGATTTCTTCCATGTCTCTATTTCCTAGTATACTAGGTCTTGAGAACAATAAAAATATGACTCTTGTTATAGCACTGCATCTCCAATGACTTGCACAGTGCTTTGCACATAGTAATCATGAAGAATAGCAAATGGACAAGCAAATGAATGAAGATATCATTTAGTTGCCTTTCCAGAGTTGTCATAGGGTGAAATTACCTTGGTCCTCAATGTATTATCTTAGTTTTTAAGCAGACTAAGAATGAGGTTGTGCTTATTGGTGGAATCAACTGCCACATTCATAAGATCAATGTCTACCAAATAATTTTCCAAGAGACACAGTTCATTGGAGATCAGAGAATCAGAATAAAAAGGCATAGTCAGGTGATTTAAAATTTAGTGTAGTTGGGCCCAGATATGATGACATTTCTATCTTCATAATAAGGGTAATTTTGATCATAGGGGCAAAACACTGGAAATATGTGACTTATTCTTACTCACCCTTCCACAGTCCTTAAGAGTATAATAGATCTGAATTTAAATTCCAGCTCTATGTGACCTTGAGCAAGCTTCTTTTCTTCTCAGTCTTCTGTTTCTTCATGTGAAAAAAAAAATCAACACCGGTTGTAAGGATTAATAAGATAATTATGTAAAATATTTAGCATAGTTCCTGGCATTTCGTGAGCACTCAATCAATGAAGGATATTATTTCCACCCTCCGGGCTTCCATAGATAATCAATGTTTTTTAATTAACAGATTTATTTTTGTTATTTAAAATTTTTTGTCCTTCCAACTTTTATTTTAGGTTCAGGGGGTATATATGCAGCTTTGTTACATGGGTAAATTGCACATCCCCGGGTTTTGGTGTACAGATTATTTCACCACCAAGGTAATAACCATAGTACCTGATAGGTAGTTTTTCGATCTCTATCTTCCTCCCACCCTCTACTTTCCCAGGGTCTATTGTTCTCTTCTTTGTGTTCATGTGTACTCAATATGTAGCTCCCACTTATAAGTGAGAACAAACTGTAGTTGGTTTTGTGTTCCTATAATAATGTGCTTAGGACAATGGCCTCCAGCTCCATGCATGTTGCTGCAAAGGACATGATCTTGTTCCTTTTTATGGCTTTTTAGTATTCCATCATCTATATGTACCACATTTTCTTTATCCAATTAGATATGTCAAGTTATATCCCAGTCCTATGGATCAGGAAACCCATTTTTATATCTTTATTATGATTCATTGTGTGCTGATTTAATAGTTTAACTCTCAAAGTTTCTTATCCAAAGCTCAGATGTCTCCAGTAATCATCACCCTATTGTTTAAAAAAGTCACATTAATAATACAGAAATTTCCGCCTTCTCTATAGTTTTTCTATTTACAGTTTCATTATTCCATGGCCAACTGTGGTACAAAAATATTAAATAGAAAATTCCAGAAATAAGCAATTCATAATTCTTAAATTGCTTGTCATTCTGAGTAGTGTGATGAACTCTTGTGCTAACCCACTCCATTCCACCCAGGATGTGAATCACCCTTTGCCCAGGATATCTATGCTGTCTGTGCCACTTACCTGTTAGTCATTAATATTATCTGCTCCTGACATGCAACCATCAACATTGTCATAGCTTGATAATCCAAGATCACCAGAAGCAGATGATCCTCTTTCTGATGTATGGTCAGAAGGTCAATACTGTAGTAGCCTAACGCTGCATCACAATGCCTATGTCATTCACTTCACTTCACTTCGTATCATCATGGAGACATTTCATCATTTCACATCACCACAAGAAGGATGAGTACAGTACAATAAGATATTTTGAGAGCGAGATACTCCATATTCACATAACTTTTATTATAGTATATTGTTATAATTCTATTATACTATTAATTTATAATCTCTTACTATGCCTAATCTCTTACTGTGCCTTATTATGCCTAATGTATAAACTAAACTTTATCACAGGTATGTATGTATAGGAAAAAATATAGTATATATATATGGTTTGGTACTATCCATGGTTTCAGGCATCCACTGGAAGTCCTGGAACCTACCCCCCATGGATAAGGAGGGACTACTGTAATAATAATAGTAATTTACATTTCCTGATTCCTGTCTCCATTCACTAATGAAAGAGCTTCAGCTCCCAAAAGAGCTCCCCTCCCACACACAAAAATATTACTGAGAGTCCCCAGGGTGAGTTTCACATGGACTAAATGAATATTCCAATTGCAGTGAAGGGTTTCCCTCCCTCTCTTCCTTCTTGCTTTCTTTTATTGATGGGTTTTGCTTGCCCTCTTTCTGTTAAAGATCAACTTAGTCGTAGCATCAAAACCAAAGAAGAAACTCCATCCTGTCCTCTATTTATTCTCTCCAAGTGCATTTTCACCAGCCTTTCCTTCCCTCTTCAGCCAAAACCCCCAAAGCCCACATACTCACGAACACATACCCACGGACCTCTGGTGGTCAGAGAATAGGTTTCCTTGGCTACAAAATTTCAATCCCTGCTTAGATTCATCTGGGGCATCCTGCTGACTTATTTATATTATTTTTAAGTTGTCAGGTCACACAGCACTGCAGCTTCTGTCTAGCTATAATTTCTTTCAAATAACTTCTCTTTCTGTGGTCCATAGTTCTGGTAACAGTACCAGGCTAAAAAAATTCTCACAGTAGTTGCATGTTCTCCGTTTCCTTCCTTTCTCACAATCAATATTAATTTCTGCAGATTTTACCTCCATAATCTCTCTTATTTCTACTTACATCTTTCTCAATTTTCACAGCTGCCAACCAAGGTGAATCATTAACTACTCTTGCCTGTATTGCTAAGTTCTCTTAATTTGTCCCTTTGCCTCCTATCCCCTTACCTTTCATCCATTCAACAGTGTTCTGGTCTACAAAACTTGAACACTGGATGAAATCTTATAGCTCTAAAAGCTACTAAATCCATGAAAATCAAGTTGAACTAAATAGATATTTTTGCACCAATTTATATCACTGTTTCCTCCCATTTTAGGTAAATCTGATGAACTGGGTCATTTTTTTCCAGTTCAGACTGAAAACAAATTGTTAAAAGCCAAGCTATACTCTTCTTTGAAAACCAAAAGTAAATGTCCTAGATTTCAAATGTAGAAGTTGCAAAGAAGTACACCAATTGAAGGGGTTGCTACAGGACTACTTTTATCCTAACTAGAAAAAAAGTTAAGTCTAATAAACACCTGGAATTATCCATAAGCAATTATGAGTAGCTGCTGTAGTGTAGGAGCAAGAGTAATGTTCATGCCATCCTTCCCGAAGCAATAAGCTCTGTAAGAACAGGGTGGTATTTGCCTTGTATCCCCAGCACATAGCATCTAGGACCTGATACATAGCTGATACCAGATAATTATTTATTGAAAATATAAATCAATGGATATCTATCCAAACTGCAATTCTAATGCTCTATATAATTTATAACTTCATGAAATAAGAAGCAGTATTTTGCATATTGTTCTACACCCTGTAGGGTTCTGGACAGTTCTCTGCACAGATAAGGCATTTGAACAGATTTAAATGATCGATTTTTTACAAATATATATATGCACTCATGTATATCACCAAAGGAAGTAATACTCTCAGTATGGCAATGCACAATAGAATCTGAAAATGGAAGAAGTCGTAGAAAGATGTTGGAAAACCTACAAGGTAAAGGCTTCTCAAATTCATTTCCAACCTGGCCAGAAACCCTTCAAATGTACGAGGTCCCTCAGGAGGAAGCAAAGCAATCTCTCTCCAAAGAGATTCCCGTAAAAAAAAAAAAAAAGAGGTAGTAACACCTCCTTCCCAGCTTTGTGCACACTGGCTTCAAACTCCGATATTACTTTGGAACAAAGAAAAGTAGTTTCCCTTCTCTCAAAGAGAATAGAAATACTGCTAATGAAAGCATATTTGCCAAACTTACAGTCAGATGACAAAGAGCTCACTAGCCGAGTACTTGGAAAAGTTCAGACACATTTCAGAACCCAAATGCCACATCTATCAAAGGAGCTGATGCTACCAGCCCTGTCTTCCAAACACCATATTTTGGGAAATAAAATATCACATACATTAAAATGCTTCCAAAACATGAAATGAAGTACATGTTAGGTGTCATTATTTGCTGCTGATGTAGGTGACCCTGCAGCAAACTATAACAATACCTGAGTATCAGTAGTCACCTGAATGCACATTGCTAAGGGGTGGCTGCTCAATATGATTGATTGCAAAGAGTGCCATAATAATAAAATTCCCTAAATAAATTTTCAGTTTGGGATACAGCCCATTTCCATGATTCCAGGTGCAAGTTCAAAAGTATCTCAAGGGAGCCAAAAGGTAATTAAAACTTTGTTAATGAAGAAAAAAAATCAAGAAGGACTATTGGTACTGGAGATATAGGAGGGGAAAAAATGGCAAGGAAAACGAGTTGTACATCTAGGACGTTGGATAGTTCCAATTATATTAAATTGAACAAGGAATATGCCACTCTGGTTTTATTACTTAAAAAACAACAAAAAACTCGAAGTCCCTCCTCCAAGATTAAGCTCTCAGTTCATTCACTTTCTTTCATTCATCATTTTTCTTTATCTCTGTTGGTGTTAGCTATCCCTCTGTCTTTTTATGTTAGGTGATTTCACAATTCCACATATGGTTGTTTTATCATCTTCTGTTACTTGCTTAAAAACAAACAAATCAGAAAGCCCCCTTTCCTTCATGCTGTCTTCTCTTATCTTTGCATCAATTTTTCTATTTTCTTCTATTACCAATAATGTTTAATTTCCACTACTTTTGATCTTTACTTTTCTTCGTCTAATTTACACGACTGTTCTGGTGTTTCTGCCTTATATTGATGTCTCTTCTGTCATTTAACCCTTGTCTTTCCCAATCCTACCATTCTGTCCTCCTTTTTTACTATAATTTTTAAAGCATGTGAGGGGGGCCTTAAAATGTTGCAGGAAGAGTTTGCTACCAGGATATTTGGAGTGAGGAAGAAGCCACAACAAAAGTCACTTATTCTAATTAGTGTATATCTGTGAGTGTGTGGGGGCTGATGGTTGACTTGAATCACTAGGTGGCAGTAGTTCAGATCTGACTCTATTCAGATAGCTGTGTCTTTCTACCTGCTTCCTTAATGTTTATGTCCTTTATACCAATTTTTATTCAAAAACTCATGTGGTCCTCTGCAGCATCTACATTTGAAATCTAGGACATGTCACATCAGTTCTCAAAAATAACATAACTTAACACTTAAGGATTTATGACTGCTGATTGCAGCCGAAACTAGGGAGGAAATGGTTTGGTTGATTTGCTTTTTTTTTTTTTTTTTTTTTTTTTTGCATTTAAAAAAAAGTAAATTTAAAGAACTTTATATGCAAATGTGCTGATGGAATAAAATTCCACTGCCAACATTCAGTTTATGAAGTAGAATGCATTAATGAGCATTTCATAAAAACAAGCCTTCCAATACTTCCAAACCTTGATTATTAGATAATGTGGGTAATCCATAGTGTGATCTATTGAATATATAGTGCGTACCTACTACACTTTGCCTACCCTTCACTTCTTCCTGTTGGGAACTGACCCTGCTATACCATTTACTAGCTACAAGACTTTCAACATATTATGAAAGCTCACTGTGCCTTAATTTTTCCAATTTGAAATTGGGAATGTTAATGGTACATACCTTATGTGGTTACTGTAAAGTTTAAGTGAGTTAAATACGTAAAACATTTAGAATGGTATCTGGCATGAATTTCTCCATGGTAGCTATTTGTCCAAGATATCCTTAGATCACCTGTTATGTTTAAGCATTAGATTGGGGGATGCAGGTTAAAAGGGAACTCTCCCCAAGTACATTTTAAAGCAAAGATGCAGATAAGTAACCACGTTATTAACAATGCAATTTGGTAAGTGGGATTTGTGAGGAGGAGCACAGAATTCTATAGGATGAAAGATCAACTTACACCGTATTTGGGTATGTAAAGGAGAGATGAAAAACCCTCTCAGATAAAATTATATCTCAGTTTAAAATCTAAGGCTGAGAAGTTTTAAATGGATGTATTAGGGGGAAAGAAGGTTAGGAAAGGTGTTTCTGGGAGGGGAAGGAACACATATTCTTCCCACAATCTAACTAAGAAGGTAATACTGGCATTATTCAGAAATTAGGCCATTTTTTCTTAATGCTCACAGGTATCTGAATAATTCATTTTGAGTCTCTATAAAGCAGAAGAAGCAAAGGAAGCATTTCAAAGGCCAAGAAGAAACTATTATAGCATGGCCTACTGAAGTGTGACTGTGAAGTAATGAAACAGATTTTTAAACAAAATGTGGCATGAATCTTTTCTCTGATAATATGCTGATCTCCTCCCTATGAAATGCTACTAAATGTTTTTGAATAAGGAATGCATTCATGAATTATATTTTCTAGGAGTAGTGATGGGTTTATACTGAGTCATCAATTTTCTCTCCTTGGGAACAATTGTGTGAATTTGCAAATCAGCTTGGTGTGGGATGGGAGAAGGGCACAATCTGGAGCCAGTCACAAGATGAATCCACTGAACACAAGAGCAATAAAAGCCTGAATTAAGCTTTTTAAAAAAAAATCCATTTACAATCAACTGACCTGAGGTTTTACTCACTAGAATGAGATCACTAGGGGTTGGTGTTGGAGGGAATGAGTTCTCCACAATTTCTAGTCCCATAAAGATGTGATCTTGATTTCCCAAATGGATAAAACAAACTTCCTACAGTATGCAAAACCTGAGCTGGCCTCTCCTTTTAACAGCAGACAGCAGAAATATAGAACAATGAGTTTAACAGTCCAGAAATTTAGTAGGAAAGCCACCTACAAATCCTTGTAAGAAACATATTTCTGCAAGGCAGAGAATTGTGGACACTTTGTGTGATGAAATTTATGAGAAGCCCCAGGGGTCTCTGTATGGATGCAAAGTGATTAAGTTGAGCACTTACTGTAATTGCTTTCTACCATTTAGTTAAGTAGTGATTCAAATGGCAATGGTACGGTTTGGGTGGCAAAAGGGTCATGTGTATTCCTAGCTAGGGGTGTGTCCTTAGTCTTCAATTTTTTTTTATGTTCCTCCTTATATGCCTCTCTCTTTGTATTATCCCTATCAAACTCCAGAGTCAACACTATCAGGTCTCAGAATTCCTACTCTCTCTACACACACACACACACACACACACACACACACACACACACACACATATACACACATACCCCATCAGAACTCAGATTTAGAAATGAAATATGAAGTATATTCAGGGACCCTATGTAACTTTTCCCTGACCTAGAGCAATGAAGAGCTTTAATAAGTATGGGCAGTTTGAAATGAACCTGAGAGTCATATTTGCCTGTCAGCAGGTTTGTGTACTTCATCTTGAAGGTTAGCTCTTGGCAACCACTTGAGAATTTTTCCTATATGAAGTTTACCAACCAAAGGACTCACCCTTAAAGACAATCTTGTCTTTCAGTGATCTTAATCCAGTAATTACTCCCACACTTCCTCTTCCACCTCCTATTTGAATAATGGAAAATCCTTTCATTTCTTCTGAGTAACTTCTGCCATCTGGTTTTTCAGGGATTTCCTGCAATAGAGAGCAAGGAGCTAGTGAAGTTAGGTTTTTGTTGTTGCTGTTGTTTTCCATTTCCCCCAGCAAACCATACAAAGTCATGAGACTCTGGTACAGTCAGCACAGATGTCTTCTCTCACTTCATAAACCTGATCATAGTATCTCTACTTAAAAAGAAACCTATCAACAACAATCATTACTCTCTTATGATAGTTTTTGCTTCCAATTGGCTGCAATAACCGCATGCCTTTACTATCATGCCCCAAAAAGCTCACATAGTATTAAATATTCAACAATATCCACCAGCAGCACACCAATATGTATATTATCTCATTATTTTGCCCACATTTGCCTATTCTATTATTACTATTTCCTTATTTCCTTACTATTTAAAATAAATCCAATCAACTATTTCTGGGCTCTTCCCTATTTGGATTGTTGCCTTGAGATGCATAGATGAGCCTCCTTTTCTTATTAGGTGCCACTCAGATTGGCTTTTAACTTATTATTTTTTCTGTTTCTCTGGATCTGTTTTTATTCCCCACTGCTATGCTCCTACCTTTGTTGGCTGACTGATGGCTCCATCGGTGACTCCCTTTTCTCTTTTTCATTCCCTAAGCCAGTCACTTAGCATGTAACCACAGTTTAACCATTTCCCATTCACTGCAGCCCCATTCCAAAGCCTATTGAAAAACTTGCCCACATTGGAAAAAAAAAAAAAAACCGAAAGGAGATTCCAAACAAATCAAGTATATTAAAAGAAAAAAAAGGTGAAAATATATATTGAGTGAGGACCTTATGATGTAATCATCCAAGCATCTCTAAAACATTAGGTATTGGAGTTGGAACATGAAAATTCAGAGATAAATGACTGACGCTCATGTACATTTATAGTGTGTGTGGATATGGTGCTGTACATTGAATATTAAAGGATAGCCGATCTGCACCGAACATGTTGAAAGAGTTTTTCAATAGTAGACAATCCACTGTTTACAACTTTACCCTCTGCCTGGGAAAATCAATGTCCATTCTCAAGCAATCTGCTGCCCTGGTTATAGCAGTTCCGGTTCAAAGGAGGTTTGCATTTAGATGCTTGATCTTTCTGTCCCACTCTAGATTTTTGGAATGGTGCATTTTGTGATCATGATTTTTCTCCTGATTCCATTTCCTTATGTCATTTAAGAACATGAGGCTTTTTAGTATGACTCACTGAATAGCAAATATAGCATCTTAGTGAACTGCAGTTTTTCCTAATCAGAACATAAACTTGCTCTGTAATATCAGACTGAGACAGGAAAGAAAACACAAAGAAAAATGGCCACTGAATCACCCTGAGCTCTGAAGGAAAGGTGTCAAGGTACTTATTAAGAATCACACTATACTTCTTTAATATTCTCAATATTATCAGGTAGTTATAACACTTCAATTTTTATCCCAGATCCTAAGTGAACTGAGATACAAATTGTCTTTAATCCCAAACCACCAAAGCCTATTTTAAGTAGAAACTTCGGGGCAGATACATTCTTCAACTGTCTTTATATATCCTGGTAGAAAGGGGTACACAAGAAGAATAACCATGGATCAGCCAGGTGTAGTGGCTCACGCCTGTAATCCCAACACTGAGAGACCGAGGCAGGTGGATCACTTGAGGTCAGGAGTTCAAGACAAGCCTGGCCAACATGATGAAACCCTGTCTCTCCTAAAAATACAAAAATTAGCTGGGCACAGTAGTGCACATCTGTAATCCCAGTTACATGGGAGGCTGAGGCAAGATAATTGCTTGAACCCAGAAGACGGAGTTTTCTGGAGGTTGCAGTGAGCCGAGATCATGTCACTGCACTCCAGCCTGGGTGAGAGGGTGAGACTTCATCTCAAAAAAAAAAAAAGGAATAACCAGAGACTATGTGTAAAGAGGGCTTCCAGGAAGTCAGTAGTATCAGGAGAAGACCTAAACTGGGCAGCTATTCTAGGATATAATTCCAAGAGCCAGTCTAGTCATCTTTCTTTTTGCTCAGCTTCCTCCTCTCTCTCCATCAGCAGGAAGGATTCTAAACCCTGACCAAGCAATTCCAGTCAGGATAAGCTCTGCCTTTAGCCATGGGAGAGAAGCTCAGCTTCTCTGGGCCCTTGCCCTATGGCATTTGCCTGGTAGCAGGATTTCCAAGAATAACTACTGTCTGTGGTTTTCTCAAACCCTACTCCCTAGAGAAACCAGGGAGTGTAAACTTTTTTGGTCTCAAGGTGGTTTTAAGCATCAGCAAATGTTTGCTTTGAACTTTAGCCAGCATCTTATTTTATCCAAATGAACTCTCGAATCTCAATTTATACAAACTAAAATGCCCACCAGACAGATCAGTAAGTTCCTATTCTGTAGCATGAATAGGAACGGAAGTAATTAAGTGGAGGCATGTGACCTCTAGAAACAATCTTTGGTTGAGTGGCAGGTAGAACAAGTAGGATTTAAAGTACTATTTGGAGTCACAATTGATGTTGATTGCTAGTGAAGGGAGCTCTTCTAACACACTCTTCTTTGACTAACTCACAGAGAAATTTAAGAAGGAAAACAGAGTGTCTCTAAACATTCATTTGTAATGGAAAACAAAAAACAGAAGAAGGACACTAAGCAAAAAATTGCTAGCTTCATTCAGCCCTGCACACATAAATAATCTTTTCGAGGAAATGGCTTTTGCCTCTTGATTCAAAATTAGAATTACAGATGGAACATTTATGAATGTCTTCACAAACTTGGCTTGTAAATAGGTCATATAACTTTCATTTCTTAATTCACCAACCTAAGCCTTCACCTGTCATATTAACGGGCAGCTCACTAGAAAGTCAGCATAGGATAGAAGGAACATGCATAGATGCTGGGGCCAAACTGGCTGCTCTATATCTCTCCTCACTTACCAGTTCTATGAAGTAGGGAAGCTTAAAAAGATTAACTCCCAAGATCACACAATGACAGTTAAGATGGGATTGTCTAAGCAGTCAGAGCATGGGGTTGGGTTGATTCACTTGTGTTCGCCTTTCTTTGCCACACAGTACAGTTACGGACACATAGCCTTATAAACTGGACAGAGAAGACTATTGACAAGTCCTAATAATCTGACAGATAAGGCAAGTCTCTGCAGATACAGGACCCTAAACAGGCCACCATGAAAACTTCAGGAGAATGACTCCTCTCCCTCCAAGGCTGTCTCTTTGACAGAAATGGTGTATTTGTTTTCTGTGGCTGCTGTAACACATTACCATAAATTTGGTGTTTTAAAACAACAGAAATATATTCTCTCACAGTCCTGGAGGCCAGAAATCTGAAATCAGTTTCACTGGGCTGAAGTCAAGGTGTTGGTGGGCTTGTGCTCCTTCCAGAGGTTCTAAGGAAGACTCCGTTCCCCACTTTTCCCAGGCTCTGATGGCTGCCAGAGCTTTGGCTTGTGGCTGCTTCACTCCAATATCTGCCTCTGTTTACATCACCTTCTCCTAGTGTGTGTGTGTGTGTATTCTACATCTGATCCCCCCCTTAGAAGGATACCTGTGATGGCATTTAACACCCATCTGGATGATCCAGGATAATCTCCCCATCTTAAGATTCTTAATCACATCTTCAAGAAGCCCCTGTTTCCCCCATATAAATTAACATTCACAGGTTCCAAGGATGAGACATGAATATCTTTTGGGGGTCTATTTTCCAGCCTGACACTAATGGATTATGCACCTTCACCTTGAAGACCTAAATCAGCACCCTATTCTCTGCCCCCAGTGATCTGCACACTATCAGGGCCCAGCAGGTTTTCCTTTTAAGATTTATATAACAAGATTTTTTTTTAAAATCATACTCCCTTTCTGAAAAAGAACAAAGCTATCATTCAGCTTGTTCAGTGTAGTTTTTTGCCTCCAGAAAGCCTCAGACCCTCAAACTCAGAAGGCATAAGATCATTATTCACTTTTCCAATGATATACCTGCCTGCCTGTCCTACTACTTGCAGACACAATATTTACATCTCAGGAAAGATTACATCCGCCTGCACCATTATCTTTGTAAAATGGGAAGATTTTCCAGTGCTTCGAGAATTGTTAATTCCTCTAAGGATATCCAAGGTGACTCTCCAGCTTCTCTCTCACCAAAGCAAAGCAAGTAAAGGAGCAATGTTGTCTATGCAGTGCTGAAACAATATGCAATGCTGAAACAAATAAATAAATAATTTCCAATCTGTGCTGTGAAGTGGTGTGAAAACAGGGGAGCTGACTAAGGAGACTCCTCATCCTGTTCCTCTAAAATATTTTAAGGTAATTGTCCTCTCACTTTCCACTGCAATTTACAGAAGTTTAGTCCCCTACCTTCCTGGTCAATATTCTCTTTCCCCTAGGCTTGTCTGCTCAATTTATATTATGGTTGGCGAGTGTGATTGTTAAGGATGTGGACTCAGGCCCCAGAGGCTATGGTTTGAAGCCATGCTCCAGCCTTTTCCTAGCTGTGTAGTCATGGACAAGTAACTAAATCTCTTCTCTGTGGTTTTTTTCTAACCTGTAAAATAAAAGTGCTCATTGCCTGCTAGGAAGAATAAATACATAAATAAAGTGCTTAGTATCATGCCTGACACATGCTCTACACATGATAGACATTACTATGATTGTCCTCTTTCCCTTCCTTGTTCTTTCCACGTAGAAAGCTACCATTTATTCACCACCCCACCCCACCCCCGCCACTGCCATTCAATGAGGGCTTTGACACATAGTTTAGAGGCTTCCTTTCTACTTCAAGGACTGGAACAATGATAGATGATTTTCTCATCCTCCATGATGATCCATTTCCAAGCTCTAAATCTGCAGGGGGTGAATTTACCTTAAGATTCAAGAGCATCCATTCCCCTCATATATGCCCTGTCCAAGGCCTTAGGAACTACTCTTGTCATTTGCACTTAAAATTTATATTTTGTTTTTAATGATGTCCCTCTCCTATTAATAAAAGCTTCAGACTTCACAAAATCTGAACCTATATCTGCTCTTTGCAGTGATCTTCTGCATCTCAGCCCCATTCTCCAGTGGACACTCTGGAAATTCACAGCAGCCTAACCTATCCCTGCACTGAAAGCACCTTACCCTGAACATAACACTCTAATCTTTGCAGATTTCTTTCCAGCATTCCTGAGGAATTAGTTTTTTGGCTACAACATTTTGATCTTTGTAAATTGTTAACTTTTTAAAAAATTATAGAAACTATGTGATTATACATTTTAAACCACAGTTAATCCAAAACTCAATTATTCTCATATGTAAAATGTGCCCAACACATTTGAAAACCTTGCATTGAAGTTCCTAGCTAAGCCAAGGCACAAACCAAGCGGTCCTTATGAAACATAGATCATCAACTTCAAACTTCTCTATTTTATGTCAGGACTTTCCTTACTATTTTGATATTCAGCAGAGATACTCACAATGAAATTATTTTCAAGAGTTCTCTAACCCCCAAAACATACCTAATTTCACCAATTACTAAGAGCTTTACTTCAGAGAAATAAAAATATAATATAAATGTCTTTATCTGTGTTCTTACTTTAGGCCCCAAACTAATATTTCAGTGCCTTAACCTTCAAAAATCTAAATTAAAATGTTACTGGGTGAAATCAAAGATGATGATATTAATGAGCTCCAATGATCTGTGTGGAGTGTTATTTTTTCTATTGTTCTGTAATAATGTAAAAGTTAAGAGGGACTACACTGTAAGTGTAGCAGAATTCAGACTGCTAGATTTTAATCCCTGACCTACCCATTACCAGCTGTGAGACCATGGCCAATCTCTCCTTGCTTCAGTTTTCCCATCTGTAAAGGAGGGAAACTGCAGTATCTACACAATAGGGTTGTTTTGAGGGTTAAATAAGTTAAAATGTGGAATAGTAAGCACTCAGTAAACGTTAGCTATTGTTATTACCAAATAACACTTCAAATAAGCAGGCCATCTGTTGGAGATTAGAAATATTTCATCATACTAAAAATTTGTCTAGGTTTTTAGTATGATCATATTTTTATATAAGGTTTTACCTTCAAAGTAGACTAGACCAGGATTCACTTCTGAAACAAAAAGTTATCTGAGAAGGACTTTACAATCTTGATCTACAAACTTTAGTAATAATCTAAGGAATGAGTTTCAGATAAATTGTCTTTCAATTATGCATGTACATGTAAGATATAAACCAGAAACTTCAAAGACTAAGGGCATATACAAGACTCTGGTTCTTACCTTGGAAGAATATTCTTGGGAGGAGTAATTCCCTGTTCGAATGTCTATTAAATACAACACAGTGATATAATTAGACTATAAAATAATAGTAATAATAACAAATGCACACTTTCATTAGCTTACAATCTGGTAAGAGAGAACAACTAAATATACCTTTATAATACTGTGAAAACTACTATGATAGATTAATATATAGGGTTTTAGAGTACTTAAGCTTAAGGGTTCACTCAATTGTAAATAGCTCATCCTCTACAAGACCATGCTGGCCATATTAAACAGTTTAGCCATTTGTCTTTATATAAATATATATATTAAATATTTTTATATATAATATATATTTTATATATAACACATATTTTATATATAATATATATTTTACCTAAAATATATAGTTTATATATTATATATTTTACCTATAATATATATTTTATATAATATATATTATACCTATAATATATATTTTATATATTATATACTTTATATATAATATATTATGTACTTTATATATAATATATCTTATAAAATATACAATATATTATATATAATATATATTATATAATATATTATATATATTATATATAATATATAAAATACATACTATATAATATATATTTTATATATAATACATATAATATATAAGATATATATTTTATATATATAATATATATCTTATATAATATTAAACAGTTTAGCCATTTGTCTTTATATATAATATATATAAATTATATATATTATATATATAAATGTATATATTTATATATATAAATTATATATATTAATGTATATATTTATATATATAAATTATATATATTATATGTAAATGTATATCTTTATATATAAATTATATATTATATATAAATGTATACATATATATTACATATAATTTATATATAATATATAAATTATATATATATTTCTATATATAATTTATATATATCATTTCTATATATAATTTATATATATAATATATATTATTTAAATTATATTATATATAACAATATATATAATAATATAATATATATAAATTATATAATATATATAAATATATAAAATAATATATACAAATTATATATTTTATATATATAATTATATATATACAAATTAATATATAAATTATATATATTTATATATAATTTTTATATATATTTATATACAAATATATATAATTATATATATATTTAATATACATAAATATATATAAATTATATATATATTTAATATAATTATATAAATTATATACATAATTTATAAATATATATAAATTAGATATATCTAATTTATATAAATATATGAATTATATATATCTAATTTATATATATGAATTATATATATCTAATTTATATATATGAAGTATATATATAATTTATATAAATATGTATATTATATATATAATTTACATAAACATGTAAATTATATATAATTTACATAAACATGTAAATTATATATATAATTTACATAAACATGTAAATTATATATATAATTTACATAAACATGTAAATTATATATATAATTTACATAAATATGTAAATTATATATATATAATTTCTATAAATATATAAATTATATATATAAAAAGACAAATGGCTAAACTGTTTAATATTATATGTATTAAATATTATATACATATATTATATACATATTATATATAAAATTTATATTTATATTATATATAATATAAATATATATTATATATACATATTATATATGTTATGTATTATATATAACATGCATATATAATATATAATTATATATATAAGATTATATTACATATTATATAAATAATTATATACAATTATATATTTATATAATTGTATATAATATAAATATATATTATAAATATATATTTATATTATATATTAATATTATATATTTATATTATATATTAATATTATATATATTATATATGATATATAATATTTATTATATATCATATATAATATATAATCTATCATCTATCATATATCATATATATGATATATATCATATATAACATATATGATATATAATATAATATATGTTATATATAATATATTTATATATAAAGACAAATGGCTAAACAGTTTAATATTTTATATATAATATATACTATATATTATATATTTATATAGTTTTTATATATTATATACAACATATATAATATATAATGTATATTTTATATATTATATACAACATATATAACATATAATATATATTTTATATATAATATATATTTAAAGACAAACGGCTAAACTGTTTATTATATATAATTGTAATATATATTATATAATAATTATATATTTTTATATATTACATATATTATTATATAATAATTATATATTTTTATATATTATATATATTATTATATCATGTATAAATTATAATATATATATTTTTGAAACAGGGTCTCACGCTGTTGCCCAGGCTAGAGTGTGCTGGTGCCTTCCCAGCTCACTGCAGCCTTGACTTCCTGGGCTCAGGCAGTCCTCCCACCTATGCCTCCTGAGTAACTGAGAGCACAGGCCATTTTCATAATTACCTTCATTTTAGACTTAGGTTACTAGTCAGCTTAATTTATGCCATCACTACGTGAAGCCATGAAAATGTGTTATATTCTATTCTATTCCTCAGATGAAATTTTGGTGTCAAAAATGTTGACATTACGCATTCATTTGCTCCTTTAAAGAGGTTAAATACAAAGCCATTCTCTTTTACTTAATACAGGTACATATCCTAGAGTCTCCTTAGACAGGAAATAATTAAGCCCACTTGTCATCCTTACCAAATTAGTGCCCAGGAAAAGAAGAAATCCCAGGAGAGGATTAGTGCGAATTTAAATCAGATATACAGCTAATCCAGCACCCAAGCTAGGGTTTGCATTTCAATCAATCAAAGCACAGGGACTTGCATTTTGACACCAAATGCAGAAAGTCAGAGAGCTATGGTTAGGTCTTGGAAGGCTGCTGATATGGAAATGTCTCCTGTGAGTCATTCCACTCTGTGGTTTAAAGAAATTGAGGACTTTTCCCAAGGTGCTAAAGGATGTGGAAGTCATTCTCCCACCCACTGGGTGTGGGTGCAATCACCGATGCATCACTGGGTGTGGCTGGGTTATGATGCAACATAAAGTCCTAGCAGTGCAGTTGCTTGGAGTGGGCAAAATTCAGCCTCACTTCAGGATAACAGCATTCAGTAGTGGCTTTCTCCACCTCCCAAGAGCAGAAATAAAAGAGATTGTTAAAACGCAGAAAGCGGGAATGAACAATTTTCTCCCCCTTTTGTTTAAGGAGGGGTCTAGAAGACAGATGTAAGTGAAATGAATTATAAGTCTCAACCTCCTTCACTCTTATCTGGAGTGAATAGACTGCTTTGTCATACAGCTGCCTAAGGCTAATCCTCCACACTCCCACAATCTTCTCAGTCTACTGCCTGAGTACCTTTGAAGCCAGGATTTAAAATCCTATAAATAGAAACAGGATTACTGGTTGCAGACTGCTGAAAAACTTTAAATGCTTCCTGGAAAGTGCAAGGAAGGATGTACAATGGCATGAGAAGAGGTGAATGGGGAGGAGAAATGTAAATTTTTAAGAGAAATAGTAAACTCTAACTTAACACAGTATTTCAATAAATCTGACTTTTCTTTTTGTGACCCTAAGAGATTTTTTTGATTTTCATAATTAGAAATTGCATCCAGGCAAGGCGTAGTGGCTCACGCTTGTAATCTCAGCACTTTGGGAAGCCAAGTTGGGAGGATTGCTTGAGGCCAGCAGTTTAAGACCAGCCTGGACAACAGAGTGAGGCCCTGTCTCTATGAAAAAAAAAAAAAAAACACGACATATTTTAGTTAGCTAGGTATGGTGACACGCACATCAAGTTACAGTTACTCAGGAAGCTGAGGTGGGTAGATCACTGGAGCCCAGGAGTTTGAGGCTGCAGTACGCTATGATTTTACCACTGCACTCCAGCCTGGGTGACAGGGTGAGACTGCTTGTCAAAAGAAAGGAAAGAAAGGGAAGGGTGGGGGGGGGAGAGAGAGAGAGAGAGGGAGAGAGAGAGAGAGGAAGAAAGAGAAAGAAAGAAATTAAAAGGAAGGAAGAGAAAGAAAGAAAGAAAGAAAGAAAGAAAGAAAGAAAGAAAGAAAGAAAGAAAGAAAGAAAGAAAGAAAGAAAAGAAAGAAAGGGAAGGAAGGAAGGAAGAGAAAGAAAGGAAGGAAGGAAGGAAGGAAGGAAGGAAGGAAGGAAGGGAAAAGAAAAAAAAAGAAAACAAAAAGAAAGAGAGGAAAAGAGAAGAGAAAAGAGGCCGGGTGCAGTGGCTCACGCCTGTAATCCCAGCACTTTGGGAGGCCGAGGCAGGTGGATCATGTGGTCAGGAGATCGAGACCATCCTGGCTAACACGATGAAACCCCGTCTCTACTAAAAATACCAAAAATTAACCGGGCGTGGGGGCAGGCACCTGTAGTCCCAGCTACTGGGGAGGCTGAGGCAGGAGAATGGCATGAACCTGGGAGGTGTAGTTTGCAGTGAGTGGAGATCCCACGACTGCACTGCAGCCTGGGCAACAGAGAGAGACTCCATCCCAAAAAAATAAAAATAAAAATAAAAGAGAGAGAGACAGAAAGAAAAGAAATTGCATCCAGTTACCTTGAGTTTTTACTTAGAAAATGTCCAATTGTCTTCCACCTATTGAAATTCACCTCTTCTATAATCCCCACATCACTGCTAAGGCTGGCTTAAGATATCCATCCACAAGAAATAGGAACACTTTTACGCTGTTGGTGGGAGTGTAAATTAGTTCCACCATTGTGAAAGACACTGCGGCAATTCCTTAAGGATCTAGAACCAGAAATACCCTTTGACCCAGCAATCCCATTACTGGGTATATACCCAAAGGATTATAAATCATTCTACCATAAAGACACATGCACACATATATTTATCAGAGCACTATTTACAATACCAAAGACTTGGAACCAACCCAAATGCCCATCAATGATAGACTGGATAAAGAAAATGTGGCACATACACACCATAGAATACTATGCAGCTGTAAAAAAGAATGGGTTCATGTCCTTTGCAGGGACATGGATTAAGCTGGAAACCATCGTTCTCAGCGAACTAACACAGGAACAGAAAATCATACACCACATGTTCTCACTCATAAGTGGGAGCTGACCAGTGAGAATACATGGACACAGAGATGGGAACATCACACACCGGGGCCTGTCAGGGGTTGAGGGGCAAGGGGAGGGGGAGCTTTAGTACAAATACCTAATGCATGTGGGGCTTAAAACCTAGATGACGGGTTGATAAGTGCAGCAAACCACCATGGCACACATATGCCCATGTAACAAACCTGTATGTTCTGCACGTGTATCCCAGAACTTAAAGTAAAATTTAAAAACAAAAGATATCCATCCACAAATTCTACTAGCTCATTCTTGCCTGGGTCCTCTTGTCGGCAGCGCTAGTCTGTCTGCAGATGCACCATAGATAGGGGTACCATTGCCTTAGAGTCAGGGTCCAGCAAAGTACCATCTCCTGTACAGGTCTCAGGCAGACATGTTGGTTGAACAACTAAGCCTTATATACACTTTTTATAAATCAAGGCCCTCTAGGTGAGCACAGAGTAAGGGCTAATAATTACATTTGAGAATTGATTTGGAATTGATAATGAATAAGACTTTTATGGGTACCTGAGGTCTCAGCCTGTTCACAAATATTAATTTTCATACGTTTTCCATTACTTTAGGATGGTACTGCCTCATCCTGATGAATTCACGTGTGACCGTATTATTTTTTTGGGCTAAGAAATGGATGTTAAGTGTCATTTTCAAGCAGAAGCTTGAAGAGATCATGGTGCGCCTTGCCACATGCGCTTTTGCCTCTCCCATACTAAGCAGCAGCATTCTGGATCATGGCTGAATCAGCAAGGACGGAAAACAATGATGTAAGGACAGAGAGCACAGTGAACTATCTGTGGAAAGCAAGAAACCATTTCAGTTTTAAGTGAACAATATCTGAGGGTTGTATGTTTGCAGCATAACCTAACCTCTCTCAAGGAGTACATACCATAAAATGCTTCTTGGGTTCACTAAGTTGTTGAGTATCATGGTCTTCCCTTTTTTTTTTCTGTTTTCTTATGTCCTGCAACTGTGTAAGTCTTCCACTTTTAAACACATCTTTTAAGGAGGCTGGCTGTCATTGAATGTCTTCAGAGCAATTTTATACATCTTAAAATCAGTCAAGGGAAATGAAAGTTAAGTCTAAATCTAATGAAATCCCGGCAGAGCACGAATAGAACTCAAAGCTCCACCTGTCCTCTAGCTTCTATTGGATAAATATTTTCATAGGAAAAAGGTTTGCAGACAAAGCTAAGCACATTCTTCACTCCAATTTTTCACTAGGGCAAAAGCAAATTTTTATTACACACCAAGCATTGGAAAATAAATTTATTCTTAGTTCACCCTCACTAGCCTAAATAGTACTATTAAACTGATAAATAAGCACAAGTACATTTGAAAATAGAAAAGGTAAACAGGTAGAGGTTTCCAGCTCTACTTTAATGAGATTATATACCACAAAGAATTTAATACTACAAGGCATGCTAAGATGACAACATCCTAACATCTAACAACTCTTCTTTTAATCCCAATGGGATTATTGCTGAAATAATTTCCCTTGTCATTAATTGAAAGATTTTTACTCCTTTGGAATTTTTCTCCTGGGTCTATTTTATTTTAAAATTCATCATATTGCAATTTCCTTCTCAAGGTTTTAATAGAGTTAAACAAAACGTCATTTGTTCATTTGCCAGGTATAAATTAAAATTTGAGACTGGTAAACGACAAAAGTATTTCTCCAGAAACAAAAGATTAACTCCAAAAGCCTTTTAAAAGTTGCGTAACTTCTTGATAAACACTATTCTGACAGGTGTGAAATTATATCTCTTTGTGGTTTTAATTTGCATTTCACTAATGATTAGCAATGTTGAACATCTTTTTATATATCAGTTGATGAAAGATAACAAATGTTGGCAAAGATGTGCAGAAAAGGGAATTGTTGTACACTGTTGGTGGGAATGTAAATTAGCACAGCTATTATGGAAAACTGAATGGGCATTCCTCAAGAAACTGAAAATGGAATTATCATGTGATCCAGCAATTCCGCTTCTGGGTATTTATTCAAAAGATTTCAAATCAGTTTGTTGAAGAGACATCTGCATTCTCATGTTCATTGCAGCACTAATCACAATGGCCAAACTATGGAATCAACCTAAGTGTTTATCAATGAAGGAATGGATCAAGAAAATGTGTACTATTCAACCTTAAAAAAGGAAAATTCTGTCATTCACAGCAACATGGATGGAACTGGAGAACATTATCCTAAGTGAAATAAGCCAGGCACAGAAAGACAAAGAGACATGTTCTCACTTATATGTGGAATCTAAAACAATCCACATCACAAGCAGAAAATACAATGGGGGTTACAGAGGCCAAGGATGGGGGTCAAAGGGCACAAAATCTCAGGCAGGAAAGATAATAGATTTTTTTTTCAGTTCTATGCTAATAATAGAGTATTACACACTTAAAAATTGCTAAGAGAATAAATTTCAAATGTTCTCCCCACTAAAAGTATTAAGTATTTGAGGTGATGAATATGTTAATTCATTTGATTAATTATATTTTACATTGTATCCATAAATCATAACCACTTTTATTTCATAAATTTATACAATTATACATTGGCAATTTACAATTTTAAAAAATTATTTTAAAAGTTGCATGACTTAACTCCATAGCACTTAGACTTTATTCAGTATAGAAAACTAAGAGTAACAACCCTTTATCTCATCAAGGCCTCCCTAGCTATTGGACCAAGTGTGAAACCTAGTACTTTCAGCATAGCAGAACTTTCTGTCTACTGCTTAGAAATGCTCTTAGAAATGCTCAAAGAAAGGTAAAGACTGGAGACTTAGTGACTCAGACTAGAACCAGCAATTTTGTAACAGAAAAAAAAAATAAATTGAAGTCTGTGTCATTCTGTATGTCTCATGCACACCAGTTTGCTAGTCTCTGTGAAGCATATCAGTCAAACATTTTCATAATAATAGGGACTTTTCTGTGAGTCTGAAGGCAACCAGCAAGATATTCCATTCATATTTTCTTCAGCTAAGATTCCTAGAAAACGATGCAATCATTATTCTTAGCATCCTACAACTTCTTTCCATATTTTTCAATTTTTGAATGCCTGGCACCTATGTGATAGACACTTTAGTAGTCTTCAAGAATATCATGGTGAGTAGAATTTACATTAGCCCTGTCCTGCAGCAGCACATACTGGAGTGAGAAAGACAACTAAACCAGCAACAGTACAAAGGAGGACAGTGGAGAGTGTTTCAGGGTGAAAAGAACATGCAGCACAAGCACCTTCTCTACTCTAATCCAAGAATGAGAGCAGAGGGTCATGCAAGAAAATTTCCAATGTATCACCACCAGACATGAAATTAGTCATGCAAAAACATGCAAGGCTATCTCAGGGTGTTGGAAGCTGGAGAAAGTAACTCTGAGCACAAAATTATGATCAGAATCTTTAGAAAATAAACGTGGGCTTTCACTGTGCAAAAGTGGACAGTCCTGTCACAGTTTTGGCTCCATAGCTCTAAAAACACAAGAAATAAAGCCAAGGAATGGAGAGAAGCAAGCAGATGACCATCAGGTCAGAAAGGAAAGGATCGCAAATAATTGCAGAAGCCACACAGAAGTACACTATCCTAGGAGTCAGGCGACTCAGCCAAGCTGCTAGTCCCTGTGATCAGCTTTCCAGCTGTGTTCACTCATTCAACTGTCAGTACAAAGCTGTAAGGAAAATATCATATTACCCCATCTTAAAGATGAGTAAAAATGAAGCTTAGATAGGATAAGTAAGCTAACTCTTTCTGCCTTCTAATCCTGAGTTTTAAACCACTAGACTGCTACCCCAATTAGAATTGTCCATTAGAATTATACAACAAGGTTTTAAAAAATCTCAATGGACAGGACAACCCCAGGACAATTAAATCAAGTTCTCTGCAGTAAGCTCAGACATGAGCATTTTAAAAAGCTTTTCAGGTGACTCTAATGTGTAGATGAAATTGCGACCCACTATGGCCTCTGCTACCAGTCACTAGATGACTTTAAAACATACACATAATGTTTCCCCTGAGGCCCTTATCAGTAAATCAGAGAGCTAAAACTAGATGACTCTTCAGGTCCCTTCCAGGTCGAACCTTCCAAAGAACTGACCAGGAATTAGAAGTCACTAAAATGAACGCTTCCCAAAGATTTGAAAATAAGTAAGGAAATGTATGGCCTAAATAGGTCATTAATTACATAGATCTCATTTTGTCAATAGTTATAATCTTGAGGTATATTTATGAATCATCAAAAGCTATGCCTTCCAACATCATAATAAGTCCATTATTGGAATCCAGTAAGTGAGTAAGGTAATCACTCCAGTGTTATCTTTTGTGATGAATTAGAGAAGATGGGAAGAAATGAAAATTAGTTCCAATTAGTGATCTTAAATGCTACATAAGGCATTGCAGTAAAAACTACGTAAAATTATAATGCTCGTTATTTTTAGAATTACAACGTAACCTATATGCTTTTTCTTCCCAGAAGGGCTATTTAACATAGAGTTTCAGAAAGCCGTTAAATTGATGCAGCTACGAAATGGAGTTGGATGTTTGAGGAGACAGAACTAGAAGCTGGGACCTCATAATAAGAAGGTGTCTGCTAAGACCAACAGAACATTTTCCAGATTTAATGGAATGGTCCAAAGAAGAACTGAATGGAAAAGAAGAGCAGAAGAATTAATGTTAAGTGAGTCAGAAATGCACATGGATTTATATTTTGAAAATCAATAAATTAATGTTACCAGGGGAACGGAGTGAGCCAAGAAGAGAGAATTGAAAGAAAGTCATTTCTTGTTTTAAGAACTGAAGAAGAGACCGGACAAACTAAGAAGAATGCAGCAATTCATGCAATTTTTAAGTTTTCATATTTATGGCAAGCTGGAAAGTCGTGTTGTGGTGCCATATTCTATTGCATCAGAATAGCGGCAGAAATATTCATAAAGAAATGCAGGCTCCTTTAATCCTAATAAAACAACAATTGGTCTTTAGGCATAATCAAATACAATCTTGCCAGTTAAAAAATAGCCACAACTGTTCATGAGGTCTAGTCGTACAAAATGGGTTAAAAGGTAAACTGGAATTTGGAACACTTGTGCCTTAGTCATGGGCATTAATGCTGAGTCACTAATAAACAGAATCTGGTGCTTTGAATGGTTCCCATGAATGTTGCTTTCTCAGCCATAAATTGGACATTGAAAAGCATTAAGGAGTCAGCCAACTTTCCTCAATACCTCACCAAGTTTGTAGATTTTTATATTCCTCTTGCCTCCTACACAATAGTATACATATACAAAAATGGTGCATTCTGGCATAGAGCTTAGCTTATCCCACTTCAGATCGACTTCATGACTCAACACAGTGATAACTGTCTATTGACATTTTCACCAAGCCTTCAAGGTAGCAAGTGCATAGAAGAGGCATGGGATGGCCGGGCGCAATGGCTCACGCCTGTAATCCCAACACTTTGGGAGGCCGAGGCAGGTGGATCACAAGGTCAGGAGATCAAGACCATCCTGGCTAACACAGCGAAACCCTGTCTCTACTAAAAATACAAAAAATTAGCCTGGCGTGGTAGCAGGAGCCTATAGTCCCAGCTACTCGGGAGGCTGAGGCAGGAGAATGGTGTGAACCCGGGAGGCGGAACTTGGAGTGAGCCGAGATCGCGCCACTGCACTCTAGCCTGGGCTACGGAGTAAGACTCCATCAAAAAAAAAAAAAAAAAAAGAAGAGGCATGGGATATAAATTATATAAATTAAGTCATTAAAGTGAAAGAATAGAGTGTAATAAAGAAAGATAGGAAAAGAAGAACAGGAATGAAAGGGAAAAGTAAAAAGGACATAGAAATAAAAGGAAGGATGTGATTTGTTTTTTAAAAAAATGGGAGGTGATGTTAGTGAAACACAAGCAGCACTGAACTACATTTGGTAAGAATTTAGTTCAATTAAACAAATATTTAAGTACCAGCAAGGTGTCAGTCACTGTCTGAAGAACTAGGGATATAACGACGTATAGGATCAGGTCCATTATTTAAGGAACTTACAGCTGTTTGGTGCAAGCAGACACTTGTATGTGCATTCAAATATTCAATTGGCAAACTATTTTTTTAGTGACTACTATGTACCACGCACATCTTAGGGGCGTAGCAAACAAAAATCAATGTAGCATCATAAGTTCTATGCTAGCAGTGAGAATAAAATACCATGACAGCACAGAGAAGAGAGTTATGGCTGCCATGATGGGATCATGGAACGCTTCAGCAACTGTTAACATCAGAGGCCTGGCTACTAGTACTGCATCTCACACTTACCAGCTGTGTGACTTTGGACAAGTTTCAAATCACCATCACCCACTGCAATATTGTTAGAAGATGCAGATTTTGTTAATCCTATGAGAATTCTAATAATAGTGCATGCACATCCAAATTCATAGATTAAAACCATTGGAGAAGCAATCCTTTTTACTCCTCTACCCACAAGGGTGACTCTGTAATATTTTTCAAATATAAGACAGTCTACAATTGAGCAACCACTCTATGTAGATCACAGTTTTAGATAACCAGGGTTGAGGACCTAGGGTACATGTAAAGGAAATAGAATACCTGCTCTCTGCCCATCAACCACAGTGATGACAAGCCAATAAACATAATTATGCTGGACATTACTTAATGGGCACTCCATAGCTATTCACTCCCACAACTGTTTATGGTACATTCAAGTGAGTGAATACAAATTTTGCTATTTTGTAGAGGGATAGAGTGTTGAAACTGCTTAAATATTATCTAATCTAACTCCTTCAAACTGAGAGAAAAAGAAGTTGAATGATATTCCCAAATCATAGAACTAGCTAATAAAGTATCTAACATTAATGGCTACTCAACTCAGGCAAGTAGATGATCAGGTTTTGACAGGGAGTTAAAAAGAAAAAGATGATATTCTGCTCCTATGAAAATAGTATGATGATATAGCATTAAGGGAAAGTGTCTCTTGGGACAAAAGTAGGTGATGAGAAATCTAATTACACACACGCACACACACACACATTAGCTTTCAACACTGATAACCCACCTGCTTCTTAAAAATTTTAAAGAAAATATTGAGTGCAAGAGAAGTAGCTCTCAAACTTACACGTTTTCATTTAACAGATAGTTGACTTTTCTACCTTTACAGGAAGGCAACACAATTTCTTCTCCATGCCTGACATGTTACCAGTTCATGACTAAATAATGAATAAATAGCTGCAGACAAGTAATTCTCAAGGGGGCCTCAAGGTACATCTTAGATGTTTGTGTTAATAAGTCTAGTTTCAAAGTAGAACTGGCAATCTCAAAAGAAATCGTTCTGAGCAATTCAAATCTCCAGCCATTGCAACAGGCAGCTCTTCACAAGTGTTTTGTTAATTCTAACCATGATCATATAATGCAAAATGGGATATGGGCATAACAATCTATTTTGGTTGAACATTTCAAAGAATGGCCAAATGTGGCTCATGATGCTGTATTTTACCTACAAAAATTCAAACTAATTATTGCCTCTAATCACACCAGCTCTTCAGCAAAACTAATATTAGAAAACTCTTCATCAGTGTTCCATCTTTCCTGTTTTGCCACATATTTGCAACTTTTCATCAGAAGACCTTTGCTTATTCTATATGTGATGGCAGAAGGGAGAATCAAAGGGTAGATGAGAAGCCTGTAATACCCACTGGGATTCAACTCTTGTTTATGCAAAGCTTGCAATAACTCACCTGTTGGTTAATATAGTTGTTCATTTCTCCCATCATGTGATATTCAAATATGGTGTTTGTGTGTGTGTGTGTGTGTGTGCGTGTGTGTGTGTGTCTGTGTGTTGGGAACTGAAGGCGAGAAGAAGAAAGACAAGTGGTGATGGTAGAATTTAAAAGTAGAATCCTAAAAGGTATGTCTTAAATAATAAAAGCGATTTATATAAAAGTGATAAAGCTTGGTCATGTCTCACCCATTTATAAATGAGTTGAAAGGAGTCCAGAAACCTCAGTGACTTTCCCGGCACAAAATGGACAAATGAACTGTAAGAATTAATGTTTATTATCTCCAGTATTATGAATCACCCTTATACATAATGACTTATCAATTTGTACTTAATTGGCAGCTTTACAGATGTTTTGGATTTACTTTGGCAAATGCTTCATTATTCTAACTACATGATTAGCTCCTACCAGTCACAGTCGATTTGCCCTGTTTTCGCTATTTTTTCTACATGAAGTTTGGGCTTCTAATAAACCCATTGCCCAAGTGGTGAACATAGTACCCAACAGGTAGTTTTTCAACCCTTTCCCTACTCCTTCCCTCCCTCTTTTGGAATTCCCAGCGTTTATTGTTCCCATCTCTGTGTCCCTGTGTACCCATTGTTTGGCTCTCACTTACATGTGAGAACATGTGGTATTTGGATTTCTGTTTCTACACTAATTCACTTAGGATTATAGCCTCCAGCTGCATCTATGTTGCTGCTACAAAGGACATGATCTCATTCTTTGTATGCCTGTGTGATATTCCATGGTGTATATGCACCACATTTTCTTTATCTGATCCACCATTCATGGGGATCTAGTATCAGAGATTATAATGGAAATCTACTTTCTTGACAGATAACAGTTCTGATTCACACCTATTTTATCAGAACATACCATCAGAAAATTCTTCACCTCTCTTCTCAAATGAAATTCTAAAATATTCTACATTTCTGAACTTGCCCTTCTCATTTTTTCTCAGCCTTAAGGATTTTTATTTTGAATACCATAAAGCAGCATTGGACTAAGAGTGAGAAAACATCAGTTAAGTCTTGCTTCTATCTATCTTGGACACTGGAGAAATCTCAGTAAGCCAGTAAGCATGTGCCTTATTCAAGGACTGATGGATGAATTAGCAACTGGGTGGATGAATGTCACCATTTACTCATCCACTTCAGATGGATCGCTGGTCTTTGGAAACTTGATTCCTTCAGGTTTGTAGTCTGTTATCTTAAATTTGTTATAATCTGTTATAATCTGTTATCTTAAAATTAAGAGAAATATTGGGTACTTATACTGTGCCAGGTATTTAAAAGGTATTTTAAATATATAGAGCCGTAAATATACAGATAATTATATGGTTATAATTGAGTCATTAAAACAATTACCATTAACCTCATTTTACATCAGAGGAAAACTGAAATTCATGAATACTTTGTAACTGGCCCAAAGTCACATAGTGGGAAAGTGGCAGAACTTATTTACAATCCCAGTTCTCTGGGATTGAATGCTCTGACCTCTTTGTCACATGACTTCTCATTGTCCTTCTCGTTCTTTATCTCTGTGTGAACTCTGTGCCGCCAATCGGTGCTTGCTTTAAGGTAAAGAATGCATTAAATCTTAGTAGCTTCAAATGCTTTGCAGTGTCTTTAAAGAAAGCATGCAGAATTCAGAAGAGGTAGGGACTATTTTTTATAATTAACAAGCCAAAGGAATAGTTGTGTTACCGAGGACACAGATAGGTATCTCAATTAAAAAGAAAAATTATAGTCCTTCTAAATGTTCATTCACAGTAGACACTTTGGAATGTCTTGCTGAATGGCATTTAAAACTCTGCATAGAGTTATAAATCATGCTTCAAGAGACTTTCCTTCTATCTCTCTGATTCACTGGACTTTCAATTATTCTAATAATCTGACATATATCTGGATTTATAAGTAATCTCTTAAGAGAGTCCTGCAACCATTTGCTATTCCCTGAAGCTTTCCATTTCTGGCTGCTGAAAGAATACAGTTCAGCAGCTATGCTTATTTTAATGCTTCTCTCAACCTACAAACCAAAGGTTAGTGACAAGAGCATAAGTCAGACTGCAGATTCCTTCATTTTTCTGCTTGCACCCCCAAAAAATGTGGTTTTAAAAAATGGTGGCATATTATACTTTTAGGACAGTACTCTAAAGGCCCCAGACATAATATTGATTATTTTCCAAACTCGTTTCACCTAGTTTGCATGTGTTCTTCTTTTATCAGATGAATTTAGAAATGGAATGAATTTAGTCTGCTTGTTTTAAAAGATGATCTCATACAAATATATGACAAATTCTTTAGGGTTTTCTATTTGAATCTAGCTTAAATGTAAACAGGACACATTACTAAAAGTTTTGAAATCAGTTATCAGGAACTTCCTCTGCAGTATAATCCCAGTTAACTAAAACTAAACTACCCTCTGCCCATGCCCTCCAATCCCCATCCCATTTTCCTCAATCCTAGTCCTCAGCCTTGTCTTTTTTCTGCATGTCTACCATGATCTTTAGATTACTGATGTTTGGAATGATCATCTGAGGACGTCATCAAGGAAGATCAAGTAGCATTTAATAACCATATTTCCAATGATAAGAAAGCTAATAACATTTTGTAATGCCAATTAAATAATAAGTACAAAAATAAAAATAGCAATAGAACTCACTCTTAAACAACCAGAGCTCTGGCTAAACAGAACAACCCATTTACCAAGAAATCTGGTTAATCATATTTCTAGTGCATTTCATACTTAATTCACAAGGTCAGGCATATCCTGCTGTCTCTGATGTTAATTTTGGGTTGATTCATGTATAAACAGGTATTACAGGGAAACCAGGCCAAGTGTTCCTGCAGAAAGCCAGTGGATTTTTATGTCTCTTCTGCCCACGTGGAGGGAGGCAGGAGGGGATAGAGAATAAAACGATGCATATAGACCTCTGGGGTTAAATGTCAAATTCTACCAAGGTTCAGTTCACACTGCTCCACTTATTCAACCTGACTACATCATAGCAAAGAGCACGATGCCATGAGCCACATGTAAATACTCTATTTTCGAGCTGTCAGACATTTTTGGTGGTTCACCAGCCTGACCTTCAAAATCATGTTAGTGACATTTATTTCAAGCCTAAAAGTTTCATGCCAGAGAATTTAAACACTGTAAGCATAGAAGTGGTGAGCTCTTACATCAAAGTTCAAATATCTACTTAAAAACAAAAAATAAAAAAAAAAAAACTTGGTCTTACCACTTAATTTTAAAATCTATCATTTTATAACCAGGGAAAAGGGAAAGAAAAAAGCAGAGAAACTAACCTTTTATTTCATGACATCAAATTATATGAAATTTAAAACTGAAGCTAGGGCACTAATTTTTTTTACATATAAATAGATTTCAAAAATTAGTTAAGGTTTAGTTTTACAATGTTGATTGTTCCACATGAGGCAAGTCTTTTTTTTTCTTTTCCTGTATGTGTTTTCCATTTATTTTGTGTTCTCAGAAGCATCTAAAAAACTCGGTCATAAAAGTAAAGTATACAGTGTGGAGTTTTTTCTAAATACCTCAAGTGTTTTTGTAGCCAAAACTGTCTGCCGTCTTTCCTTTGGAGAACCACGAACCCTGAGTTACTCTCTAAATGAGGCAGACAACTATCTTTCTTCAGCGATGCCATTCTAGAAAATTGGGTTATATTTTGTCAAAGTAAACTATATAATACATTTGCAGAGGAAAAAAAGAAAAAAAGAAGACAATGTGGCTGGGCATGGTGGCTCATGCCTGTAATCCCAGCTTTGGGAGGCTGAGGCAGGTGGATCACCTTAGGTCGGGAGTTCGAGACCAGCCTGACCAACATGGAGAAACCCCATCTCTACTAAAAATACATAAATTAGCTAAGCGTGGCGGCACATGCCTGTAATCTCAGCTACTCAGGAGGCTGAGGCAGGAGAATCACTTGAACCCAGGAGATAGAGGTTGCAGTGAGCCGAGATTGTACCACTGCACTCCAGCCTGGGCACAAGAGTGAAACCCAGCTAAAAAAAAAAAAGACAATGCATCTATATCTCAAGTAATGGAAGGTAAGCCCTTCCAAAGATTTCTCCAAATATTTTGTCCCTCTTCAACTTTCAACTCTGATTACACTTCCAAACAGGTCAACAGTAAACATGTAGAGACTTTCTAATGGTTTATATATACCAGTCTACTTAAACAGCTGTATTTTGAGGAAAAAATCTTGTCTTTATCTCCTTTTGTATCTCCTACAGACAGCGCTCTGCCAGGAAGTATTTAAGAAGTACTTGTTGAAGTAATTTTTCTTCAAAACCACAAAGCTACACACACATACATGCATGATACAAAGTTGCCCTACGGAGATAGAAGGGGGCTGATTTTGTCACATAGCAAGGATGATCCATCTAAAAGAAAGAGGCTCAAGAGCTGAAAGTGAATCTAAGAGGTACTTCTCCAGGCACTAAGAAACTGTCACAGTACTATCCATAGAGTGGAAAACAATGAAGTACTCGTTGACAGTTGCACTTAACACCTGCTGGCCCACCCAGCTAAGTGGGCCAGCAGAGTAATGCAATTATCCAGGTGACTCATGGAAATAAGCCATTTTTAGCTGAAATATCTAAGCAGCTCAAGCTAAAGTAGGTTGTTACCTAGGTCATTCAGGCAAAAGCAGGTTGTTTTGTTTAAATTTTCTGGTGGTAGGGGAAAGCGTGGAGGCAAACTGAACAAGAAGTTCAGCAAGAAGCTCTCTCAAAACCTCAGAATTGCTGCTTGTGACATGCCAGGTAGACTCCATGTGATACTAAAAGGAGAAGGAATTAACATTTTAGTTGTCTTTTATTCTACTGCATGCACACACAGACATAGTTTTAATTTGAAACCAGGAGCTTTTGATCTTTAGAAGAAATGAACTTTTATCATCAGTGATCAGTGACAAGAACTCTCTTTTCTGATACAGGGTCTCACTCTCATGCCCAGGCTGGCATACAATGGTGTAATCATAGCTCACTGCAGCCTCAACCTCCTGGGCTCAAATGATCCTCCTGTCTCAGCCTCCCAAATAGCTAGGACTATAGGTGCAAGCCACCATACCCAGCTAATTTTCTAATTTTTGTAGAGGTGGAGACTTGGTATGTTACCCAGGTGGTATTGAACTCCTAGGCTCAAGCAATCTCCCTGCCTCAGCCTTCCAAAATGCTGGGATTACTCTCCTGATTATTAAAATTATGACTGTTCAAGCACTGAAAAGCACTTCAAAGACATCAGTTCATTTAACAACAGGTCCTGACACAAAAACCGTAGTAAAGTTTCTGATCCTTGTGGAAAGAAACATTTAAGGCCAGTGCTGTTCGTGTCGAATACATTTGATGCTCATGAGTCCTTACACATGCTACTAAAAGGGGGATTGATGGCAGCCACTGGGGGAGTTCTGCGCTGGCACAGAGCTTTCCCATCTTAGGGTCTGCCCAACCTGTTTCCCTACTTGTCCATGGTATTTCCTGCCAGGGTCAGAACCATTTTGCTTTTCTGGCTCTCTACAGCAGCATTGCTTGGACTTGTGTCTCAGTAGGATGCTCTATGTTTTATCTGCATGCTCTTCTCACTGTAAGCTCTAAAACCACAGGCTGCACCAAAGAAACCATTGTGCTTTTCCAGACCACAGCAAGCTCAGCTTCAGTGAAAAGGGACAGAGAGTGATACAACAGGGTAGGGCAGTATGAATAAGATGCTCCAAGGAATAAGGACATTCAAGCTCTAGAGACATCTCTTGGCCACAGATCAGTTCTACTGTTAACCCCTTGATAGTTAGTGGTCCACAGTATAGACTCTGGAGTCAGGCTAGACAGACATAGGATTCCACTTCTTTCATTTACTAGTGAAAAAACTTTTTAAAAATTTCTTTAACCTCTCTAAACCTCAATTTTTTCATCTGTAATATCAAAATAACTATAAAAACAGCATTGATTGTTTGTTGAGAAGATCAGATGAGATAATGTCTGTAAAGCACTAAGCATAGGGATGGTACATAATCCACTTTCCAAAATGGTGACTACTTGATCACTACCATCATCACTTCCTTCTCAGTGCTTTAGGACTTGTCCCGCTTATTACTCTTCATGAGTAGCATCCACTCCCTGGAACATCACAAAAGGAAACCCAAGTGAATAGTTTTCCACTTTCTTTTGCAACCCCAAATTAAATTCATGGCATGATTGACATTTTCTAAGATATTTAACTAGTAGTAATATTAAGAAAACCAAGAATAAAATTCCTTCAACCTATGAGCTGGTCTTCATCTTTTTGGTGTTTTTGATCCCTCTGACACAATCATAGCCATTCATGAATTTGTATGGCCAGATTTGGAAAGGCTAAAAGACTAAAGGAAAGAGTCATCTTCAGTGATAAAACAAAGGCAAGTTGTATTGGACATTTAATTAATGGATTGGCATCCTGGGGATTGGAGTTCAGATTATCAAGATGAGATAGAAGGAAGGAGAGAAGGAGGAAGAGGAGGAGGAGGAAGAGAAGGAGGAGGAAGAGGATGAAGGAGGAGTAGGAGGAAGAGAAGGAGGAGGAGGAAGAGAAGGAGGAGGAGGAAGAGAAGGAGGAGGAGGAAGAGAAGGAGGAGGAGGAAGAGAAGGAGGAGGAGGAAGAGAAGGAGGAAGAGGAAGAGAAGGAGGAGGAGAAGAAGGAGAAGGAAGAGAAGGAGGAGGAGAAGGAAGAGGAGGAGGAAGAGAAGGAGGAGGAGGAAGAGAAGGAGGAGGAGGAAGAGAAGGAGGAGGAGGAAGAGAAGGAGGAGGAGGAAGAGAAGGAGGAGGAGGAAGAGAAGGAGGAGGAGGAAGAGAAGGAGGAGGAGGAAGAGAAGGAGGAGAAGGAGGAGGAAGAGGAAGAGAAGGAGGAGGAGGAAGAGAAGGAGGAGGAGGAGAAGGAGGAGGAGGAGGAAGAGGAGGAGAAGGAGGAGGAGGAGGAGATTCTAGATAGTGATAGCAAAGAAGAAATTAGAATCCTGATGCCACTAGACATATTTCTTAAAACAAGAGGGAGACGTGGTTGTCTAGAAAGCATCAATGTATCTAAAATGTAAGAGAGTTATTTTATAAAAAGACTGTCCTGGAAAATCTGGACTTTGGTGTTACTACCATTGCGACAACAAATCCTTTATATATATTAGAGTTTGGACTGCCTGTGTTTAATCTAGTATGAAGCCATTTTCTATGAGACCTCCCTATTCATTTGCATTGAGTCCCCATTGCTAGTTGTCTGAACCAGGTGTTCAGTTAACATTATTAGCCTTTAGAAATTTCACTTCTCTTTTAGAAGTGAAAAATCTGTGATTTATGTTTTTTATTTTTGTACATAGTGGCAAACACATTTTGATATTCACCTCAGTTACATCACGATTATATATTAGGGTATTTTTAATTAAAAAATTATCAGGTTACATTTCTGTTATTTGGTATTTGGTCACTGATAAGAGATCTGCCACTTCTAAATTCCAATATGACAGATAACTAAATCCAGCAGATTTGCTATTTATAAATTCTTATCCATCACAATGACTTCAAGCTAAGAAGAATGCGGTCCTTCAATTACATACAAATTATCTTCTCTACTATCTGCAAAAGAAATTAGAATAAAAAAATTGAAAAACTGTGTCTTCAATTAAAAAAAACCCTGAAGGAAGATTACTTCTATAATCAACAATATAATGCTTTATTAAAATCCCATTAAGCTGTACTGTTTATCATGTTGCTCCACTGCTTAAAGCCTTTCAACTACTCCCACTTTCTTTCTGCCAAGTTCGTGATGCCCAGTAAGATTTAGTCCCTCCATATCTCTCCAAGCTGACATTTTGCCAATCTCTCCCATGCTTCTTCTCTCCCTTTCTCCAGCCACACAAGCCTTCATTTGATTCTATCAAAGAACTAAATCCCTTTCTACCCCAGGCCCTTTGCATGTACAGATATCTTTACTTAGGTGCTTACTTCTCAGTTCATCCCATCCCCTACTTTTCCATTACCCTACTGCACAGGCTCCTAGATCCTGTGCTTACCCATTATAGTAGATGTTCATAATCACAATTAATCCACTATTGGAGTACTATCTCTCTCTCTGATAGACTCAGATTTTCAAGAAAGTAGATACTTTATCCTTCATTACTATATCCTCTGCTCTTAACAAGAAAGCACATAATAGGTGCTCACTAAAAAGCAACCAGCTGATGGAATAAATAATATAAATTTTAGTGAAACCTATCATATTATATTGCCCACATTTACAACTTCTTCCTTGCTTATCTGAAAGTATCATAGCCCTTCTATGTAGCTGGAACTCTTTTATAGGTACCTAGAGGGAGCAAATGTCAATAGTCCTTTTTTTAAGTCCCAAAGGAAATGATTACTGTAACAGATTATAGTGGACAGAACTACCTTGACTCAGATCTGTTTCACATGAAAGGATCCAGTATTTTTACTAAAATTCCTTGGCTCTCTGTCTGTCCATTTCAACTGGAATTCTCTCTACTCACCTAACCAAGCCCATGAAAGATAAAATACTTTTCAAAGTCGAATGTTCATTTTTTTATCTTTAAAAAGGAAAATACTGACAACTGAGAAACTGGTTCCTTATAAAATTCTTATCCATTTTCCCTCTTTCATTCTCTCTATGTAGTTATGATGTCACGAATTCAACTCTAGTGCCCCATCAAGTGCTGTAGCCAAGAACTAGAACTACTTTGCAATTGCTCAAATTATAGTGAACATCAGATAAAGCATTTGCTATCTCCTGTTCTCTATTTTTGGGGGCCACAAATAACTGAGCACAAGCAGTGCTACCCACTGCAAGCAACACAATTCATTCTGGAGGTTTGAATGTGGGGAGAATAGTCTTGCAGTTTCAGGAATGTGCTAGTCACATAAGTTATCTTCTTAACAATCCAAGTTGACCAAAATATCGTGAAACTAGCCAAGATTCTTCTTGTGAACAGCATCTTCCCACCAAAATGTCTACTATACAGTGGTGCTATTATTTGCCATCCATGTCTGGTTAGCACTAAAATAGAAAGGTAAAGCAATCATTTCTTGTGAGACTTCTTAAAACTATTTGCACAATAATCAGACAACTCTCAAATGGCCTGTCCCAAGATTTAAGACACAAGATTCTTTCAAATAAATAAAATGGAAACACTATTTCCGACAGCCCAAAGAGAGGTTTGTTGATACTGGTTTCCTTCAAGCTGTCCTGTGATCAAATCGAGTCACACAGCGTAAGTGTCTTCCTAGCCTCAAGAAAGGGTTAGTTCAGGGAGCAATACAGTTTACACAGGATCAGTTGCCAAAGTGTGAGCTTCGGCTTGGCTCCACTTCTCTTATGAAAGGAAACAATGCAAAGTCTCCTGACGTTGGAGATTCGATTAAACCCGATTCAACTATTTAGAACGTGACTACCCAGAATGAAGTAAAATGGAAATATAGTTAATTTGACTAATGCAATCACTTTTGCTCCTGGGCCTCAATCCCCTCCCTCTCCCACACACACACACACACACACACACTTTTACCTCATTAACTCATATTTAAAGACACAGCTCAGGCTTCTTTTTCTCAGTCCACCTCCTACCCCCTATTCTGGTAGGATGCCTCTACTCGGTGTTCCATAGAACCGTGCTCACTGCTATCACATGACTTACAATTTGTTTTAAGTTACCTGTTTCTTTTCCTTTTGCCTTAAAAACACTGTGAGCTGCTTAATGGCAGAAATCTTATTTCATTCATCCTTATATTTAAGCACTCAGTTTTGTTCCTGGCCAATAACTATTTGATACAAGAATGAATTGAGGAATTATACTAAAAGATTCACTTTGGAGTCTCAAAACAGCTAACAAGGTAACTTTCTTAGAACTGACAATATCTTTTTCCTGTTATCCTGAAATCTACAGCCTGAAAGTACAAACTGAGATTACTGACTCCACTTAACTTTTTGCAGATGCTGTAACTTCCCTCCAATTCTTCCATGGAAAGTGCTGCTCCCTAGTATCCACTTAGCCTGTCACATCAAGGAGTCAGAACATGCTCCTCCTGCTTTCCCACAGCTGTTTCCATGCCTCTCATCCACTGTCTTGTCATTTCCTTGAAACTCTCCATCCACTGGCATTGCTCTTATCCACTGTATCCAGCATCTACCAACATTCAGTGCAGCCCCATATATTCTCTCAGGACATTGTTAATTGGTTTATAGTTGTATTAGTCCATTTTCACACTGCCAATAAAGACATACCCAAGACTGGGTAATTTATAAGAAAAAAGAGGCATAATGGACTCGCAGTTCCATGTGGCTAGGGAAGCCTCACAATCATGGCAAAAAGGTGAAAGAGGAACAAAGGCACATCTCCCATGGTGGCAGGCAAGAGAATGTGTGCAGGGGAACTGCCCTTTATAAAACCATCAGATCTCATGAGACTTGTTCACTATCACAAGAACAGCATAGGAAAAACCCACCTTTGTGATTCAGTTATCTCCCACTGGGTCTCTCCCATGATGTGTGGAGATTATGGTAGCTATAATTTAAGATGAGATTTGGGTAGGCACACAGCCAAACCATATCATAGCTATTCTCTTCTGTAGTCTCCCCCATTATCTTAGGCAACTCCACTACCAACACTGAAAAATCATCTAAGTGCCCAATTCCTCAACCTCCTCTGCTTCGGTGTCTTACATCCCAGCACTAAGTCTTGATTCTTTGATTTACTTGCCTCCTCCTGTCTGTCTTCCCCTGCATAGGAATGCTGATTAGGAAAGGGAGATATGATTGTGTAGATACAGGGCTTTCCCTGAGGCTAAGAATCCTAGGCAAAACAGAAATTGTCTATGAGCCATGGAACAAAGGGAAATAGGTCATTCATCTTGGGCAAGGAATACCAAGAAAGTAAATATGGGTTCAAAATATCAAGTACAGTGAAAAAAGATAAAATTAGTCTGAGTGGTAAAAATCTAGAAAAATAAGGTAGAAGTAGTCATGGTTTTTAGCACTCCCTCAGTTGCCAAAAAGACCTGGTAACTGTCAATTTTTCAACTTACTCTCACATTCGCCCTTTCACCCTCATATCCACCTTTGGAGACAAGCCTGACTCTGCCAGACAGTCTTAAGACTTTTGTGATGCAGAATGAAAGGAAGGGTCTAAAGAGCCAGGAGAAAGAACTGGGGAAAATTGGTAGGAGGAGTATGAATAGGGCTGCTCTCCTTGAGGGCTAGATTGACAGCAGAGAATGGTGGGGTGGGAAGTAGAAGGCTCCAGCAGTAGCCTGGAGAATTGAAAAGGAAAGAAAATAAATGCAAAAATCAGATCCCCATATGTCTTCCGAGGAATGCAAATGGAATTCCTCAGTGTGTGTGTGTGTGTGTGTGTGTGTGTGTATGTGTTTATCTGTACTTCACTTTAGACCTGAACCATGTAGGTCACAACCTCAATTAACTTACTTTGTAATCCAACATGGAGTTTTGGTATCAGACAGTGGACCAGAATGAGTGAGGACATTTAGGATGCAGAGTATTCCATGGAGTGGCCAGCTCCTGAGTGAGCAGAGAGCTGAGAAGGCACAGAACCAACTTGGGCAGACTCAACCTCCCACTACTGCTAGTTTGCAGAGTACTAATCCCTAACCTGGATCAACCCAACCATCTGTTTCTGTGGGCTTGCTCCCAAACTACCAAATGCAATTGGAGAAAATTGGCGGAAAAACAAATTTACAATTTTCAAGCTCAGCTGGACTATCCGTATTGCTCAGCAATTCTTTCACTTATCCATGATTGGTTCCTTTTTCCATTTTCAATAGCAGCATTGCCAATATGTTATCTTCTTTTTCAGGACTCCAACCCACTTTCTCCATTCATGCATACAATTCAACAACCATTTATTGAGCACTTACTATATTCTGAGTACTTTTGTAAGGGTTTGTAGATGATAAAAAATAGTCAAAAATTCTTCATCAAAAAGGCAGAGTCTGTTTCCCTACTTCCCAAATGTGGCCAAGCTACCTGATTTCCTTTGGCCAATACAGTGCATCAGAAATAATGTTGCACTATTTTCAAGAAAGGTCTCAAGAGTCCCTGCAACTTCCTCTCACCCTCTTGGAACTCTGATATCACCAGGCTCTGAAAGCCCCAATATAGGCTCCTTGAGAATGAAAGACAACATAGATGGAGACAAACAGTCAACTCAGCCATCATAGCTAAGCCCAGCCACCAGTCAACCCACCACCTAAATACAGCCACCTGAGGGAGCCGAGGTGAGACCATAGGCTAGGCCACGGAATTCACTATTAGTGATTTATTATGCAGTACTTCACTCTGGCCTGTGAACTCCTCGCCTAGTCCACCAAACGTGAACTTTTGGATGTATGTCTAGTCAATGTGACTTCTGCTATGACAGAAAAACACCGAAATCATAGTGGTTTTACATAATAGCAGTTTCTTTCTTTCCCTTTTAAGTCTAATCAGCTGCTGACTGGCTTCTCAAGATTGCTGCATTCCATCGTTTAGGAACCCAGGGTTTACCATTTGGTGTCTCTATCTTCTCTAAGTCCTCAGAGTCCCTTCCATTCAACCAGAAAATGGGAGATACTTAATGGGAGGCAGGCAATATATGAGAGAGGAAGTAGAAGATTACATGAAAATTTGTTAAGGATCAGGAGTGAAATGCCATACCTCTGCCCACATTCTCTCATCTTGACAAGTGCATCTGAGAAATAGTCTATATGCCTAGGAAGAAAAGAGGACTCGTTTTAGTGAACATATAGCAGTCTCTGCAATTATCTACCCTTTGTCATCAAGTGAGTATTTCACTCTTTATTTCAAACATTAACTGCCTCCCCAGAGAAGACAACCTAGCAATTCATCCAATCATTTTAATCAGCTCAAAGTTCAAGATCCCTGGCCCAGATGCAGTATCTTCCCTTAGGTCTGAGAGAGGTTTTTATGGACCAGCAATTTATATTCTAAAAAAAAATCTCCGAATGATGGAACAGGGAAAGGATAGTTGCAATAAAAATTCACATTTGGGGCCAGACGCGGCGGCTCACGCCTGTAATCCTAGCACTTTGGGAGGCCGAGGCGGGCGGATCACAAGATCAGGAGATCGAGACCAACCTGGCTAACATGGTGAATCCCTGTCTCTACTAAAAATACAAAAAATTAGCTGGGCATGGTGGCGGGTGCCTGTAGTCCCAGCTACTCGGGAAGCTGAGGCAGGGAGAATGGTGTGAACCCGGGAGGCGGAGGTTGCAGTGAGCAGAGATCCTGCCACTGCACTCCAGCCTGGACAACAGAGGAAGACTCCCTCTCAAAAAAAAAAAAAAATTATATTTGAAAAAGGAAAGAGTGAAAAACATACAGCAGTCACCAGTTCCTAGCAATTCTGAAATTCTGCTGGGTGGGCAGGAAAGCCCTTTGCCCTGGAGTAAGGAAACATCCTAGATTAGACTGATTTTATTCTCTGAGAAGAACTCTCTTGTCCATTGTTTTACACTGGCCCTAGATCCACTGTCTCTGGAATATTCTTCCTTGTCCATTATCCTCCACGGCTACATATAAGATAGGCTTTTGGGAATATGCCTTCTTTGACAATGTTAGCCTTTGTAGGAACTTCCTGCTAGGGCAAACATTGAACCCATAGTTTGTATTCAGGTTTGAAAAAATCAAAGTCTTTTATTTTTTACTTTAATCTCAAGAATTTTTAGCAGCACAATTCACATAAAAACTTAGTAAGCTTCTGATCTATTTGCTTTCAGTCCCTTCCAAATAGTAGTAGCCTAACAATTCTTTCCTCCATATAAGTCTACAGCCTACATATTTCTTCGCATCTGTGTATTTCTTTGTTATCTCACTTTCTTGTTATTCTCTTTCATACATTAATGGCAGGTATCTTTAGCTTATCTGAAACAAAAATTTCTCTAAGTGGAATGTTAGCATAAGGCTGAGGCTTTTCTTTGAATGAAAAGCCTTATTGGACCTCTGATGCCCAAACTCTTTCTCAGTTTTCTCTCTCACTATTTGAGATATGAAAGCACTCAACTTTGCTAACCCTCATAAGACCTCTGGTTTCTTCCCATTTCCTTCTAACTTTGCTTTAATATCAGCCTATTCTTGCCTAATCTCATTTCTTTCATGTACCACTTAGGGCAGCTAATAGTGGCCAACATACACTCTCACTTTGACCCTTTTCAACAATTTCCTCTAGCAACAAAGTCAAGGTCCTTCAAGGTCTGGCTCCAACACCCTTTTCTGTGTCACTCTACTCCATTATTTATCATGTCCATCAATCCTGTCTATGATCCAGACCTCTGAGCTGTTCCCTGCTTCCCAGACATCCCATGTCCTTTCACATCACACCTTTGGCTTTGCTGATCTCTGGTGATTAAAAATTCTGACATAAGTTTAAGGTTCTGCTTAAATATATCTTCTCTGAAGTTGTCCACAGCCATGTCTCATCCAATAACTTCAGTCAAAATGAGTTTCTTCATCCTCTGCTGTCCCAAAACAATTTGATTTTAATCCTAGTAGAATATAGAATAACATTATTGTTATAGTTTATAAAATTATTTTTGTCCCTCAACTTAACTCTTTACCATGAGTTACTAAAAAAGAAGCATTTGAGGTTACATAATTTTGTGTCCATGGTATATAATATTGATAGCGGGAGCTCAGTTAATGTTTGTTAAAATTAAATAGATGCATAAAAAGTTAACAGTATTCTAGTCAATTGAATAATTCTGCCCACCCACATATCCTCAATCACCATGACCAAATCAAGTATGCAACAATCTACCCTGATGATTAATTAGGCCAAAATAACCGAGCCAGGATAGGACAATCAGATCATTTTGCAATGAGAGAACCATTCTAATTTTTTTCAGAGTATTAAAAGAGAGAAGTTCCTAACAATGCACAGATGGCCTAAAAAAGCTAATGCACTCCATCTCCAAAGAGCAGACACTTTATTTTCTTGTTGCCACCAAGACAAGACTCATTATCTAATTTTGTGCATCTGTCTTAAAGTTATTTTATAAGTACAGACCGTTACTTTAAAAGGACAATTTTTGGTAACTGTTTAGAACTACTTCATCTAAATGCATGTAATCATGAAAATGTAATGCATTTTCAATGCACAAAATCATTGAGAAATGCAGAGAGGCATAGAAAAATGGATATCTTTAGATGACTCTCATTGATACTGCTTTGGATTCCTGTTCATAACACAAAGTTCTTGAAGAACAAGGAATCTCATTTTGTGATTGTTACAGATATGTATGTAACATATTCCATTATGTATCTTTTATTTTCCACTCATATTTATTTTGATAATATCTTGAATTTTAATAATTTCACATGTGATTTCTGGTTGTGTTTTTCTATTTTTTCTTAGACCAATAGCTTTTCAGAGCTAGAAGAAACCTAAAAATCCTGCAGCCCCATCCCTTTATTTTGTGGAAACTCTAAAAGGTCAAGTAACTTGCCCAAAATTGAGTAATAAGAAAACAGTAAGATTAACAACCAGGTTTCCTGAATCCACTAAAAATGGAAGTGGCATGATAAAACTAACATTTACCAAAGACATGTTAGTATTTGTCTGTTCTACTTTCAGTTCAGTTCAATTAAATAATTTTTTCCATTTATAAGTCATTGGGGAGAAAATATAATACTGCTTTACTAAATTGGCTAAGGACTATGTACAATATATGTTTACCATAATTCTACCAAAGTATCTGTGACTTTTAAAATTCCTGTTCTTAGTCAGACTAGAGATTTAGTTCATATTTCAATACTATTTGCTTACACATACACACACACACATATTTAGTAGCCCAGGTTAATTGGCAGATGCTTCCTTAACTAATGTTCATGACTAACCAACAATCTGTCTGAATGCTTCAGATGCAGCAGTCACTTTTTTCTTGGTGATTTAATCACTTCCTTCCATTTAATTACTTTGAGGATTAACTGTGGGCAAATGTATTCCAATAATAGGCCAATCTACAAAGAGCAGGAAGCTTTCCTTATGGTCCCAAGGGAAATTTAGCACTTCCGATTGTAACTGCGTTACAGCTCTCATGTTTCTTTTAGCCCTTAAGCCATGTGTGTCACCTTGCCTGTTTGAGTGTAAAAAAAAATGTCACAGGTTGCACTGTTTACATGCTAGCATTTGTACACAATTTCTGGCAGAATAAAGATGGCTTTTCTTAATCTGGGCCATACAGGAAGCTATTTCTTTCCAAATCAAGTCATTAATGCTTAAACAAGCAAACACTACAGCCAAGACAAAAATCAATTTGCAAAAAGGGGAGGCTTTTTTCCAAACTCTCCAGCAGTCGCTGGGGAAGATGCTTTTACAATCTAGTGCTTTAGAGTATTACAGTATTAGGTTAGGTCAATCCTATTTTTCTAGTTGGATTTATTTTGAGAGTCAAGGTGATGAGTAGTTTTGAATACTATCAGCAGTGTATCTATCAGCAATGTTTTCACTACCAGAAGAAATAGTTCTTATTCTAAATAACAAGCATAGAAATCTGTCCAGTGACCTTCATTTGACCTCTTGGCCACATGTGTCTGGGTATCTTCCAATGGTTGAATGCTCTATGAGGGTGGTTTCCAAACTTTGCTGCAAATTAGAATTACCCGGGGAGCTTTTTAAAATCCCAGTGTCCGGGTTGCACCCATCCCAATTAAATCAGAATATCTGAAGGGTGGGAGCCAGCATTATTAGTTAATAATCCCTTGAGGATTCCAATATGCAGAAAAAGTTGAGAGCCAATGACTGTGACATTTCTGGCTCATGTTGCTTTCCGGTAGATAGATTCCCAGACTGAAAGATAAAAAGGAATTTTTTTCTCTGTTCTGATTTCCAGATTTGTAAAATCAAGAAATATTAAAGATACAGGTATTTATTTGGGAGATACGTTTATTAAAATAGAGGAAAACATTTACATCAATAGTCATGAAACAGTTTATATTATTTGACCTACCTATTTTAATTCAGAAATTTGTTTGAAAAAGATAATCAAAGATGCATGTCCATAGCAATGTTAAATTTTAAAATATTTAAAGAAATTGTCCTATTAATATGTCATAATTTAATGAATTACAAAATGGCTGTGTGAAGAACTATATTTTTATTAAATGTGTTTCATTACACAGAAAAGCCCTCTAAATATAATGTTAAGTACAAAAACATAACATGTATTTGCATATATCATATATATGGACATATACACCTACACATATACATCCATTTATATATCCTATCTATATATCATATATAAATTACATTTGAAATTATCTGCATGGACAAATATATATAAATGCCTAAATGCAAAAGGACACATCTGGAAGGTCACACTTTAAGTAAGGAAAAGGGTTTATTCTATACAGAGTAGTGGGGCTGGGCAAAGTGAAGAGAGAGTTTTTCTTTGTATTACATATACTTCTTTATTGTTTGCATTGTTACAATATTAGCATGAGATTATTAAAATTTAAAATAAACAGAATTAAAACAAACCGGAGAAGTAAACACACTTTAATACAGAGAAAAAGACTCAGCAAAATGTAAATATAAACGGTACCTCTGATTTATCAGACAGAAACATTTGTTCTCATGATTTTACTAAGCATCTATTATTTTATAATGTGTGAAGTAAAAAATATTGACCCTAAAAATAGATTACTGGATAAATAGATCCTCATGTTTGAAAGGATAAATTCACATTTCAAAGGGGCCCCTGCCTCACTAGCCAGGCCACAAACAATTTTGTTTCTCATTCAGGTTTTTCCGCTAAGGAGTATAAAAGCACATTAGAAAACATTATTCAAATCTTGATAATCCAATCATCATCTTTAGTCTATTTCAAAGGTGCCTTTTCCAGGGCCGTTAGCCTGTATACTTCACAATTCTAAAAAAGGAAGAAAAGTTCACAGTGAAAAGACATCTGAACATTTCATTCTAATATTCCCACAGTTGAAGCATAAAGATTCTTCACATGGGAAAATCAGAACTAAGATAAGTGCCTACCAAATAAGTGAAGTATAAATTACACCGAAATTGTGCTTATTATCAAGAATACTTGATATCTATCAATACTTGAACTTCTATCAAGAATACTTGATTTTGAGGATTTTCAAAAAGGTTTGGTTTAAAGAGGTAAAGGTCCTTTTATTTGCGTGTTAAAATTTACTTAAAATTTGAACATACACTCTCTTGATATAATAATGACTACTCTAATAAACAGTTCAGAAAGTTTTAGTGGTTTAACATGATAGAAATATGTCCTTGTTCATACAATATTTCAACGCAGGTGTTAGAAGGATAGCCTTCCAGGGAGTGATTCAGGTTCCCAGGCTCCTCCCATCCCATAGCCACACCATCTTCTGGGGCCTGGGAATCTTTTACTTCCAGCCAATAGATGGCGAAAGAGAAGGTGGAGAAGGTTCACTGATGAACAGGGGAAACACGTCACCTCGGCTCATATTCTTCAATGGACATACAGTTGCATGTTTGTGTTCCCCTCCCCTAAACTTGTATGTTGAAATTCGAACCCTGAATATGAGAATATCAGGAGACAGGACCTTTGGGAAGTGATTATGTCATGAGGGTGGCACTCTCATAAATGCAATTAGTCACTTTATGAAAGAGATCTCAGAGAAATCTCTCACCCTTTCCACTGTGTTAGGACATGGCTCTTTATGAACCAAGAAGTGAGCCTTCACCAGCCATGGAAACTGCCAGTCCCTTGATCCTGGATTTCCCAGCCTCCAGAACTGTGAATAATACATTTCTGTTTGGGTTTTTTGTTGTTACTGTTTTGTTTGTTTTTTTTGTTTTTTGTTTTTTTGAGACAGAGTATCACTCTTTTGCCCAGGCTGGAGTGCAGTGGCATGATCTCAGCTCATTGCAACCTCTGCCTTCTGGGTTCAAGCGATTCTCGTGCCTCAGCCTCCCAAGGAGCTAGGATTACAGGTGCACACCACCATGCCTGGCTAATTTATTAGTAGAGACAGGGTTTCACCATGTTGGCCAAGCTGGTCTTGAACTCCTGACCTCAAGTGATCCGTCCGCCTTGGCATTGCAAAGTGTTGGGATTACAGGTGTGAGCCACTGCGCCCAGCCCACTTAACTAATATTTTGCAACCAATAATATGTGGCTATCAGACAAGTCATTTATTTGGTTTCCAAAGTTCTTCAATCACAATTATATATTACTTTACAGAATTGCTATCTTCGTAATGGTCACTCAACTTCCCTGTATTTTAATAAAGATAACATTTACATTTAAGATTCTTCTCCATTATAATAATCTCATTGTTCACTCCATACCTGTAGAAATAGGTTTTATAACTTCTTTCCTACCCTTGTACTTCCCGTAAAGCAGTCAAACACTGCCTGTCGCAAAGTCCCAGTAAACACAAATGCCACCAGGGACTATTGCTGGGCAAGAGAGTAGAAATGGATCTGGTCAGACCTATCACTGCTACTGGAAAAGCATATGCCCTCCTGAGGGTGAGTCACACATTAATACCAGTCTATTTTTATGTCTTTAACTTTTATAGCCAAGATGAATCTGGTTTACTTTATTATAATAATTTGAACCCTGTTGTTTAAGTGCATTACCATTCACTGTTGTTGAGATAGAAGTCCTTTGGTGGTATAGAAATATCTAAAAATATTGCCTTTGAATGGAGACCAAAATAAATATAAAATAGTTTTCTATTTCTGTAAGCCATAAAACTGCTCTCTATTATCATACCCTATTTCGTACCAGTGGCTAAGAAAATACAATACTTAGATGTTTCTTTGATCTACATTTGGCTTATGTCTTTTTGCCAGAGCTGCAGGCATTTCTCGATTGTGTTTAAGAGAGAAAGAGAGAGAGAGAGAACCCGTGATCTGTGAACATACTCTTAAGTGATACAATCAAAGCTCTGGTGCTGCTTTATTTAAGTTTACCACAGAACTCAGTAAGATATATGATGCCTCTATTATTTAGCCCCTATCCAAAGCCACGTTATGGCCATCATTTCCTAAAATATTCTTAAAAATTCATTGTCATTAACAGATATGTAATAATCACTTATGTAAGGCACTATGTTAGGTAACAAGGTAGCAATTGGATGTGGGAAGGCCCCAGTCAAAGAAAAGTAAAAGCTGCAGCATTTTAACAACCCAAATTTTAGGGTTAATTGCCAACGTGTAATCTAAACATTGCCCTGTTATTAACATAAGCTGCAGCTTCATAGAAACTTAATTCTCCAGGCACAAATCCATTATTCTATCTACTGCCTCCTTATCACCTGCCACCAATATTGGTCTCCTTGATGGCATAGTTTTAGTGTTTTGCACTGAAATTATCCCTAACTTGAGCCATCTAAACAAGTCTTACAACTTTCCTCTCAGTCTTACAACTTTCCTCATTGTTGTTTCAAATCTTATATAACTTAATCAATTCCATCTTATTGAAGCTGCTATAGACATTCTTCCTTCTATGCGGTTTCCTCACTACAGAATATACCATGTGAAGTTTTAGACTGACTAAATTCTTTTAATGTAAAGAGACCGTTGGCGAGTACGGTGGCTTACGCCTGTAATCCCAGCATTTTGGGAGGCCAAGCCAGGCAGATCACTTGAGCTCAGGAGTTTGAGACCAGCCTGGCCAACATGGTGAAACTCCATCTCTACTAAAAATACAAAAATTAGCCAGGCATGGTGGTGCATGCCTGTAGTCCCAGCTACTCGGAGGCTGAGACACAAGAATTGCTTGAACCCAGGAGGCAGAGGTTGCAGTGAGCCAAGATAGCACTACTGTGCTCCAGCCTGGGCAACAGAGTGAGACTCTGTCTCAAAAAAAAAAAAAAAACACTCATCTTTTCTGATATATTTATAGGGACTGCCATGAAACTGCTATACAAGTCTCTATTATTATCAATGGTAGAGTATTATCTGCTCACAATAATACTAATAAATAATTTTAGAAAATCAGTTCTATTTTCATGCAGGTAGAGCCATCCCTTTATAGATTAATTTACTGGGTAGGACATTTGCAGGGACTGCTGTTTATTGCTGATAAATATAGCTTGCTTATTTAAGCTCTTTACCTTGTTCTAACCCTGCTGAGAGATCTTCTGAAGCAAGAAGCTTTAGAATGGCACAGGCAGGTAATGGGCTGACAGCACTGGACAACCTCTTATTGGAGGCACCATGATAGGTAATTAAGCAACCACCGTCACTCAAGGTCAAATGATCCTTAATCTAAAAACAATCTCTAAATGACATAAGAACAGCTTTAACCATAACATCCACTGCATTTGAGGTCCTATTTCATCTATCTGCAGAGCAAAGTCAGTAATATGAGACTCATAAACCAAGCAGGGTTGCAAATCCTCTTATGCTACCCACAAGAAATGAAGGGAGTGGGGGAAAGCATTGTTTTGAAATTTCACTTATGCAAAGAAATGAGAAAATAGTTCATAAGATGATTGTTCTGTGTAAGCAGTGGTCAAATAATGTTATTTGATGGAAATTGTTTTCTTTGCTTGCTTCCTGAACCCTCCATTTAACATTTCTAGGAAATCATTCTGATGGAAAAGGTCAAATATATACAAAAATAAAATTAGGCCTATTAATCATATTTTGTAATTGGATAACTTGAACATTTTTATTCAAAGAGAAGCTTCCTAATTCTACCCTATACCTTTAGTTCCTCAGAATTTAAAACAGAAATTAACTTCAATGACTCACATTTCTGTATGGAGTTTTATGCCTCAGAATATGTTATACTTATATTTATTTGTGTAACTAAAGGGAAGAAGCAATTATTTGGATAATGTTAAAAAAACTGGAATTTTAACTTCAGTTTGTCAGAGACAAAAGCACTGCAGATTTAATTCTTCTCAAACTTTAATGTGAATACAAATCACCTGGGTATCTTGGTAAAATGCAGATTCCAGTGTAGCAGGTTTGGCGTAAGGCCTGAAAACCAGCATTTCTAACAGGCAACCAAGTGACACCTATTCTCAATCAAGGTTCACACTCTGAACAGTAAGATTATAGAATTTTCTATTATACCTGCAGGGTTTCTAAAGAGCGGATAATGATAGGACAAGTGAAAAATTAATTTTTTAGATCTATTTTCTTATCCTCCACTTTCATTTGCATACATAGACATATCTAATGTTTTAAAATCAACTAATGAATGTGGTTTATCCTTTTGAATGCGTAAAATGATACAAATGCAAAATGATCACTATTATGATTTGTATTAAGCTTTGTATCAACATCTAATGCACTTCTTATTAATTCATGGACTACTAATTTAATCTTCTTACTGTGATCAGTCAACAAGTAAACCATTCTCAGACTGTTGAGGAAATGCAAATTTTAATATAACCAATCAAAACATTCAGTTAGGTTACACTGAATAGTTTATAACTAGTAGAGTAAAAAGATTGTTTTAAATTGGAAATGCACTAAAAGTAACATTTTCTTTGTTGAGCTAAAAAATTAGCATATTTACTTAAAATGCTGACTCAGACCTTGGCCAGGCCATTGACTTCACTGAGGAGTTCAAACTGTGTTAAAGCTTTTAATAAAACTCTGGGGGAAATTCCACTGCTACACAATGAAATTCCATTACGTATGACTTATTTTTGGCTCCCCAGTTGATAATAAAACATATTAAATGGCATTTCCCTTTATTTTTTTCCTGAGGCTCAGTTTTTATACCACTATGTATTCTTCAAGAATGTTTTAACTTAAAAGTATTTTTTATTTTGTTCTTCAAGAAGTACTAAGATATGTAAATTTTGTTATTGTAATTATGTCATAGTGGATCAAAAATTATGTATTGGCAATTACCCTGCTTAACAATTGCCAAAAATATTCTACTGTTTATGGTGTTGAAATGCCAAGGAAGAACTTTATGCAGAAAAGATTCACATTTCTGAAGTGTTGAACATAGTTAGTAACCAATATGTATTTTTGTGCGACCCTGATCCTTCAATGGTTGTTTGAGGATTACTGCAATGGGTCTAAAGACTATCAACTTTAAGAGAAGAAATAACATACATTAAAAAAAAAGTCAGGCCGGGTACCCTGGCTCACTCCTGTAATCCCAGCTCTTCGGGAGGCCAAGGCAAGTGGATCACGAGGCCAGGAGTTCAAGCCCAGCTGGCCAACGTGGTGAAATCCTGTCTCTACTAAAAACACAAAAACTAGCTGGGTGTGGTGACACTTGCCTGTAGTCCCAGGTATTCAGGAGACTAAGGCATGAGAATCGCTTGAACTTGGGAGGTGGAGGTTGCAGTAAGCCAAGATCACACCACTGCACTCCAGCCTGGGTGACAGAGCAAGACTCAGTATCAAAAAAAAAGGAAAGAGAAAAATGTCAGGTTTAATGTTTTTATTTATATCAAGTAGCTATTACACAGTAGACCCTTAATAAAAGTTTGATCATCATATGAATTATAAAATTAACATTTATAGTAAGTTTTACAGTTAGTTTCTCTCACAAAACCAGGTTTAATAGGTAAGAAACACACAAAAAATGTTACCCAGATCCCGTCAAGGAATGACTTTTTGTTCCTACTACTGAGAGAGCCATCAGGAAGCATCCTTCAACTGACAGCCCCTTCAAGGATCAGACCCCCTACATCCTTCCCAGGTGGCACTCATCCAGTGACTGATGGAGGCAGGGGTATGAAGGTCCAGGCATTTCAGATCAATGCAGGACAAACCCGACCTTGACTTTTCCCTACGCCATTCTGATTTTGCCTCCTTAGTTTTCATGGGTGTTGATACCAAGAGCCTTCTCTAATAATTCAGCAAATTAACTTTCTGCTTGCCAGAAACCCAACCTGGCACCACAGGCATTATTGTCCTCATCTTACAGATAATAAAACAAAGGCTCAAAGATGGTAAGTGGCTTACCCAAGATGAGGCTGCTGAGGCACCTCTTGTGCTGAGTCCTACTCAATGAAATTTCTAGTTCCTCTCCCATGGGACTTTCATCCTCATGGTCGGTCTGATCCTTGATACTGATTTTATCTGCACTTCAGGAGATACACTCAACAAAGGCAGCTTGAGGTCCTCTTAATTATCTTCTAAATGTTTGATGCCAGTTCTTCCTCTCCTCTCCTTCTTTACCTCCGCCCCAGGAGGAGCAAAGGAAACTGGTAAACACTTAAAACTGTCTTCAGGCATGCTGCTCTGAAACTCTTATATCACATTCAGAATGCCTTTGTCCTCAGGATCCTTGGCCACAGGGAAAGCGCAGGCCCTGAGGCAGGCGAAGAAGTGGGACAGAGCCAAAGTCAGGCATGAGCCAAATTCAGGCATAAGACAAAGTTGGACCAAGGTTCACAACAAAGGAGCAGAGATGCGGTAAGAGTGGGAGAAATAACCAGACAGAAGCAAGCTTGAGGGCAGGGCAAAGGCAGGAGTACATGTCAGAGACAGAGGCAAGAGAAGGCAAAAATAGAACACCCCCCATCACCACTTCTGGGTTTCTGCAGCTTCTCTATCTGAGCCCTCAGACCTATCAGGTCCTGGTTATGCTATGAAAAAGGTCTACTTTTACTACTGTGAGCCATTTTCCACTTCTCCAGCTACACTTCTTCAGCCCTTAGGGTTAGGAGAGACCTTAAAAGCCCCACATGGAACATGTTCTGTAGATGTGAATAACTTGGAGCATGGTGTGGTATATTTAGTCAAACTGAACAACAGTTCTAAGTCAAACATATTATAGGTATCCATGACAAGAATCATTATAAAAGAATTTTGCAAACCCAATCTATAGGCCCTGTTGTGCTAAATGTCATTTGAAAATACACATTCCCAATATAAAAAAAAAAGAAAAATGAGAATTGTTTCTTTTGCACTGGTTATAATAAGATTTGATCTATTTTCCTAAAGAGAAGAATGCATTCACTGGGGTGTTTTAGAGGATTTAAAATTGAAACAGTGGAAGAAAAAAGGAGGGAAAAGCCCAGGTAAAACTCTAAAGTATGAAGCCAGTGTATAAAGTACCTAGTAATTCACAGCAGAAAATAATTTAAGAGGCAGAAGGACATAGCACTTAGGTTCCTAGCTGTTTAAATACCAATAGGCCAAAAATACAATTTGATGTTTGCACAACAAAATGAACACCCCCACATAAACATCATTGCATCTTCGTGAAATAGAATTCACAAGAAGCATCTTTCATAAAATTTACTACATTGTGCAAAGGGAGTGGTACTCTGTTTCAAGAAGGTATATACCTTTGCAAAAAACCCCAAATCAGGGATGGCAGAATGATAAAGAGCATCTGGGTAGAGACGAAAGGAAAGATTGCCAAAATGATATTATTGTTGGTGATAGGGTTGGGGATGGTTGGTACAACAGCCATTCTGGGAAGAAAGAATGGGCAATCATGTCCTAGCATTGATCACAAAGCTGGCACAGATATAGAGGCAAGATACAGAAGAGATGAAGATTCTGCTTATCTAAACATCTCCAGGAAGTCACTACCAGCTAAGAGCAAAGCATGGGATATATCATTCTAATAACTTCATCTTTTTGAAGACAGAAAAAGTAATGAAGGGAGCTCCTTAGGACACAATTCTGGCCAGGAGAGAAAGTCATCTTTGGCAAAATGAAAATGGTAGAGTTCTTTGCCAGAAGAGGGGTTACCAGTAATAGAATCTTACAGTCCGGAAGCTCTGAACCCTGAGCAAAGCTATATATATGCTCCAAAGTAAAAGAAGATGGCTTTCCAGAGGTTCAGAAAGAAGATATGCATGATCTCATAGCCAGAGAAGCAGAGACCGGAGAAGAAAAAGACTAGGCTTTTAAACACACCGATCTGAGAGTCTAATCATGGAAGATGAGGGGGAGGCGGTAAAGAAACCACTTTGACAGCTCAACCGGCTCTTAGATAAACAGAATAATTTTAAAGATGCCATTTTTAAAACATGGAAGAATGAAAACATAATAAAAACAAGTGAAAACTAATACCAAGAGAATAAAGGAAATATTGTAAAAATTACCAAGAAAGATGAAAATCGGTTTTTTGAAAGTATACAAAAAGCAACAGAAAGGTTTGGGGACAATAGTGTAAAGTCTGCAGAAGACAGGCAGAAAGCAAAACTTTTCATGACCTTTCTCTGCTGTAGCAGACCTCTGTTTCACAGTCCTGGATCCCTCCTCAATCTCATGAGTCTAATGAGCCACAGTGCCCAGCCTGCCTGGCTATGGCCATGAGCATATAAACAAACATACCAGTCAGATTCTCCCCAGGATATTTGATTCATGGATGCTGAGAGAGAAAGAGTTTCTCATCATTTTGGATTTGAATCAAATTCAGTAGTTATCTTCCCTACCAAGTCAAAAGCTTATTCACAGAAGGAATAAGGGCTGAAATATGGCAAGAAAACTGGGCTCCTGGGACATCCCCTGAATCCCTGTATCCAGCCTTGATTGAAATAAGCCTTACCCCTGAATCCCCCAGCTATGTGAGCCAAGGTATTCCTTTTTGTCCTAAGAGAGTTTAAGTTGGATTTCTTGCATTTTTAATTAAGAGATACTTTATTAATATAGTGGTTAAGAAGGTTAATTGTCAGTTTAGAAAAGAGAAAGCAAACACTGGGAGGAGGAAATTAAAGTTTAAGCTAGGTAAGGAGGTTGAAAAAAATGCACATTTCAAAGGACTTTGATGACCAAAGAAGGCTCCATTCCACAAGACCAAAAGATGGCTCAGATGACATCCTGACATCAGGGAACTGCAAATAGTCATCTTTGAAGAACTATGGAAAAGAGAAGTCTTGCTGGCAGGTGGAAAAAGGGCAAATACATGTTTCCATTTTCAAAGAGGTGAAAGCAGTTCAATTTATTAAACTATATGCCAAAGACATTGGATAGATCCCTAGCAAAATGTTAGAGTATAAGGGGCTGGTAAACACTTATAAAGTAAAGAGATGATCACTAAGGACCAACAGGTTCATGAAGTTCAAATCATGCCAGGATTATATCATTTCCTTTATATCTATATTTACCAGAGTGGTTAAGGGAAATATTTATTATACCAGGCACTGTGCAAGACATTGTTCAGATATAGTTGAGTATCATTTGGTGGTTGTGGTCATAGTTTGCCTTATTAATTTAATATCTACTGTTTATTGACAATCTAATATGTTCCAGAATACACATACAGCTACATGCACACATAATCAATATACACATACACACAAACGCACACCTAATATGCAACAACATACACACATATACACACAAACACAAGCACACACATATACACACAAATATAAATACAGCATAACACATATAAACACATATATACACATACATGCACATACCTACACACATAATACACACAGGCATACACATAAACATATGTATATACACACAATGCAAAAACACTAGAATATACATAGAAACACATACACACATGCACATACATACATGTACACACATACACCAGAACAATAATCTAATGTGGCCAATAAATATCCCCATGATATTTAAAATTATTTATTAAATTAAAGTGAGGCAATTTGTTCAACGTCACACAGCTAGTAACAGAAAAACAAGGATTTTAACCTAGGATTTTCTGATTCTTTAATATTCCTTGTCAATAAAGGGTATCTTTGTGCACTTTCACCCAAAGAATGCTAACCAAAAGAGGAATGTCAAGCTGAAGAAAGGTACGAGGTATCTTTGGCCTTTTTCGAAAAGTTGATTGACAATAGAGAAATTATTGCAATGAAATCTGAAAATAATTAAAATTTTATATAATATCTGTAATATGTTGTTGAAACAATTGAAATCTAAGCTGAATAAAATAAGAAGAAATGAAATAGAGATAAAATGAATATTCAGACACAGGCTACACATAACACAAGTAACTTAAGAAGAATTTTACCTGGCTGTGAGTTCAAGAAATTCACATGAGAAGTTGCTGCTAAAAGAGTGAATTCATTACTGGGCTGTGTGAATAGCAGTCTGAAGTTCAGCAGACGGGAAATAAATATCCTTTTTTTAACCCTGTGTGGACTAAATTAACAGACTGGTGCTTGCTCAGAGAGGATTGATTATGATGATGAAAAATCAAAACATCATAGGATATAGATCAGAGAACAATCACTGCTATGTCTGTGTCTACCTGGCAGATGTATGAGAATTCATTGCATATTTCTCCTATTATCCAGAGAGTTTTAAAAGGAGTGATTAAATGTTGTGGAAAGATGATGCTTCCCTCATAAAGGAAGTCAGAGCCACTTCAGTCCTGACAGGAATCAAATAAGTGCACTCTGTGTGTAAATGTAGGTAGAGTTGGCATCCAATGCCCTAATGGGTTCCCCAGCAAACCCATTAAACAATCCCTGTGGAAAGAAGTGAAGCTACTGTCACAAGAAGTCCAAGGTTCTCTGGGAAAGAAAGAACTTGGATCCTGGCCTGTAGATCCCAAGAGCTGAAATTAGGGGAACCTAGAAGTGAGGACTGAAGTGACTTTAACTTCAACGGGAGAATTCATCAGGAGCACAAGGGAGAAACAATTACGGCTTTAAGGTCCCACGTGGAAGTAGGTGTTTACGGAGAAGGTCTAGTGGCGGCACAATATATGGCTTAGGGAGAAAGCCCCTTGGGCTATAGAATCATCCAGGAGAATCTCCCCATTTAAGTTTGCTGGATGTTGTGTTTGAAGAGTAATTAATGAAAACAAGTGCAGCTTCCTTGGCATCCAAGTGTGGCACACCTGCAGGACATGGACCAACAAAAGCATAATGGAGATGAAGCAAACATCAGTTCATCTTTGCAGAACAGTCTTCAGCAGGACACCATGTGGCAGACAGCAGCAAAGGCCATCTTCAGTTCTATGTCCAACTGCCTGTCCTTCTTTGTACTGACTAACCTTTAGAATTCCTAGATAATTGGAGTGGCTGATGATCATTTTGAGGTTGCTGATCAAAGGGGAGATATTATGCTTAAAGACAGGTGAGTGCTTATCTGCCAAACATTATAGGAGCCTTCCCTCTCTAATCAACATAAACTTTAATTCTTAATCACAAAGAAATGGAAACTATAGGACTAGAAAAACAGAAATCAGTGAAAGGCTTTCACACAAATTTTATTTTCTTATTAATTTAATACCATCAACCATACTTAATATTACCCACACTGCTTTGAGACCTGTGCCTAAAATCAGACAATTTTAAGTGTTCTAGAAGTCCTGAGTCTGAGTCCCAGGCCAGTGTTTCTTGCTTACTGGGGCTGATGAACAGGGGAGAGTGTTTGCAGTTGTATTAGTTTCCTATTGTTGCTGTAACAAACGAACATAAACCTGTTGGCTTAAAACAATGCAATTTACTATCTTATAGTTCCAAAAATAAGAATTATTAAATGAATCTCACTGGGTTCAACTCAAGTTGTCAGCAGAGCTGTCTTCCTTCTGGAGGCTCTAGAGGAGAATCCATTTTCTTGCCTTTTCTAGCTTCTAGAGGCTGCCTGCATTCTTTGGCTCATGATCTCCTTCAAGCAATCTCATCACTCTGATCTCTACGTTTAATGTCACATCTTCTGTCACTCGCCTGACTTCTTCTTGCCCTTGTTAAATAAATTTCTGAATACATTGAGCCCACTGGAATAATCCGGGATAAAGTCCCCATTTCAAGGTCTTTGACTTAATTAAATCTGCAAATCTCACAGATTCCAGGGATTTGGGTGTAGATATCTATGGGACATGGGTGGGGGCCATTAATTCTGCCTAACACAGCAGCCTGCTAACCCTTAGCAGGAATTCTGAGTTATCAATACTGGAGGCAACTGAAAGGAGTGTCCTGGTTCCTTTTTTTTTTTTTTTTTTTTTTTTTTACCTCTAGCAAAGATAAAAGAAACAGAGATGTGAGCATTTATTGAAATTTCCACAAAACTTAATCCACTAGACTTTGCAGAGGAGCAAATTTCAGGAAAATCCTTAAAGAAAGACATAGATATCCCAAACTAAATAAAGAAGTAGGGTGCCGAGAGATAACGAGGTCGTTTAAAAAAAAAATTCCCCCTTGGCCAGGAGCGGTGGGTCATGCCTGTAATCCCAGCACTTTGGGAGGCTGAGGCGGGCGGATCACGAGGTCAAGACATCGAGACCATACTGGTCAACATGGTGAAACCCCGTCTCTACTAAAAAAAAAAAATACAAAAATTAGCTGGGTGTGGTGGCACGCCCCTGTAGTCCCAGCTACTTAGGAGGCTGAGGCAGGAGAATCGCTTGAACCCAGGAGGCAGAGGTTGCAGTGAGCCGAAATCACGCCACTGCACTCCAGCCTGGCGACAGAGCGAGACTCCATCTCAAACAAGCAAACAAAAAAATTCTCCCTTTCAGTGTGGATGTGCAACATCATATAGGAAGATAACAATGATCTTTGGCTTACCTGGTTTTGGAAAATTTTAATTTTAATATTTTCTATCACCATAATAAACTAAATTTATTTTTTGGCCGGGCATCAAGTGGCTCAAGACTTCATGGGAGAATTTTCTCCAAATTTTCCTTACTGGTGCTCAAGAAGTTAGTTGGGGAAACAAAAAAGAAGTGGCCTTACTTGAAGCCTAACTTGGTGAAGTGAGTCAAAAAAAAGCTGTTTGAAGGAAAACTTTTAATTTAGTGCAGTTTCCAGTAACACCTGCCTCTTTGACACATTTTTCATTTCTGTTTCTGCCAACACCAAGCAGTAGCCAACCCCAGATTTTGTTCACTTTATTATGATGACAAAAGACTAGTCAATAGTGCCTATTTCTTTCCATGGCCTGACTTGCCTCTTAGAAATTAGAGATGTGATATCCCATGATCAGATCAACCAAAGCCAGAAAGTGGTGGACATTTTGACTGGAACCATAAGAATTATGAAACCAGACTGGCTTAGTCCATTTATACAGCTTTAAAGGAATACCTGAGGCTGGCTAATTTATAAAGAAAAGAGATTTATTTGGCCTATAGTTTTGCAGGCTGTACAAGAAGCATGGTGCCAGCAGCAGCTTCTGGTGAGATCCTCAAGCTCCTTTCATGCATGGTGGGAAGCAAGGGATAGCCACAGGCAAGTAGAGATCATATGATAAAAGAGAAAGCAAGAGAGAAGACAGGGAAGTGTCAGGCCCTTTTTAACAACCAGCTCTTGCAGGAACTAATGAAGAACTCACTCACTCCCCACCACCCCCAGGAATGGCATTAATCTATTCATGAAGGATCTGCCTCCATGACCCAAACACCTCCCATTTGGCTGCACCTCCAATATTAGTAATCACGTTTCAACACGAGGCCAGGCACAATAGCTTATGCCTGTAATCCCAGAACTTTGGGAGGCTGAGGCCAGAAGATTGGTTGAACCCAGGAGTTCAAGAGCAGCCTGGGCAATACAGTAAAACCCCATCTCTACAACAAATAAAAAAAAATCAGCCAGGCATGGTGGCATGTACCTGTGGTCCCAGCTACACAGGAGGCTGAGGTGATAGGATTGCTTGAGCCGAGGAGGTCAAGGCTGCAGTGAGCCGTGATCATGCCACTGCATTCTAGCCTGGGTGACAGAGTGAGACCCTGTCTCCGACCAAAAAAAAAAAAAAAAAAAATTAACCTGAGGTCTGAAAGGGTCAAATATTCAAATCATAGCAGAGACATGTAAGGTTTATATTTTGTGGTCACTTATATGGGAGAAAAAAATTCTACATGTTCCCCAGCCAGTGAAGGCCAATCATTAATCCCTCATCTGGAGCAGCCTAGGAACTCAGTATCATTAGCCATGGAGAATGAATGCCTAAAATGTCAAAATAGATATGTTTTTAACACATAAATACAGTATTCTTCTTATTACTGTATAATCTGCAAATAAAATATAGTATTTTTAATATTACTATCCTATTCTCATGAAACTATTTCTTATTACGTAGGTAGCAAAAAGTTGAGCCTGTTAACTTTCAATTTTGGTAGCCATAAAGTGAGGAAGTCACCTGACATGTCCTTAGAGAATGGCATAAATCTGCTAAATAGGGACATATAAAGTTGCCACACATGAAACAAATAAATCATGAAGCAGTGATTTCTAGGAGCTTTTATAATGCTTTAATAATCTCTCTATGTTACAAGTCTTTCTCATAGAGGCATATATAAGATGGTATGATGTCAATGTAGTGGTTTTTTTCCAGCAGATATAGACCTATTGATTTGAGTATCTTTTTATTTAAGAACACATTTTGGAAATACAAGAGGAATGTGATACCAATGTTAAATTAAACCCAGGCAACTTCCATCCCTGATTTTGCCTAATTGATTCACCCTATAGCATGGGTGAAATTATGACTGAACAAATCTGTACTTCCTTCTGGAATCTAGACAAGGGAGTAAAACCTTACTCATCACCTCAGGGGAAGGAGGGGGATCAGGTTGGGCTCTGAAGGCACATACTCTCTTCATCTTTGGCTGCTAAGTGCCATGAGTGACTACTGAGCTTCAGAAGGTGTCACATTTATCCACTATTTATTTAACAAATAGATATTAGCAGATTACTCTCATAAGAATCTGAAGGACCCCCCCCCACCCACCAAATCCAAGACTTTTAATTATTTGTAGCACTTGGAAGACAAAACTTTACTTTTCAGTTATAGCATAATATTTTTATCCCTATTTTTTTACCCTTATCTTCCTACTTATAAATAGAAAAGAAGTGCCATTTAGTTTTAAAATTGTCCATTCTGTCTTAAAATTAAAAAGAGATATACAAACACATACTGCTATATCTACTACTACTATATTATCTTAGGCAAATGACTTAGCTTTATTAAGCCTCAGTTTCCCAATCTATAAAATAGAGAAAATAGTACTTCTTAGGATACTTTTAGAACTAAATGAGATTATTTATGTTGTCCGCAGCATAAGCACTTGAGTATAGTGGGTCTCAGTGAAGGCTCTGATGTGCCTGTTTGATTCAAATCTCCCTTATTTATTTATTTATTTATTTATTTATTTTCTTTGAGACAGAGTCTCCCTCTGTTGCCCAGGCTGGAGTGCAGTGGCGCGATCTCGGCTCATTGCAAACTCTGCCTCCCAGGTTCACGCCATTCTCCTGCCTCAGCCTCCCAAGTAGCTGGGACCACAGGCGCCACCCACCACACCTGGATAATTTTTTGTATTTTTAGTAGAGACGGGGTTTCACCGTGTTAGCCAGGATGGTCTCAATCTCCTGACCTCGTGATCCGTCCGCCTCGGCCTCCCAAAGTGCTGGGGTTACAGGTGTGAGCCACCGCGCCCAGCCTCAAACCTCCCTTTTACCACTCACCAGCTATGACCATGGACATGTTACTCCTTTTAACTTTAATTCCCTTGTCTATGAAATATAGAAATAAAGTTATTTACTTCACATAACTTTTATGAAAGTCAAGTGAGTATATACATATAAAGTACTTTAAAAAGTGCCCAAAACATAGTAAGTTCTTATTACCATTCAGTTGTAAGTGTCCAAAAACTCAACTAAAAGTAGCTTAAGCACAAAAGGGAATTGCAATTGGGAAATTTAAAAAAGCAATTATGCCTTTAGGCACAGATGGCTCCAGGAGCTCAAACGAAGTCAAGTTTCTGTCTTGCCATATTTTGGCTCTCCTTGTTTCTGCCTGGCTTCATTCTCTAACTGGCTTCTATCCTACCCTAATGGAAAAAGAGGGTTTTCTCAAATTATCCTGGAGGGAAGCTCAAAGAAAGATTCTGATTGGCTTTGTTTGGATCATATGCCCATTTCTGAACCAATCACTATGGCTAGAGAAAAGAATGGCACACTGAAGGACTCCTCATGCCCACTCTTAGATCTTTGGAAAAAAGCTACGTCTGTTACATCATATTTGCAATAAATGAGCTCCTCACAGGAAAGAGGTATTCAAAGCCAAAAAGGGAAAAAGGTGCTAAACAAATAAAAATAACAAATATTCAGTTCAATGGCAACAAATGTTAGCCATGACTTTTATCATTATTAATATTGTTATTGCCATTATTATTTACATAAATAATACATTCGTCTGGATTCTCCAAAGCAGTAGAACCAATGGGATCTATATCTATGTCTATAGAGAGAGATTTATTATAAGGAATTGGCTCATATGATTATGGAGGATAAAAAGTCCCAAGATCTGCTGGGTGAATTGGCAAGCTAAAGACCTAGGAGATCCAATGGTGGAGCTCCAGTCCGAAGGCTGGTGGAATCTACCAGGAAGAGCCAATGTTTTAGTTTGAATTCAAAGGCAGGAAAATACCAATGCCTCAGTTCAAAGGCAGACAGGAGGAATCCTCTGTTATTATGAGGAGCGTCAGCCTTTTTGTTCTATTCAGGCTGTTCTATCCAGCTAAATGGATGAAGCCCACCCACACTAATAATCGCATTAACAAACGTTATAAACCACACAGGAGGAGGGCAATCTGCCTTACTCCGTCCACCAATGTACATGTAAATTCATCCAAAACACCCTCACAGAAACACCCAAATATTGGAGCACCCCATAGCCCAGTCAAATTGACACATAAAATTAACCACCACAAATTAAAAAATAATAGGAGCCTGGGATAAGAAAGTGAATACTGAGTATTTAACACTAAGCTCCAAAGAAACATAGTAGTAGAATCTTCTGACATTTACGGTTTGAGGAAGCCCCCACATGTTTAATATGTCCCCCTCTTTTGAGCACCATTAAGTAGGCCCATCTATTAACGCCTAATGAATTCAGAGACTGTCACCCAAGCTCTCTTTACACAGTCTTGTTGAGCGTTTAAAGTTACTGAAAGACCAAATGAGAACCTGACTTACGCAAAGCTTATTCTAATTAGAAAAGTATAAAACACTACCTAGGTACAAATTTACCAAGGAAGCAATCAAATGTCATCAACAGATGGATATGATAACTATTCACACAAAAAAATAATCATCAGTGTAGTCCTCCATCATCACCAAAGATACATAGTCATATTTTTGGAAATACGACATAAGAGAAAATTGTGATAAAAGCTTTAAGATGGCCGGGCGCAGTGGCTCACGCCTGTAATCTCAGCACTTTGGGAGGCCGAGGCGGGCGGATCACGAGGTCAGGAGATGAGACCATCCTAGCTAACACGGTGAAACCCCGTCTCTACTAAAAATACAAAAAATTAGCTGGGCGTGGTGGCGGGCGCCAATAGTCCCAGCTACTTGGCAGAATGGCGTGAACCCGGGAGGCGGAGTTTACAGTGAGCCCAGATCGCGCCACTGCACTCCAGCCTGAGCGACAGAGCGAGACTCTGTCTAAAAAAAAAAAAAAGGCGAAGCTTGCAGTGAGCCGAGATCACGCCACTGCACTCCAGCCTGGGCGACAGAGTGAGGCTCCGTTTGAAAAAAGAAAAAAGCTTTAAGATAATTTTTCCAATTTTTCCCAAGATTAAGCCAAATGTCAGATCTAGTGACAACCACCACCATGAAACTGAGGCAGTTACTGACTTTTAATGTAAAAATATTAAGTCTATATATTTGGTTCCTGGGTTCAAGAGTCAGCAGATTAGGTTTCAAACATATTCTCTCCAACACAGACTTGGTGAGCAAACCACCTTCTTGGTGTGTTCCAAAGAAGTTCAGGGATGGAAAGAATTTCAGTCATATATTTAAGAGAGACTTCTGGTTTATTTTGAGCAGTGACAGATGTCTTCAAAACTAACATCCAAACAAAGGCATTTCCTCTCAAATTGGTTGGCATGTCTGTTGACATTTTGGGCTGAGGAATTCTTTGTTGTAAGGCACTGGTTTGTGTATTATAAGATAATTTGCAACATCCCTGGTCTCAACTCACTAGATGCCAGTAGCAACTCTCTCCAGTTGTGACAACAAAAATGTCTCCAGACATTGTTAAATGTTTTCTGGGGATCAAAATCACCCCAGGTTAGAGACCATTGATTTAGGCAAAGTGCTGGTTGTGACTATTTTAAAAAAGGGCCCATGTTGCCCAAAAGTTTCTTGGTATTCTTTTTCTATGCTACCTGCTAACTTATAAAACATCTTGCTGTCTTGCTTGAATAAATTACAAAATTTTTATTATCAGAATTTTTTGGAGGAAGCCACAAGAAAGGAAAAGTCTAAGTCTACCAAATAATTCTTTAGGTTTCACTTTTTCATTTGTCAAAACACACACATTCTCACACACACACACACACACACACACACCCCATCTATGGTAATTACCACAGAAATGTTGCCTTTTTACACACAAAGAAATTACAAATCACACACACAAGATCCAAGCTCAAAAACTTTTGAGTTTAGCAAACACTGCATGTTCTCACTCATAAGCGTGAGTTGAACAATGAGAACACATGGACACAGGGAGGGGAACATCACACACTGGGGCCTGTTGTGGGAGTGGGAGGCAATGGGAGGGAAAGCATTAGGACAAATACCTAATGCATGCAGGGCTTAAAACCTAGATGATGGGTTGATACGTGCAGCAAACCACCGTGGCGCATGTATACCTATGTAACAAACCTGCCTGTTCTGCACATGTATTCCAGAACTTTAATTTAAAAAAAAAAAAAAAAACCTTGAATTTAGAGTTCTTTAAATACTGATTAATTTAATGTAATTTGGTACTTGGCACAGTGGCTCATACCTGTAATCTCAGCACTTTGAGAGGATAAAGCAGGAGGAGCACTTGAGGCCAGGGGTTCATGACCAGCCTGGGCAAAATGGTAAGACCTCATCTCTACAAAAAATATTAAAAGTTAGTTGGGCATGGTGGCAAGCAGCTGTAGTCCTACCTACTCAGAAAACTGAGGTGGGAGGATTGCTTGAGCCCAGGAGTTCGAGGCTGCAGTGAGCTATGATTCCATCACTGCACTCCAGCCTGGGCAATTGAGAGAGATTCTATCTGTAAAAATTAATAACAATAATAATTTTATATTTAATTATATAAATTAAAATAATTTTTTTAATTTTAAGAGAGACTTAAAATTTTTTTAACTTATATCATTCCAAAAAAAGTAATGCAATAATATATATCTTTTTAAAAACTATTTCTTGATAATATACTTTCTAAAACTTATAGAAAAGTTATTTATAATATTTGCCATTTTTAGGTCTTGAGTACTTGACTTTGAAGGAGATGATGTTGTACAACTTGCCACTGAATGATTTTCAGCCACAGTGAGTTATTTTGCAATTTCTTTATCTACAGATAAGGTGTTATTTCCCATGAGGCTACTTATCATAAACAATCCAGGAACCTGTTTATCCATCTGATATTCCAGCTTGGCAAGTAAATAAGTTCTTCATTGTTTGTAGAATAAAATCAAAGCCTGCAATCCACTATTCAAAAGATTGGTTAGGTCTAAGAGATATTGTTAAGTGAAATAAGCAATTCTCAAAATATTATGTGCATGTATAGGTTTATTTAGAAAAAAAGTGCGTGCATATGTATAAAAGAATATACATAAGCATGGAAAGATACAAACCTAGCTGAGCTTAGGAGCTAGAGGTGAGAGAGAACACAATAATTTGGTGAAAATTAAAATTTGTTAGAAATTAGTATTTAAAGTTTTTTCATATGTATTTTCTATTTATATGTAATTCATTTAAAGCCAATAATTTCTTCTCTTCCCTACTTATGGTAAGGAAATCGGAACCAATGCAAGTGGTCAAAAACTATCAAGTTGGTTTAATATGGTTACCTATAATAGCATTTAAAGGTGATTCCTACCTACAGATTAAGAAAACATGCATGTAAAAAGGATATTAAAAATATTCAGAGAAACATAATGAATATTTCTGACTGAATCATGAGTGCACTTTATGTTATTTTGCTTGTCTACATTTTACTTTTTTAATGAATATATATTGCTTTTATAATGAAGCACTAAAAGGAAAAGGATTTGAGGAGTGGGGAGTGAGATGAAAAAGCAGCTGACTTTCCAGAACACTGAAAAGTATGTCAGAAAATGCTGTATGAACAGTGGTCTTAAAATGTGTCAGATGGGTTTTGAAATTTGTCTCAGAGATAGTAGTCAAGACCTGCTGGAGGAACTGAGTCATACTTTCACAGAAATCTCTTAGTAAAGGAGAGAGAATGAATTCCAGGAGATAAAAACAGATCAGTGGAAAATGGCTCCTGGGGATTTGTTCTCTTCTGAGCATGAGTTTTATTTCAGTTCAAGATTTTTTATTGTGTGTGGATATGGGAATATACCTTCATATGATTAGAAAGATAATTTATTTGGGATTAAATCCAAGAATTCATTTTCCATTGGAATAAACTTCCTAAAAACTAAGCCACGCTGTTCTGCACTGTGCATAGCCTGAATTGCAAATACACAGGACAAGGGTGGGAAATGTGTGTGTGTGTGCGTGTGTGTGTGCATGTGTGTGTGCGTGCATGCACACACCAGCAAAGCTTTATTTGGAAAATAATTGGTATCCCAGGGATATTAACAAAGCCCTTGACACTGTCCTCAGAATTGGGGTTGATGACTTCCCAGGTTGTTTATTCTCTTGGTGCAAAGGGCGCAGCGGTCAGCCCCTTCCTTGCCTTTAGTTCCCTCTCTTTCTTTTTTTTCCACCACCTCAGAGCTGGAAAATTATACCAAAAGCCATGATTTTTAAGACTGTATATAATATGTGAACCTTCAAGCGCTTTAAAAGGAGGTTTTAATATGACTTAATAAATGTATAGCACATGCTTAATTTGTATTATTATTTCCCATTTTTAAATTGTTTCTTCTGAACACCCTTAATTACAACAAGAATAAAGGGTGAAGCAGTTCAGTCAAGGACATACAGAGGGCCATAAGCGTGTTAACAAAATTTAATTTGATCTTGGGCTGCTTTTAAAAGAAGCACAGATAGGAGGTAAAACTGGGAGTTTTAACTGTGGCAAATTCATAAGATGTTAAATTCCAAAGTGAGCTATTGGACCACTGAGTAAAAGTTTTTAATTAAGTGACCTAGAGCTATTTAAAGGCTCTGAACCCCATAAGAAAGATATGAGAAGGTATAGGAGTAGTAACTAAGGCTAGGTTTGTGAAGAGATGTTTTGGAGAGAACTGCTTCAGTGCTGAGTCTCCCTTCCCCACCCTTACAGCAGGAGATGGGTACTTCCCCCTTAGCTTCAAGCCTAGAGATCAGGGCTTCTCTGAGACTTGCAGAGAGCTTCATTTCTGTCCCTTGGAGTTGGGAGGCACATTGTGCTGATGCCAGAGGAGCCTGAGTGTCTACAGGTGAGATGTCTGAGGGCAGAGCCAGGAGAGAGATGCTGTTGCATTAAGATTCACCTGTACTGAGTTTTGTCAAGATAAAAAGTAAGTGAGAGTTTCCCAGCAATCAGATGTGAGCCACGTGTGTGTATGTGCCCCGAGAGAGAGAGAGACTGGCTGGGGCCATTTTAAATGGAATTCTGCTCAAGAGGGCTTCACTCAGAGAATAATAGAGCTCTATCGAGTGTCTGAGTGGAATAGCAGTCAAACAAGAAACAGCCTACCTTTTTACCTCTTTATCTCCTCACACCTACCTGTCCCATCACTAGAATCAAAAGAGGTCAGAGACAGCAGCTAGTGGGGTTGATGGAGAAGGAAGCGAGCTAGAAACAGTAAGTCCGCCAGGCCACTTCCCAGAAGATAGGCTGCTTGCCTACAGTCAAGCCCTGGCTCGCGGAAGGAAGAGAAGGGAGATTTATCTCTGAATTAGTATATAGGGATTGATATTTTATCAAATTAAGAAGGTATTTGGTGAATTAATGTGAACAGAGTATTCTATATTGCCTAAGAGTAAGTAGAAAATTCAAGAACCTGACAGATTTTTCATCCAAAGGAGAGAAGAACTTCTACCACTGAAACATTTTTAAAAGAGATTTGGATGACTTTTTAAACAAATAAACAAACACATAAATAAACTTGCATTTTGATTGTATCTGATAAGATTTGCTTGTTCAAAATCCTAATGATAATAAGTTTCAAAATAAAGAAGGCTATGCTCATGTTCTTAGCAGAATTCAGAGCAGTGTAATGTTCTTTTCCATGTGATTTTCCTCAAGAGCCATGTTGACAGAGCAACCAAGATGGTGAAGGGTTAGAAAAGCCAAACCACAGAAGGGACGACTCAAGGAACTCAAGCTGTTTAGGTTAAAGGAGCATCGGGTAAAAAAACAATAACTCTTAATTTTTATTCATAAGCTTGCATATAAAGAACGAATTTTTAAAATTAAATGTTGTTCTTGAGGGTTGGATATGAACCAATGGAAACATGTATAATGCAAGTATTTAAAAACAAATTTTTAAATTGTTTTGAATTGCCTTGCATTGCAATATATTTCTCATTACTGGGTGTTCAAGCTGAGGCTGGATGACATTTTTCATGGTTCTTGCACAGAGGATCCATTAATCATTTGGCTCTAGTCTAAACTGCCAAAGACTAATTCTTTGTAAGCCAGTTTGCCAAATAATCAATCCACCTGAATGGCCATTTTACTGAAAACCAATTTACCCAATACCAATTCGCCTCATATACTTATTTTCTTTAACAATGTAATTTTAGTTGACTGGATTTCATTTTGCCTTCATAAGAGAGCACTTTAAAGAATGTTTAATTGATCGCTACCCTAATTTTCTGGAGTCTGCGAAAGGGGAGACCGAGAAGCAGAGAGAGTGCATTCTTGAGTATTTTCTTAAAGTAATCTTGAATATAATTATTATAATTGTGTTCTTTAAAAATGCTATTGTTCCTCTCCCAGACCCTCATTCTCTCTCCTCTCTCCCTCTTTCTGTTAGTCTCCAGCTTCAGCACCAAGGCCTTGACACATGAACAAATGGAGCATTTATTGGATGTAGGAATGTTAAATACAATACCCCTCTCTTTATTTTAGAACCAACTGAGAGATAGATACTGAAGCCAGTCAAGCAGAGATCAAAACACCATCTTTATTCCTGGTAAGCTGTATTGGAGGATATAGCCTAAATCTGGCCAAATGGCTACAAACTGCAGGTTCACGCCTTCTTTCCAGAAGCAGCCAGAATTGAGATTTCTACAGTGCTGTTCCCACACCCACAAAATTATTAGCATGTCAATTCCCAGCCTGTAGAGCATTATAACAGGCAAAAACATCACCCCAGAACCTAGAACCTAAGAAAGTCAGTGGTACCTGAAAGAAAGAGAATATACACAGAGAAAAATGTCTTGGTTTATCCTTGTAGGATATCATCAGTTTAGGCCAGTGGTTTAGAGCCCATGACTTGTGATTTTAAACTCTGTTGAAGAAATTTCCCATCAAGTGGTTTATTTTGACTTTACTTGAAATCTTGTGGTGGCTGCCTATTTTATTCAGGTTAAAAGCCAAAATCCTTACAAAGGCCTGTAGAACTCCCTCATGCTAACACTCCTCCAGCTTTATCTCCTCCTGAACTCCCCTTTGCTTGGAGACTCAGCTACAACTGCACTGACCTCCTTGCTACCCTCAAGCACACCTTTCCTAACTGAAGGCCTTTACATTCAGGTACAGTTAGAGTACCCTCAGTTAGTACACCAATGACCTTTTGTGTGTGCGTGTATGTGTATGTAATATATACATATAATACACATGTATACATGTATTATATGATATAATACATATATGTTAGCATTTATCTCATTCCATTGAAATTATTAGATTATACTTCTAATCTCCTATTAAATGATAAACTCCTAAAAGATAGGAACTATATTTTTAGGCCATCAAGTGTCTTAGTACCATATGAGGTGCAAAGGTAGATAAATTAGTTAATGAATAAGTGAATGAATGAGTCGATGGATAAATGAATGAACTAAAATGCTTTTGTACTACTGGTTGCAAACATCATTATCAAAGTCCCCAGAGGAATCTGTAATTCTCATCTGGACAGTATAAGACACAGTTGTCTAGAAACCCTGGGTCTCACTTATAACCAAACTGATCAAAGCCATTTATGGTTTTGAGTCAGTCTTAACCTGGATGCCTGGTCAACCATGTCCCCTTAGCCCACCATACTGCCATCTGCTACCACCATCCTTCCAGTGTCACTAATTCATCTCAAGTTCTTTTAATATTGCTATTGTGAGCTTCAAATATTGAAAAGAGTTTGTAAAATGTAAAGTATTCTACCCTTTTAAGACATTCATCATATTGCTGCTACTGTGACTGGCAGTCACCGGACCCTAGAGCTACTTGGTTTGACTACTCTCCTGTTTTGATCCAGAAAAATAGTAATTTATCACAAACTCTCCTCAACTGCTAACCATAGGGATCTCCAATTCAAAACTCTCTTCTAGCAGATGGGCCATACCCACCTCAGTCACTGAGATCCACCAATACGACTTGGTCCTTGCCATGTAAGATGACATACCTTCTCAGTAGGTTCAGGAAAGTGGAAAGTAAATTAGTATAATTAGCAAACTAACATGACCATACCTTAGCACACAACCCCAAGCCCTGTCTCCAGTATCATCTGTAAATTAGACTGGGGAAGCCAGTTATCTTTTACCACAGGTAATTCCTCTGTGACAGGGAACAGATGACCTTTTGATTCTCTCTTTCTGTCTTTTTTTATGGTTACAGTACATATATGTGCTAAAGAGACTGCATTTATATATTTATGCATAGGTGCATATATTGTATATGTTTATATGTATGTATACACACATAGATATAAACGCATAGAGATATATATACACAATACATGTATATATACACGCCCCAAGTAAAAAATAAAATCCTGTTAGTTGGCATTTTTAATCTTCTCGCTCCTTTCACCAGATTTGTGAGCCTTATATGTTTTCTCCTTTATAATTCTTTTGAAAAGTTTTATGCCTTATTTAGATCACAAAAATACTCTTCCACAAGTCTAAATTTTGTTTTTAAATGACTGTTTAATTTCTCTATTCATCCATTTGAAATTAATTTATTTTCTCTATCCTTTCCTGAAATGAGTCACTCAAAATTCTGTCAGAGATATTTCTTTTAATCAAAAGCAGAAGCTTCTCACTTCTACCACTTCTCATGGAGCTGATGTAAAGGACAGTGTGGTCTATTATGACAGATAGCATCTACATTTGTAAATTGTCTATATATTTATGGAATTATAGGAAGTTATTATTGGACTCACACAAAGAATCTAAATCTACCCTTCATTTTGCATGGAAGCCAATGAAGCCCAGATAAGTTTATAAGTTTCCCAAGGTCACATGGCAGATATAGATAAAGCCACAACTGAAAGCCAGATATCCTAAGAACTCAATGTTTCCTCTAGTCCAACATGTTGCCTTCCTTAGTATAAACAAATCCCCTTTTCAGAGTTAAATGACAGAAACAGCATATTTTTGGTGCAGGTGGGGCTTTAGGTTAGGATGTATGTGACAAAACAGTAATATTGGGGGCAAAATTCAAAGGTCTCAGGCTTTTGTTGTTTCATTACACTTAAAAGGAAAAATGATTTCATTGAGCTAAATACTATAAAATGTAATTATAGTCCTTAGGAACAACTCAGCAGAACTGGAGCTATATTTTGCTGTCTTAGCTCACCAAAGCCCTGGAAGATGTTCAAAAAGAGATTGTATAACAAGTGGCATACATCATTTCCTTTAGGTTCCAGCACTCAGTCATCAGAAAATGTGACCATTTTGGATTCATTAATAATGTGGTGATTGCCAAAGTTTAATTGATCATGTGTCCATATGTATTGGCTAAATCTGGGCACTAGTTATTTTTCTCTGTATGTATCAGTAAATACTTAACGTTTCTCTTACTGTAGCCTACATATTTCTGTCTTAGGGAGATAAAATTACTGCTCTGAAAACCAGCTTTTCCAATTTAATCTAAATCTGACTTTTTGTCATCTTTATTTTTAGTTTATAAACTGCTTGAGAAGGGCTTTTTTATTTCTTGGTTCCTGGCTGGAGTTAAAACTGAGATTATGGAAATACCTCCAGAGCAGTTATTTCTATCCACACTGAAATGAGAAATTTGGTGATGTTTAGTTGAACATTCAAATGTTTCAGCTTTTACCCTTCACTATTAATAATACCATCATCTGTCTTCCACACAGAAAAAATCTTTCTTTAACTTTGCATTTGAGAATTTCTTTTTCATTTTATTTCCTTATGAAATCTTCCTGGTCTGATTCATAACATATTGAGGTCATGTCAGTTGCATTTCTGTTACACAGGAGGATGTTTTATTCCTAAAATTTACCACGAGATCCACTGACATGTGTATGAGACTTGAAATGGGGCCATTTGTGCTAAAGATCCCAACTGATGGACGACTAGGCTAAGAGACTTCTTCACACTGCTATTCACATACAAAAGGAGATGGAGAGATTTCTTATAGCGTTAGTCTTTGGTACCTATCTCCTCTCCTTTGTAAGTATTCACTTAATTTGATAATGATAGGTGGTGGACAGAAAATAAGTGTTCTCAATTTCTTTTCCCAATGTCTACGTCTCCAAAATTAGCTTTTAAAAGCCTTCTGCTTTTTATCCCAAATGACTTTTCCTTCATTTTAACTAGTTTGAATTAGGATATGAGCAGCTGAAAAAATGAATTACAAATTATATAGCCTAGTAAGGGGTTACTAGCATCCTGCCAAATTATTCAGTATCCTCTCATAAAATGAGCGAGTCATTTCCTGTGTGGGTGGAGATGGGTTAGGGAGGGGTTTCACAGTTTCAATTTCACCCTCTATTTAATATCCTTTCCCTTTCATGGACATGTCCATATCCCATTGTCCATATAAATCTCACTATAGACTTTTATAGATGAAGATTAATCAAAGTACAGAGAACAATCAAAGTTGCCTAAGTTTACTTTCTAATCGAATTTTGATTAAAATATTGAGTCTTCCTGAAACTTAGCAATGCATTTTATGTAGACATCTCAGCTGAAATCAATACATTCAGTTGTGTGTCTCAAATGCCTGGTGTGAATTCACAGCTCATCTTGACTCTTCACTTCCATTCTTTCCTTCCTTTACTACCTCCTGCAATAGTCACAGACTCACATAATTTCAGGCTGAACTAGACCTTAGAGACTGACCATTCAGTCCAGTTCTTCACTTTATAGAAAAGGAAAGCTGAAGCCCACAGCATTAAGAGATGCTCCTGACATGACCCAACCAGCTAGTGGTAGATCAGGAATAGGTAACCAAGATTCTAGACTTCTACTCTACTACTATTCTTTTCCCTCACTTCATTATCCCACTGCTCTGGCTTTGCAGTTGCTCACTCTCTTGCCAACATTCTCAGGTCTCTTGTCTATTGCCTTGTTCTTTCATCATATCCACCTAGCAAAGCAGTAGTTGTTCTTACCAATGCCCAACGTGCTGAGTATTATTAGAGAAAACTACCCAACTGGGCAAATTGCTACTACTTTCATGTCAGGGCCTTGCCCTCATCTGGTATATTAATGCCTAGATGTGATTCTGTAGTTCCATGTTTCCATGAGGAATGATGTTCCATAGTCAACACTCACGTTCTGCACAGCAGTGATTCCAAACTTTCTCCGCTTCTCTCAAACTCTGACCTGCAGGGTACCTTGTATCTTACTTCCCAGAGAAAATACAAGTAATCCAACTTTTTGCCATCTAAACTACAACCTTCTCTTGGCCCTCTTTTCTTTATTTTTTAATTTTTTTTTATTTTTAACTTCTATGGATACATAGTAGGTATATATATTTTGGGGAAATGTGAGATATTTTGATATGAGCATACAATGTGTAATTGTCACATCAGGGTAAATGGTGTACCCATCACCTCAGGCAATTATTTTGTGTGTGTGTGTTATGAACATTCTAGTTATACCTTTTGAGAGGTGTTTCTTACTAAAACGAATGAGGTGTTTTCTATTTAAGCCTAATCCCTGTGATCATGCTTTGGATCACATCCCCTCCAGCATTCCCAAGGCATTTATTCTGCAGTATTCCTTCGTTCCTTAATTTTCGCCACTGCTGCCTCCACCGTCTTCTTTCCACAATTGTGTAAACATATTCAAACATCTTCCTTTGTCCAGCAGCTCCTAATAAGCTTCTCTTTTCATTCGTCTTCCTTTGCCATACCCTTAAATCTCCATGTTCCTAGGAATCTGTCCTGGATAATTTACTTTACTCATCCATTCCCTGAACCATCTCATCTAATCCCATAGTTTGTAACTTCATATTTTTATGCTGCTAATTCCCAAATCTATATCCCCAAACCTGCTCTCCACCCTCTCCACTCTCCCTCACTCTCATTCTCTCTCTGGATCTTCAGACATTTCCACTTATTTCCACTCTCCACCCTCCCCACTCTCCCTCATTCTCTCTCTGGATCTTCAGACCTTTCCACTTATTAGTGGGAGGCCCCAGAGAGGCCCCAGAGACACCTCAAAATCAAAGTGTCTAAAACCAAATGCACGATCTGCCCTCACAAACCTAGTCCTTCTCCTTTGTTCCTTGTTCCATAAAAGGGCGCCATCATCCCAGTTAGTAATTATCTTTAACTCTGAATCACAAAGTATACTATAAAATATTTGGCACAGCAGTTCAGAAAACAGCATTGGTCCTGGCCCTACACCTTAGTTGCTGCATATCTTGAAGAAATTGCTTAAGATCTCTAAGTTTCAGTGTTACCTTTCTATGAAATAGAGACTCTAATAGTAACTATTGAGAATTAAACAAAATAATGCAAATATGACATCCAGCACATGGTAAGCATTCTGCAATTTTCATCTGTCACTATAAATGCTATGATTATTAGGAGTATTATCATAATCAGTACATATCTCAAAACAAAGTCCACTTCTCTACATGCCTTCAGCAACAAGCCCAGCCCGAGACCCTCCTCTGTCTCAGTCAGAAGCTACTCACCAATCTCCCTGGCCTCAGGTATGCCCCTCCAATCTCCTCTTCACATTGCATCCATAAGTGATATGCGAAACTTTTCAAGTTCTTTCTTTCTACAAAGACAATACCTTCTTCTACTTGCTGCTAGGTTGAAGTCCTAATTTCTTGGAATGGTTTAAAAGTTTCTGTATCATCTAGCTCTTCTTTACCTCTCCAACTTCATCTTTTGTTTTCTCCTCTCACTCTTCCTCATTGAACCAAAACGAAATTTTTAAAATATCCCTTAAACTCTTCAGGCCTCTCCCACAAGACCTTCACATATGAGTTTTTCTATCTGGAATACTCTGTGTAATCAATTGGCCTTGTTAATTCCTAATCATATTTCAGATTTCAGTTTATATGCCATCTTTTTCAAGAAAGCTTTAGCGAACCTTTGCTTCAACTACTCTAGATTGGCAACCTACCTATCCGCTTAGAGAGCAACCTAATCACCTATCATAGTACTTACCAAACACATCCTACCCATTTATTTATTTGATGTTATTAGTTTTATAGGCCTGCTCTAACAAAGTCCCACAAACTTGATGGCTTACAAAAACATAGATTTATTTTGTCACAGTTCAGGAGGCCAGAAGACCAAAATCAAGGTTTTACCAGAGCCTCGCTCCCTCCAAAAGCTTTAGGAGAGAATCCTTCCTTGCCTCTTCTAGTTTCTGGTGGTTTCTGATACTCCTTGGTTTGTGGCAGCATAACTCTAATATTTGTCTTAGTCTTAACTTGGCTTTCTTTTCTGCCTCTTCTTCTCTTCTTATAGAACACCCTTATTCTAAGATTTCATCGCAAGATCCTTAAGTATAATTGCAAAGACCCTATTACCAAATAAGGTCACATTCTAAGATTCCTGGTGTACATAAATTTTGAGGAGACACCATTTAATCCATTACACTTGTCAATCATATTCACTAGACTATATTCTGCATGAGGGCAGGGATTTTATCCATGTTGGCCATCACTGAAAGTCAGCTTTACACAGAATCTACATTTAACAAGCAATTGTGGAATGAATATATTATTTCCTCTCAATATTTTTCTAGCCTTTCTACCATATTATCATCTTATCCAGCAACATCAATGATCACTTCCACTTTGTCCATTAAAATTGACTCATGTCTTAGCCTGAAAACTAAATAGAAATGAACAGACCCAGCATGCAGAAAAGAAGAACATAGTTAAACTTAATAATACTATCAATCAGCTGGGTATAATGGACATCTATAGATAATTTCATCAATAGCAGCAGAATACACTTCCTTCTTAAGCTCACATACAACATCACCAAGACAGACTACATTGTGAGCCATAAACACACATCTTAACAAATTTGAAAGAACAGAAATCATATAATATCTGCTCTCAGACTACCATGGTGAGAAACTCAGTGCTTTCCCACTAAGATCAGGAACAAGGTAAGGATGTCTCCTCTCACCACTGCTTTTCAACATTATGCTGGAAAACCTAGCTAATGCAACAAGACAAGGAAAGGAAATTAAAAGTATACAGATTGGGAAGGAGTAAATAAAAATGTCTCTGTTTGGAGATGACATAATTATCTACGTAAAAAATTTTTAAAAATCAGCAAAAAAGAGAAAAGTTTTAAAACTAATAAACAATTAGAGCATGGTTGCAAGACACAATGTTCATGTATAAAAGTCAATTATTTTTCTGTATAGCAGCAATGGACAAATGGAATTTGAAATTAAAAAACAATACCATTTTCATTAGAGACCACCAAATAAAATAAGAATAACATTATTGAAAATAAGAATAACATTATTGTACAAGATTTATATGAGGAAAGCTATACAACTCTGATGAAAGAAAAAAAGAACTAAATAAACAAAGATACATTCCATGTTCATTGGTACGAAGACTCAGTATTATAAAGATGTCAGTTTTCCTCAACTTGATCTATAAATCCAGTGAAATCTCCATAAAATTCCTACAAGTACTTTGTGGGTATTGACCCAGAATAGCCAATACAATACTGAAGGAGAACAAAGTTGGATACTGACATTATTCAGCTTCAGGAATTACTATAAAGCTATAGACAGTGTGGTATTGGTAAAACAATAGACAAATAGATTAATGGAAGAGAATAGAGAGCCCAGAAATAGACCCACATAAATATAGACCTTGGACAAAGAAGCAAAGACAACACTCTGGAGAAAAGATGATCTTTTCAACAAATCATGTTGGAACAACTGAACATACACACACACAAAAATACGAATTTAAACACAGACCTTACACCCTTCCCAAAAGTAAACTCCAATGGTTCACAGTCTTAAATGTAAAATGCAAAACTATAAATCTCCTAGAAGATAGCATAGGAGAAAATCTAGTTGACCTATAGTTTGAGATGACCTTTTAGACACAACACCTGAGGCACAATCCATGAGAGAGAATTGATAAGCTGAACTTCATTAAATTAAAAATTTATAACTTGCAAAAGACATTGTCAAGAGAATAAAAAGAGAAGCCACAGACTGGGAGGAAATACTTGCAAACAACATACCTTCTGAAAGATGAAGCCGGGCACAATTGCTCATGCCTGTAATCTCAGCACTTTGGGAGGCTGAGGTGGGCGGATCACTTGAGGCCTGGAGTTAGAGAACAGCCTGGCCAACGTGGTGAAACACTGTCTCTACTAAAAGTACAAAAATTAGCCAGATGTTCAAAGGTAATAGATGATAGACTAGCTTTGGAAAAGCAAAAAAGGAAATTCCCTCACTCAGAGTGCTTAACAGATTTTTCTGGTCTTTGATTTAAAGTATACTAAAACCTATAAATGCCAAAGTCTCCAAGTCTAAATGATCTACAAGTAGTTTTGTAGGTTGATTTATTTCTTTGGTTCTCTGAGCTTATCTTCAAATTCAGGTAAATTCACTGGCAGCATCCTCACAAATATACGGAAAGTTTGTTATCACTGATTTTTTAAAGCCCCTATTTTTTTTCAAGTTGACATGAGTCCTGCCCAGATAACTATACTTACGTATTTATGACTTAATGTATTATCAGAGTTTTATCAGGAAAACAGAGAGTATTCTAGGCATTTGGGGCAGGAAGAAATTTAACAAAGATAATTTGGTGCTTACAAAACTGTTGGAAGGGCAAAAGCCAGAGAAAGCTACCACTAGCACAGGCTTGCCATTGGATTCAGGCAATCAGAAAATGGCTACTGTAACCCAGAGCAGGAATTCTACTTCAATGCCCCCAATTGAGACAAGTGATAATAATCAGGGGAACATCCAATTGAGACCAGTGATAATAATCAGGAGAATATCCAAAGTCCACTGCAAAATCTCACTTTTCAATGCCTGATTATCTGCCTGCCAATACAGGTAGAGGAATAATATTATTTCTATCCACTGGTATGCAAGAAATATCTAACTGATTCATTGGGCATGAAAAAAGTGCTTATTTGTAGTATTTTCCAATTTCTGTGGTATAAAAATTCCGACTATGGCTGATTTAAAGCTACTGAATGCATAGTTGGAAAATGATGTCCATGATCAGTTCCTTTGAACTTTTATGAGCCAACTTGACACATCACTGTTTCTGACACTCTTCTGCCTTCCAAATATTACACAAATGTATCTCACTGATGGACCCTAATGCCAATTCAGAAGCCTGCTGGCAAAGGAGACTGGGAAACATATAGCTCTCAGATTTCCAGCCCCCACAATGCAGAGTGGAGCAAAGGAGGAGGTGTCAACTGTGCCAAGAGCCAACACAGCTAATGTCCAGATCACATAACATACAGACTGATGTTAAATGTCATGTTCCCTTTTCCTGCAAATAAAAACAAACCAAACAAATCCTTGGTGATTTCATCTGCTTTATGGCTCAATTTCCAAATAATATTCAAGCTCTATATGGGTCATTTGAAAATCACTGTTTAAGCAGGCACAAAAATGCTAATTCAAGTTAACATTGATTAAGCCATTATACTGTGCTAGTTATTGTTTTAGGCTTTGCATACATTACACCACTTAGTCTTCCCAATAATTTCATGTGATAGGTTTACTATTATCTGAATTTTATAGATGAAAAAAACTGAAAAATTTAAGGTTAAGCAAATGCCCCAGATCACATAGCTACTGAGAAGCCAGCAGCATGTTTCAATCTCAATTTTTCTGACTGCAAAGCTGCAAACATATAATATTTTATGATTAGTTTCTGCTTCTCAGCACCATGTTTGGTTTTAGATACCTGATAGCATTGAGAATGTCATAGAATCAAGATCCTGAATTGTTTTTAGGACTTCCTTGGATCTTAGCAATTATCTGCTATTGGAAATACTGTAATAAGAAACTGCCTAAAAAAACAAAATGGTGTAATTTGCAGTTCACAATAATTTGTTCACAGTTCACATAATTTGACCTTGAAGTCCCTCCTTTTCCTCAGTTTCCTTCATTGCCCCTAAAGTTTGAACTCTTCCATTCTTCTGGTTTAAATGAATACCCTCTCTTGTTAATGGTGCCACTGAGCTTAAAGTATAAGAAAGAATAAATAATCTGTATAATTTTCAAAAGGGAAAAAATGTGTGGTAGAAATAGGATCCAATCTTCCTTTTAGCAAATGTAAATTTGCTACATTAAATACTTTGTATGTTTCCAGGTACAGTGACTGGTTTTAATGTATAAGTTGTATTTTTATCCATTGCTTAGAATCACCTCTCTAATTTTTCATGTCTTGCTTAATCTAGTAAAATATCACTCTATGCTTTCATGTCACATTCACATACCTTGCATTCCCTTTTTCAGATTCTGTTTTAAAAGCAAGTAAGCATCTCTCTTTATTAAAAATCATTAAATGATAATTTAGTCACTGTGCTTTTTACCTGTGCGATTTCAAGCTAATCGCATGGCTGCTTATTTGTCCAAACAAAAGCAATTGTGCTTTCTTTTTTATTCAGTCCATCTTAATTTTAAAAATGAATAAATTGAATGGCATATTTGTTGGGGGAGGGGCTGTCCTTTGATGAGCAATGGGCCTGATTTCAAGAGCAGGTGCTGTCTGTGTAGGACATCATATCAGTTCTGGCCATGCTTTTGCCAAGGCAGGCTGAATCCATGCCAACTCATTGCCTCGGATGCTTTCAATGCTTGTCAAATACCAGAACGTAAGATGATTCTCAGCTATGTGATATCTAGTGAAAGCCAAATCAGAATATCAGATGCACCAAAACATAGCAAGATATTGACAACTCTGAGGTTTTTATTTCTTCCACCAACTTTAACCTGAGGATCAACTAACTCAGTTGCCTGGTTGACAGGATAAGAAAAAAAACCTGAGTAGCAGTTACATATTTTTTAAGAAGAAACGAAAGCACTATACTGATTAATCTGCCTATTTATCAAGAGACTTTCAGAATTATAAAATTCAGAGATACTTTTCTCAAGCACTAGAACAAACAAGATGTTCTCTTCTGAAGATATTTTCTTTAACATTTGTTGGGTTTCTCTGATATTTGACATACCCACTAAAGCAATTTTTTCAGCTATATGATATCTGGTTATGTCTAGCTGGTGTTAAACTAGTTAAACCTGATTTGACAGTCATGTTATAAATCATTGTGGAAGGCTGAACAAAACAAGTGTGGATCCTTGGGCAGGAAATCCACTAAGAATAACAAACCTGAAAGTTGACTATCACTAGTGGAGATGACATCAACATTGACTTTGGTTGCTATTAATAAACACACTAAAAATGCAATAGGTTTAATGACTGTAAATGCTGTCTCCCATCTCAGCACAAACTGCTGTGTCTGGGAATAAATGAGTATTTATCATTTCCTGACTTCTGCTCTGGCCAGTGGCCAACAGAGAATGTACATCAAAATTAGAAGAGATGGGAGGTGAGACTTGGTTCCAAATTGATCTGAATGATGATAGCAAGCTTAAAAGCTGCCTCCCTGCTTTTAAGGTTCACTGTCTGTTTTCAAAAGTAAAAGAAAACATTCAAGAAAATAAAACAGGAAACTGGTCTACAGCTTAGAGAGAATCTTGCTCGATTTGATTCTTTTACAGCATTGCATTATCATCTACATTAAAGCAGAGCTTACCCTGCCAAACCCTGAAATGCATAAAATGGAAATGAGGAGGAAAACTGCCTTTGTCACTCATCTGTTTCTGTCTTAGGAGATGTCTCCAGTTTATCTGCTTGCTGTCTCATGAAGAGGTTTTATGTGACCACATTACATAGCACAGATGCCATGGAGGGACAGACCTGGATGCGTGCTGGCTTGACCTATCTCGTAGCAAATCCCAGATACATTTCATCTTAATGAAACACCCACATGGATCTTCATACTCAGAAGTCACTTGCTCCCTAATCATGTTATGTGTTATTTGGAATTTTGAGGCAGCTTCTTGCAAAATGCCATCAAGTTCACTACTGGCAAAGTCAGGAAAATGCATAGGTTTAGATCTTGATCATTGTCCTAGAAGCAATATATAACTAATTAAATTTTTATGAAGGCTGGGCAGAGTGGCTCATGCCTGTAATCTCAGAACTTTGACAGGCTGAGGAGGGTGAATCACTCATGGTCAGGAGTTTGAGAACAGCCTGGCCAACATGCTGAAACCCCATCTCTACCAAAAATACAAAATTTAGCCAGGCATGGTGGCACACGCCTGTAGTCCCAGCTACTTGGGAGGCTGAGTCAGGAGAATCGCTTGAACCCTGGAAGTTGAGGTTGTAGTGAACTGAGATCACACCACCACACTCCAGCCTGGGCCACAGAGCAACTCCATCTCAAAAAAAAAAAAAAAAAAAATATATATATATATATATATATACACAAAGAGTATATATTCCAATAACTACTTTGAACAAGGAGATATATTCTAAGGAGTTTATGAGAGGAATATACTACTATTATAATATTATAATTATTATTAAATATTTATTAAATAATTTCATTCTTTAAAACAATATGAAGTAGCTGGCAGAAATTTGAGGTGATAACTTCTCTCACATATATAATCACATACATACACATGTATTAATATTAATGCACACACACTCAAATGTGTGGACACTATTAGTTTCCTAGGGCTGTAGTAACAAAATGTCATAAACTGGGCAGCCTAAAACAATGGAAATGTATTCTTCTTCTCTCCCAGTTACAGAGGCTAGAAGTCTGAAATCAGGTTGTTCACAGGGTCACAATCCCTCTGAAGTTTCTAAGAAATCCTCTGTCTGCCTCTTCTTACTTTCTGGTGGCTGATAGGCCACCCTCAGCATTCCCTCACTGGCAGATACATCACTATAATCTCTGCCTTCATCTTCACACTGTGTTCTTCCTTGTGTGTGTCTGTGTCTGTGTGTCTTCTCCCCCACTTATAAGTACACCAGTAATTAGATTAGAGCCCATCCTAACCCAGTATGACCTCATTTTAACTTAATAGATCTGCAAAGACTATTTCCAAATAAGGTGATAGTCACAGGTATCAGGGGTTAGGACTTTACTATATCTCTTTGGGGAACACAAGTCAACCCACAACAGACACACATGAAAGAAAAAAAAAATGACAGCAACCATATAAAATGCAACCAAAAAGAAAATTATTGTAAAAATATATGACAAAATTCTCTATACTTTTATAGGTGGGTAATAAATTTAACAATCAACATAAAAAGGGAAATCAGATCATGTACACAATTCAGAGTGTCTATGAATTTTAAAACATATCAAGTGCTACAGAAAAGTTTCTGATGCTAAGACCAGAGACTAATAAATCTCAAATTTAAGAATATGCATAATGACCAGGCGTGGTGGCTCACGCTTGCAATCCCAACACTTTTGGAAGGCCGAGGCAGGCAATCGCCTGAGGTCAGGAGTTCAAAACTAGCCTGGCCAACATGCCAAAACCCTGTGTCTACTAAAATTACAAAAATTAGGCAAGCGTGGTGGCACGTGCCTATAATCCCAGCTACTCATAAGGCTGAAGCACAAGAATCGCTTGAACCTAGGAGGTGGAGATTGCAGTGAGCCAAGATAGCGCCACTGTACTCAAGCCTGAGTGACAGAGTGAGACTCGGTCTCTCTCTCTCTCTCTCTCTCTCTCTCTCTCTTTATATATATATATATATATATATATATATATATATGACGGTTTCCTTATAGGCAAAAATTTGATTATACACAAAATAAAACATCATTTTCCTAGTTGCATATACATCCTTCATTTTAAAATATAGAATTATTAAACAATAATAAATAGGGAGAAAATATGCTTTATAAGTCACTGAAGTCCAAATGTCATATTTAAATATGGTCATACTTAAATATTAATATTGGTGATCATCAAGGAAGTCCAACTTTATTGGAAATTACGACGTCCATTGAGAGGCACTACAAATACACAGTTCAATGATTCCCCAGTCAAGGAGGCACTTCTATAATTTGGGGAAATTTTTAGGAGGGCACAAGAAAAGCACTGTAACATTCAGAATGTCAGTGTCTGAACTGATAACAATGCTATGAGAAGGGTCCCAGCTCTTTGTAAACACAGTTTCAGTTAAGATCACAGAGAAGATTTTTCCACAGATGGATAATTCCAAGGATATAGTCAAAATCAGTAGCAAAATAAGATTTGATTTCTAGGGATTCACTGCAGAGCTAAATGTGTTGGAATAATTTGGAAAGTAAATGATACTGCATTTTTAAAAGATATCATCATTATTTCAAATCTTCTTCTCATTTTTCCAAATGGTGGTATTTTATTTCAGGTGCTCATCTTTTGGCTTCCTTTCTTAAATCTGAAAACTAAGTTCCCCATTTCCATGCGCACCATTTCCTCAGCCCACTTTAAAGGAAAGTCAAACTGTTTTCTAGAACCTTACTTGTTAGGCTGGATTTTTTATAAAATTTTCTTAAAATATTTAAAAAGATTTGCTAGACAGAAAAAAAATAGCCCCTCAAATATATATTCCATTTCTAATCCTCAGAACCTGTGACTATCACTTTATATGAAAAAAGAGTGAGCATTACCTTATATAGCAGAAGACCTGATTAGGAATGTTGAACAGGAGCATTATCCTGTATTATCTGGGTTGGTCCTAAATGCAATCACATGGACTCTTATAAGAGAGAAGCAGGCCGGGAGCGGTGGCTCATGCCTGTAATCTCAGCACTTTGGGTGGCCGAGGCGGGTGGATCATGAGGTCAGGAGATCGAGGCCTTCCTGGCTAACACGGTGAAACCCCATCTCTACTAAAAATACAAAAAAATAGCCGGTCGTGGTGGCGGGCTCCTGTAGTCCCAGCTACTCGGGAGGCTGAGGCAAGAGAATGGCGTGAACCTGGGAGGCGAAGCTTGCAATGAGCCGAGATCACGCCACTGCACTCCAGCCTGGGTGACACAGCGAGACTCTGTCTCAAAAAAAAAAAAAAAGAGAAGCAGAGGGAGATTAGACACAGACACTCAGAGGAGAAGACTATGAAGACAGAGCAGGGAGCGGTGCAGCCACAAACAAAGAAATGCCAACCACCACCAGAGGAAGAAGTAGAGGATTCTCCCCCTCCCCACTCTGGAGGTAGACAACACCTCAATTTTAGACTTCTGGCCTCTCAAACTGTGAGAGAGTAAAATTATTCTTTAAACCACTAGATTTATGGTAATTTGTTACAGCAGCCACAGAAAACTAATACAATAGGTAAAAACACAAGAAACAAAGGAAACAAAAAGACGTAATTAAAAAAAAAGTCCCCCTCCAGAAAAAAATAAATATATCTTTTTCTATTGATAACTATCATTTACCAAGCACCTGCTGGATAGGTGCCAGAGAAGGATTTACATGCTTTATACACATAATCCTAATAATCCTAATGCTTACCAAAACCCAGCAATGTAAATGTGATTATCCCCATTTTGCAGATGAGAAAAATTGACTGGCCCAAGGCCACATACAGTAAGTAAACAGAATTCCTCAGATTCAACCCAGACGCATTCGACTCTAAACTTTCCACTGTTCCGGCAACACTCTGCTGCATCCCATACTTCTCTTTTTAGCCTCCCCTTTCTGTCCCTGTCAGCCCTCTCTCCATCCAATTGCAGAGCATACTTGCAACTGTTTATTTTGCTATTAACCAGCTGCAAATATTTCCTTCCAAATGCCCGGGAGCCAACCAATTGCATTCCTGGCATTTGTAGGAAACACAAATCATAAAAATAAACCATTAGGCAATATGCCTCAAATACCATGGCCTGTAATCTTTTTTTTGAATCTCTTGAATTCCTATATCCGGGCCCTATGCTATCTAGACAGGTTGCTTGCTCCTCTACACCACACCAACCCCGATTTACCCCAGATCAGACACATTTCCAGCAACTCCCTGGCTTCCAGGGCTACAACCTTGTTTGGATAAAAACCGAATTTGAGATTACCAACAAGATCTTATCCATCCTGCTAAGCTCCCTCTTTCTCCCAGTCTCATCTACTCCCCCGTATCCTTTCCACTGGTTCATCCATCCCTGATCCACTATAATTTAGGCCTCAATGTGTTTTCCCAGGGCAAGAAATCACTAATAAAATCTCATTCTCTCCGAGACTTACACATGTATATATATATATATATATATATATATACACAAACCATGGCTTTAGCAGGTATTTATTTCTTGAGGCACAAAAAGACAGCTGAACAAAAATAAAAACATAAATTTCTATATTGTTAGAATAACCTAGGACAAAAACCCCTCTTTCTCCTAATGGTGGGAAAGGAATACTGCTCCTCTCCATCCTCACCCAGCTGCCTTTCTCCTTTCTGCTAGAAGAGATCTAAATTCTCAGGGCTTATGTATCATCCTGGCTTAGGGGCAGGAGCTTCTGGTCTGAGAGTCCTCCTCTGGCCTGGCCTGTGTAGTTCAGCCTCCAGGTCTTAGGTTTTAGCCCAGGAGACAGATGGTAATAGGGCTTTGTCTCCAGACTCAAGCATCCATCAAGCTTTGCTCAAAAAGCTCAGTTGTCTTGCTGCTCTGCTCCCCTTCAGCCCTTGCTAAAACTGCTGATCCTCTGAGACCCTCTAGCCTGGATCTTGACCATTGAGGCCTCACCTCCCAATCACCCCACTAACCCCTGGCAGACAGACATCTCACAGTTTTCAATTATAGTTTAAATCCCCTCAGGCACAATGTTTCAGGTTTCCTAGATGCATCCAGGGAGGAAGGGGTTTGAGGGTGAGGCAGAGGAAGGGGTGACTCAGACCCTTCTGTGTGAAGTAGCACATCACCATCTCCATCTACTAAGGCAGCCCCACATGGATATAGAGTCTGGGAGGTGTCTCCTTCTGGAATTCCAAACAAGAAGCAGAGCAGCATGCCAGTCCCTCCTTTTTTTAGAACCCTTCACCCCTCTGGGGGACTTAATCTCCCGCTCCAGGCTTCAATTGCAGGGCGACAAGGAGGAGGACCCTCTCTAGCATCCACACTCAGGCTTTTCATTGAAAATCCTCCCAGAGCTCCTCCCTTAATTAAGCCTAGCAAGAATTCAAAAGTCCTCTTCATGAGGAAAGGAAAGCTGCCCCAAAGGCGTGGTGAATCCTCCATATTCTCTGGTTCAGGGTAGAAACTCAGCACCTCCACCTACTTGGCTTTGCTCTTGGTTTCTCATATGAAGTTTTTAAATTTCAATGAAACATTTTTTCTTCCAAGTGCCTCCTAAAAGTATATTGGCTTTTAGAGTATTCTGTGTCTGTGGTGGTGGACTTCAAAAAAGGAGACAAAACTTGAGGCCAAGTGAGAACTACTTTGTCCATGTGGTTGTATCTGCATTTATTCAAAAGCAGTAAATGTATTGCTCCAGTGCATGGAGGAACCAGGCATATAATTAGAAATTACTAGCAATGAAAGATGCAGCATTGAGTTTTTTACAGGCACTATTTTGCAACATTATGCAAACACCATAATCTAGGTTTATACTATGGTTTACAATTTTATATATTATTATTGTAATGGTGCGATTTAGCAATATCTTTGAAAAATAGTGCTTACTTTTGTTTAGTTTTGAAATCAAAACTGCACATTTATTTGCTCATTTTTATTTCAAAATTGAACAATTTAAAGTAGTTTACACATTTAAAATCTGATGTGATATGGCATATCAGGACTAGTAACACTGCTCACAAAAAGCATGTGTATTTTGCAGATTACTCTATTATTTTTACATTTTGTCACATTTTATTGTTGAAATGTTATAATAACAATACTTGAGAATGAAATTTTAGAGTTACTCTTGGCTCCATCATCCTATGAGGCTAAGAGGATATGCTATAAATTACTAAACTAATTCCATCTTATTGGATATTAACTTTTTTTTAATTATACATAGTTTTGGATAATGATGCAATAAATAACTTTGCATGCACATATTTTCTTTATTACGTTACTTACTTGAGATCAAATGCCAAGATTTCAATTACTAAGTCAAAGGGCAGAGTTGGCACTAATCAATGTCTTCACAAAGCACAAAGGTTACCTCAATGCCTTTCCTTGCTAAACTCAGTGCCCTTTAATGCTACCTATGAGTTTTTTATGAAGCTAAGATTACTGCAATAAAACAAGTTTTTATAAAAGTCTTTACTTCTTTCATGGTAAAGTGACCTTTTTATGTTTACACAATATATCATAAAACAACCTCAGAAGTTCAATAGATCTAAACTCAGTAACCTATAATGTTATCTGCAATAATTTTTTTCTGACTGTTTCAGGGTTCAGGTGAACTTATGGACACATAATACAAGTCAAAGTGCAATATGAGACATGTTTCGCATGTGGCTTCACATGCAGATAAGGCATTAGTATGAAAATAAGTACACCTTAAAGTAGGTAGCAAATTATAAAATGAGGTTGCTTTTATAATTTATTATATTGAGCTTGTAGCATTATGGTCAATATTAGACCTGAACAACCAAGGAAATCACTGATAGAGAGAGGGGGCGGGGGGGGCTTCAAATAGAAAGACTTCTTAGAAATTTTAAACCTTGCTCTTTATATCAAGGCTTTCGTAGAACTTTAAGAATGTTTTTAAGCTTACCTTCATTATGCAAAATGATTTTCATGTATATCTGAATCTATTGAAAAGAAGTAAAAACCAATGTCACAATGTCATTAACACTGTTATTTCAGAAATATATTTATTGGTTCCTAGTAGTCTATGAAGAACAAAGCAGATCAAACTAGCAAGTTACTAAATTGCTACAATTACTACAGATACTATCCATTTCAGTAGCTAAGAGGCATGTAGATATACTAAACAATATGAAGGAGGTATTTTATGCCCAGTGGAATGAATTCTAGGAAATTGAGCTCAAGAAAACCGAATTAATATCAGAGTTCTACTACCAAGCATGAGACCTTTCCTCTCCCTGCCCTCTAGTTTGGACGTCTACAACATAAGGGACAGGGCTGTGCAAGACCTTTCCAAGCCTTGTAATATTATCATTCCACAGCAAGGGCAGCAGCAGCAGCACTACTCCAGCATGAAGGGATTCAATGACAGTAACCAATGTAACACGTAATTGTCACGTAATTATAATGCAAACCTCTTCACAGTTAACCAAATGAGCAGTATACACAAACGTCCTTTTACCCCTCTCTTAAAGTATGATCAGTGGCAGGTGTAGCTAAATATTCACAGCATAAAAATCTGTATCATGTTTTTATACTTAGTGACCAGCGAATTATTGGATGGCATTACTACCTAGCCCAATCATTACTTTATGACCCTCCAGCAATATTTTTTTCTTTCTTTCTAAGTCTGCTTGCTAGGGAGAGGAATTTTTTTTTAACAAATCCCAGGAATGGAACTCTGAAGACAAAAATTAAATTAAATTAAAAGTTGATTGCAAAATCATAAAATCACATCATTTGCTTTCCTCACCCTTTTTGTTTCATTTCGGATTCTGCCTCCTTTGTGAAGCCTTTTCTGATGTTCCCAAGTCAGAAGTGAGATCTCTCCCCCTCCACCCCCACACCTCTCTTCTGTAATTCTACCTTCTTCAAGGACTTTATCATAACTTCAAAGCACATAGCTCTCTCTCTCTCTTTTTTGGTAACAGTGGGTAAATACTTGTCCTAATGTCTCCTACGAGATTTTAAGCTCTTTCTGAGGATAATTTTTTTCTTTTATTATCCACATATTGCTCACAATACATAGTATCTTAACAGTATTATGTTACTTGTTGACTTGAATCAATGATAATTTAATTAATTAGCTCCACATTATTTTACTTCCTATAACAGTATTTATATGATTGAGGCTGACATCAAGCCACCCTGATAGGTCTAAGTGGTGTGATTATGCAGGAGCCTACAATAAAACCATAGTTTTTTTTTCTTCTTTTATTCTCATGGAACATCTGGACAACATGAGCTGTGGTTTTGAAGTCATGGGAACCATGAAAACACTTGTGCCGATTCACAAAGATGATCCCATGATGGACCTCTCAAAAAGAGTTTATATTCCTAGTACTCCTTACAGATTGTCCCCTTGCAGAAGCACAGGAATAGCAGGTTCTATATAGCTCTACCAGGTTGGAGAAGTGCATATGCCCTAATCTGCTGCTCTCACAACAACAGTTTTGTCTACCCTGAATTTTAGGGTCTACTCTTTTTAGGCCTCTCTGCCCTGTGATATCTGGATGAGCAGGGACCTTGGAGGCACTATTCTCATGAAGAATAGCCCCCAAAAGACCTCAAGGACTACAGGTAGCTTAAAGATAAAATCAGGGCCACTAGTTTCTAATCATAACACCTCTTATAGGAATGTATTATCCTTACATAAGTCAGCACAAGTCAAAGTCATAAAGCATTTTAAGTCATTAAAATTATACTTTGCCTTTAGCTATAGTGTTAGACAAGACTGGATTAAGATATTTTGCTTAAATAACTCTAATAAAGTCATTGATTTAAAATATCCAATTTTTGTTTTGCAGATAAAAGCATATAAGTAGCCAATAAGAACAAAATAACATTTACTATCAAATATAAAATATCATGTTCAAAAATGCTTTCAAAACTCTATGGCTTTACATAAATAATAACTCACCCTGCAGAATTTTGTATGTGTTTTGCACTTAAAGAGTTAATCTATGGTTTTATAAAATCTCTTTTAATCCACTTCAGTTATATTTTAAGTATCACTTTCAACAAGTCAAATAAAAACAAACTCTGACAAACTTGTCTGCCACACTTTACCCAAAAATTAAGCCAGTAAAAGTTTTCAGATTGTTTGAAAACTATTAAACCTACTGTGCATACTTCCCGAGTTGTGAGTTGAGAAAATGCTAGGAAAGTTAGTGCCATATGGTCCATGTACTAATGGAGTTAAAATACAGATAAAACCAAAGTCCTTTGCCATGTATTTGTTGCCAAGTAGCTTGATGAATCTATGTTCTATTGTTCAACTTGATCACATTAGGGGCCATGCTTCTTACTTCTTTTGAATCTTAAAAGCAAAACGAAGTTATCTATAAAGGTTAGATAATGTTGGTTAAATGAAAGAACATAATATAGCTCAGAAAATAGAAAGAAAATCTAATTAAGACTAAGCCACAAAATACTTATAAATATTGAGAAATGTCTCTGATACCTATCTATACCTATATAAATTCTCTTAACCTTCAAAATTCAGCTCAAGCTTACATCTTCTACACATCCCTCCTGACTTCCTCTCTCCAAATTCCTACAACACATAAACTCTCGAAACTATACAACTTAGAAAAATTAGACAAGTGTGATATTAATTGTTCTTCCTTGCTCTGTCTTGTCCTGTCTCCACCTCCAACAGAGATTGTAACTCTCTTGAAGGGAAGCAGTGATTCTTCTGTGTGTCCTCCAAAGTGACTAGTAGTGTACTTAGCACAGAGTGGGTATTCAATTGAATTCAATGAATTACAAAGATGATGTATAACTTAAGATTCCTAAGGAGAGCTCTCATTTTGGTAAAATGCACTCCCTATTATCTCAGTTATTGATATTTTTCAATATTGAAAAAGCATATGCTCAAGGGATACCTATATATTTGCAGTAGATACTAGTAGAATACTCACGTGACTTTAATGACTACCTAAGGTCTATGCCACCTAAGATGCATCATGACACAAACATAAGGGGTGGGAGAGAGATATAATTATAATCTTCAGGTGTTTAGATGCATTTTCTTGTGTGCAGCTGCTATTATCTCTACTTATCATTGATGTGTCATTTTATATTCTGGCAGCAATGATTATTCCTAATTATATATGGGAAAATAAATTGTAATATGTATTTAATACAAACACTCTGTCATTTGGGTAGTTATGTCAAACGGTTAATCATGTTTAAAACTAACAGGAGGACAGATTAGGGGGCAAAAATATGTTATGAAAAGACAACCCTCTTTTTCCATAGTCTTGATTTAAAATTTAACCTAAAGGTTAGAAAAATGGTTTCAAGACGCATATTAGTATTTTTACCAAAGAACAGTTTCTCCTTGGAACATAAAGAATTCTTTTGAATCAGAATATCTCTGCAAACAACAGTCTCTTCCTTGTGAGACTCGTCTCTCATGTTCAACCCCTTACTTCTGCCCCATGGTAGGACAAGGCAAAAGAATCCATCATTTCAGCTACAACTCAGCCGTTTTCTAACTGACAAGATGTTAGGGAGCAGTTCAAAAAAGAAGCTTAGTTTAGTATTTTGTCCCAAATTTCTCTTATAAGTATGATTATTCTGGTTTCTCCCATGCATAACTCTGTCTTGCAAATAAAAACTATTCCATCAGACAAGTCCAATGTAATTAAATAGATTTTAAAAACAAACAAACCTGGATTCTGCAATCAACCTGATAGAATTATTTACCTTGGGCGATGGGACATGTGGCTATTTACAAAATAGGCTTAGATAATATTGTTTCTTAGCTAAATGCCATAACTGTTAATAAATTTAGAAAAAAAAATCAAAGGGAACACAAAAGCAACAATCATATCTATGAGCCCTCAAAATATTTCTAGACTTGTACAAATCTACTTGTGGTCACATGGCAGCTATTTATTTACAAAAGCATATTTCTTTTGTAAGAAAATATTACGGTTTCCTCCAATTATTGCAACATTTCTTTATGAAATAAGATTTCCAGCTGGTAAAATTCAGGGAAGAATTGCCATTCTTAAGAATTTCTCAGTGATTGCAGAGGTCATTCACACCTCTCCAATACTTACAACATCGTGAAAGTCAAGTATTTAACATTATGAGACTCTGTATTGGAAAACAATGGAAATCCATAGCCACCCCATCTAACTGGAAGCTACTATATATATGTTAACCTATACCTGCCACAGATTGGTGCCTCTCCACACCCATCTTGGAGAACACCAAAGAAATATTTAAGGGTGAGTAAATTTTCTAGGATTTCAGGCGAGTGAATGTGCAGACAGGCTAATCTGGGAAGAACAAGTGAAGGAAACCCTGGTGTAGGCTAGGAGAAAGCAGCCAGGATGGGGGGAGAATGACCACAAGTTGTGCTGGAAAGAGGGAAATGATAACAACTGTCTCCAGAGTCTGTTCACAAGGCAGCATTTCTCCAAGGTGTAGAAGACATTTTGCATCCCAAGAACAACTGAGAAGAAAATAGAGGATGATGTTCTAGCGATATGAATTCAAGATCCTGAGGCTTTAGGGTCCTGTTAGTCCCCATGACAACTCACCTATTATTAATAAGCCACAAGTGGAGGAACAGGTACTACATTCTTCATCTTCTATAAGTTAACACAGCTATTCATCTTCAGTGAGAAGGCGGTCATAAGAAAACCTGGTTTTATGAGCAAGAAGAGTCTAGAAATAAACACTCCCAATTTGCCGTTAGCCATTATGAATAAGGCAGCAAAATTAATTTATTTTAATGCTATACCCAAGAGGCACATGTTTTTCTTTCTATGTGATTACAAAAATGCCGAATGTCCCCCGAGGACAGAAGTCCTTTTTTAGACTTTAAGAACAGACAACCCAATTTTCTCTGAGTTTGTTTTTTCCCCTTTGAGAATGCACTTAATTTGTTAATGCAGGAGTGCATTTGTCACCAATAAAATTCATCTTCACTGTACAAACAGATGCCTGAAATTAGTCCTTATAGAGGGAAAGCTAGGGGGAGTGTACTTGGTTGCATGTTATGAAAACATAATTCAATTATTTAATTTGTAATAAGATTTTCTATATCCAACAATTGCATGAACAACACTAAAAAGATCCTGAAAGATCATGATTTTATTCATTTCTACCAAGCATTGGCTTTTATAATTATAGATCAAAAAAGCAAATTCTGTTTTTTAATAGGGGCTTCACTGCTGTTAAGTGAGGCCAAAAGCTGTCAGAGTATATTGCTTTCAACATTGTTATTTATCAAAAAGAGTAAAATTGTGACTATTTGCAAGACACTACGTTAAATGTTTTAAAAGAAAGAAAAAAAATGGATGGAACATGACTGCTGCCCTCAAGTTATGCACAACCTAATAGGGACACCCACGTTGACATAAATAACTGCCTACAAGATAGTGTAGGGAAGTGTCATGAGTGAGTTTGGTCAGAATGTTTTTGGCTGCAAATAACAGAAACTCAAATTAAACTAGCTTAATGATAAAGAAATTTAGTAAAATGCAAAAGAGGAATTACAGAGTTGGGGCAGCTGCAGGGACTCAATCATGTCCTCAGGGACCCATTCCTCCCATCTCTCCAAGCTGCCCATCAGAGCATTGTTTCCTCCTATGGCTGGTTACCTGGTCCTGAAATGGCTGCCAGCAGCAATCAGAGCAACATGCTTCCCTGTTCACATTCAGCAGGAGAGAAAGGCTGAGTTCTTTTTCCCAAGTCCCCTTTCTTGTATGGCACAGGCCCACACTGAGCTCATGCCTGACAAGGTGGGTGAGATTAACCTTGATTGATTTAGACGGATCCAAGGGGTGGGATGGAGGTTGGAGAGCCAGACACAACGTCCACCAAAATGTGGGAAAGAAAACCCTGAAGCAGATCCTGTAATTGCCCAAACTGGGTAGCTTCTTTGGGAGTTGGTGAGTGATCCTGAGGTTCAGAACTGCCAGCAATGGTAGACAATAGGCAACACCTAGTATGGGAAAAATGTTTTTAGAGCCTCTGAGAGATGATTCATTGTGCCTTCATGACATTTCTAAATTTGGATAAGAGGAATACCTCAGTATTCTCCCTTCCTCCTAAAGTCAGATAATCATTCTAAAGTGGTTGCCAAGCATTTTTCCAGCTGATATTTCTAGCTCCTTCCAAAACAGTCTGTCACTAAACTCACCCACTCTACATAGGAGGAGGAGAAGGAGGAGAAGTTGCAGTGATATTACTTTATATAGAGACAAGAATTCTTCAGTTTTGTCAGCTTTTGAAGGGTAATAAAGTGCTTTCAATCTTCTTATGCCTCTTGTTTGTGGGCACCCTGCCCCATTCTGAGTCCACACCTGGTTCTTCACACTTAATTGCAAGACTACTTTTCTCTTTTAAAAATGTTTAATGTTTACAATATGCCTTGTCCTGTTATAAGCTCATTACAGCTGTTATAAGCTCATTGCATGGAAATGTTCATTTAATTTTTATAACAATTCCCAAAATAAGAATTATTACTATCCCTACTTTACAGGTTAGAAAAACTGCACCACAGAGAGATTGAATACCCCAAGTTCACACAGCAGTCAGTGGCAAAGCTGGGATTTGAACCCGACTAATAAATTTCCAAGTCTGAATTCTTATCCAAAATACCACAGTTGCATCTGCAGCCAGTGGATGAGGAGTACAGCAGGACACAAGAAATCTAAAAATGGTCATGCAAGGGAGTTCGAACATTGTCCTAAGAACAGTAGGTATAACCTGAAAGGTAATCAGAAAACTTAGGTAATCAATATTCAAATGAGTCAACAAAGAAGAAGAGGATCTTGTTTCTGAGAAAAGTTGAAGGAGAAAAGGAACTAACATTTATTAAGCATCCACTGTACAGAGTACAGGTACTCGATGCTTTGGGCATGTGATGTCATATAGTAAGAACTTTCTAGGGCTTGGCTTTCCCTGTTATACAGCTCAGAGAAGCTAAAGTTTCCTGCTTATGGTCTCAGGGCAGACCTGGTATTTGAACCTATACCTGATTCCAAAACCCATATATATATATATTTTTTTTCCACTGTCTACTATAAAGATTCCAGAGCTTCTCCAAGTCAAAGGCCAAAAAGGAGAAACAATAGCTACTTACAGATCTTCATTTATCCTGTGAAATAATATTTCCTTTAATATTAATAACTGTGCGTGACAGAACTAAATATCACTCTAAGAAATTTCTCTTCTCTCAGATCTTTTAACTAAAGACACCAGGGAATAACAACCCAAATATATGAACAAAAGCTATTAAGAAGGAATACACACACACACACAGACAACATCTGATATCCAGCCAGGATACACAGGAGAGAGTATAAAGTTTCCTGGAGCTTCATTAAGTTGCTCAGTGCATCACTTTTTTTCCATATTCATAAAGTACACCAATCCTAAAGGATATGATGTCCATTTCTGCTTCTGACAGGGTGACCTTGCAGACTGAGGCCTCCAGCAGGGGAGCAAGCTTCAGGAGAAGAATCCTCATTATTTGGTAAGGCTAAGACTTTGTGTGTTAGGTTCATATGAATAACTTATGGCTGTACAGCCTCATGAACAGAGGCCTGGACACGGCTGACATCACAGCATCATACACCGAATCCTGGTCCACCCTCCCGGGAGAAAATGGAATATTTGCTCATTTCACATTTCACCAAGACAGACTCTTCAACTATTTATAAGTTGAACAGAAATTTCCACCACTTCAGCTGACACAACTGGCTCTACCTAGTAACTGATAAAAGAGATCCAACCAGAGCCTTTAGGAAGCTAGCTTTGGCAAAAGCCAGTAGCAGCAGGGAAAGAGACAAGGTCTGCACCAAGGGACATCCTCCTCCAGTAGGTGCTGCTCTCTTCCTCCTCATTCACTCTTCACCACCACCACCACAACTAAGACCCTACATTTACAGCTTGTCTAGAATAGGTTTTGCTAATAACTTGGCAAACATACCTGTAGATAGATGCCTGTCTCTTATTAATACTTACTAAGGACTCACTGAAATTGACATTGATTAATATCACAGTGTCCTTATTCTGAAATAAAGGCTATCCCTCTAATTCAGTCCTATTCAATTCAAAACAGATGCATTGAGGACCGTCCATGTACTGGTTCTGGCAATTTAAAGATTAATAAAGTTAAGTCCTTGCACTCCAGATGCTTAAAACTTGGAGAAGAGTAGACACATAAAGAGAAAATATTGACTAGGATAATTGCTCTGCCACAGGAAAGCTCAGGGGCCACTAGCAAGCAGAGGAGGGCACTTAACTCAGGCTGGAGGATTATTTTATTGATAACACATGGAGACCCAATGCTGCATACATTTCCCATTTTACTTAATTCTCACAACAATTCTCCCCATGAGGCTACTCCTTATTAGCCTAATTTTTTAGGTAAGGAGACCCGGTTCAGAGAGATTAAATGATTTGCTCAATCTGACACAGCAAGTGGCAGATATAAGAGTCAAACAGTCCAGTCTAACCACAAAGCCAGTCACTTGCTTACAACAGTGTATTGCCTCTCAATGGCAATTTGCAAAGTTTAATGTTCATGGTTATATTTATTTATTATTCAAAAAATATTTGCTGATTGTCTACTATGTTCATGGGATACAAGGCAAGGGTAACAACTGTACTGGTCCTGAACTTCTTGTGCTTGCCTTTCAAGATCATCAAAAACAAAGAGTTTGAAGGAGATACATCAGTCAGTTATTCTGGAAATATTCATAAATATTATAGTGCAGTGTTATGGACCAGAACATGCTTGATTCTGAGACTATGAATTGGTTTAAAAAAGAAAGTCTGTGTCCTCATGGAATTTGTAGTCTAGAAAAATATGCAAATAAATACACATTGCATTGAAGGTGGTAAGGGCTTTAAAGAAAAATAAAATAAAGTATTAGAAATCATGGATGAGGGATTGAGGGTAGAACTTGGCATTTTGAATTGAAAGCTCCTCTGAGAATCCAAGGAAAAACCTGAATAAGGAGAAGAAATCATTATTTATTATTAGGGGATAATCTATGTGAAGAATATGCATAGCCAGGCAGAAGCAACAGCAAGTGCAACAGCTCCAAGGCAGGAACTCATTTAGAGTTTACCAAGAATGGTAAGAGGCCAGATTACAGTCAGAGAGGTTGAAAGCAATACAAGACGGGTGGAAAATCAAAGGCTAAATCATCCAGGACCTTGTTGGCTATGTAAGGGGTTCCATTTTCTTGTCAAGGCAAAGGGAAACCACTGGAGAACTTTGAATAGGGGGAGCGACATGTTCTGATTAACTTTTTAACTTCACTCTGGTTGCCATATGGAGAACCGATTATGGGGGCACATGAGTAGAAGACCAATTAGAAGTCTATTATACAAGCCTAAATTTAAGATGATGGTGGGTTAAACTAAAGAGGAAATGCAGAGGTTGTCAGATTGGGGATCTATTTTTCATAGTAGTGCTGACAGACTAGATTAGATGTGGGCTGTGAGGAAAAGACAGAGGAGCAAATGCACTTGAATTCCTGGAACAGTGCCTATACAGAGTTTATACTCAACATGTGGAAATTCCATCCCTTTCTCTTGAAACTCAACATGGTTTACTTGGGGAAAATAAGTCACACACATAACTAGGCACAGGGTCTATGAGAGTGGCCCTAACATAAGTCAAACTTCAGGGCTACAACACAGCCATGAGAAAGTAGATGAGAATCTACCTCAATTGCTTCAATCAAACTAGTAAGTATCCTCTATTTGCTCTCAAATAAATGAAGTGGAAGAATTCCTAAAAGAATTCTGGTTATACCAAGTGTGAAGGAACTCCTATTCTTGGTGGAAGTGCCTGTTGCTTATTATAGGTAGAAGTTTTACAATAGATAAAATTGTAAAACTTATATTGCTTTCTAAGATAAGTCTTCACAGAATTCCCTGAGGCTAGGACAGATCTTCTTATTAGAGCCTTTTAACACTCCTGTATCTTTCCATCATGGCTCTTTTCAGTTTGAAATTTGATATGCAGTTATGTAATATTTGATTAATATCTGTTCCTCCCTCACCTGCCATCCCATTCTTCCTAACCTTGAAACAGTTTGCCTAGAAAAAAAGCATATAGGCATTCAAAACTTTTTGTTGGAAAACTGAAAAATGTGTTTAAAATATATTTTATTCACAAAGAGAGCAAATAACCTATGAAGAAAAAATGGAATGACATTTCATAAAGGATAGGCATTTAATTCCATTTTTAAAATTCTATTTATAATCACTAGTTATCTTCACAGCAATACATAGGATTCACTTCAAAAGAACCAAAACTGGCATGGGGAAATTACTTCTAAAGAGCCATCTTGAACTTTAGGCCATAATAAAAGTTTGTTTTCTGACCTGACATAGTGGCTTACACTTGTAATCCTAGCACTTTGGGAGGCCGAGGCAGGTGGATCACCTGAGGTCAGGAATTTGAGAACAGCCTGGCCAACATGGTGAAACCCCATCTCTACTAAAAATACAAAAGATTAGCCAGGCATGGTGGCACACACCTGTAATTCCAGCTTGGGAGGCTGAGGCAAGAGAATCACTTGGACCCAGGAGGCAGAGGTTGCAGTTAGCTGGGATGGCATCACTGCACGCCAGCCTGGGCGACAGAGCAAGACTCTGTCTCAACAACAACAACAAAAAAAACAAAAAACAAACAAACAAAAAAGTATGAGATGCATTTAGAATTCATTGGGTATAATCTGGCCTATATAGCCAGATGACATGTGCCTCACCTGGATTACAGTAGTCACCTCCTAACTGTTGTCCTTGCTTCAACCTTACCCTCTTGCTGACTATTGTCAACAGAGCGGCCAGGCTGATACTTTTGGACTAGAAGCTACTTCGCTGCATCTCTCCCCAACTCATTCAGAATAAATGTCAACATCCTTACAGTGGTCTCCAATGCCTTTATCATTTAGGGCCCTGGAAAAAAATAGGTGACACAATTAAACTGGTCATCAAGGAAAGTTTAAGCCTTAGTCCATTCAGGCTGCTGTAACAAATTACCATAGACAGGATATCCTATAAACAATATAAACTCATTTCTTACAGTTCTGGAGACTAGGGGGCCAGGAAATCCAAGATCAAGGAGCTAGCAGATTCTGTGTCTGGTGAGGACTCACCCACTACTTCATAGATGTTGCCTTCTCGCGGCACCCTCACATGGTGAAGGGGAAAACTAGCTTTCTGAGACATCTTTTATAAGGGCAAACTAATCCAATTCATGACAGCTTCACCCTCATGACCTAATCAGCTCCCGAAGTCTCCACCTCTTAATATTTTTGTGTTGGGGATTATGTTTCAACCTATGCACTTTAGGGGGACAAAAACATTCAAACCCTAACAGAGAACGTTTACAAAGGTGAGGATGAGCATTTAAAAAATCATATATACATGGTGTGCTACTCTGAGGCTAGCAACAGTGTGAAGCTTTTATCAATGGCAAAGAGAAATGAATGGATCTGGGGAAGCAAATGAAAAACGTTCAGCATAAAGCCCTATGTGATCTGCCCTCGCCTCTTCTGTGTTCCTTCCGCTGCCGTCGCCCTAGCACCTTGATATATCTTGACACACTCCAGGCACTGTACAACTTGGGAATCTTTACATTTGCTGTTCCCTCTGCTTAGAACACTTTTTCTCTAAATATCCACATAGCACACTAACTTACTTACTTCAAGCTCAAATATCACCTTCTCAATGCAACCTACTTGAAAAGCCTATTTAAAATCATAAAACTTCTCCTCTAACATCCCAATCCCCTTAACCCTCTTCTTTCTACCTTTTCCCCATTTCATTTATCACACACTGTTACACGTATATATAATTTTATACTATATTATTTAATTTTTATTACACCTATTGTCAATTGTCAGCATCCCCTTCTCCCTCAATAAAATATAAGATCCAAAGAAGTGATGTTTGTTTTTTTTTAATTGATACAGTCTAAGTGCCTAGAATTAGGGCAGAATGCATAAACAAATAGAGGAAAATAATCATCTTATGTGCAGTGTCCAAATGTTCTCACATGGAATCTTGTTTATAAACACCAGTAGAAACAGATATATTAAAACCTAACAGTGCTGCTTCCTACCCCATTTTCAAAAGGTCGATTAAGTCCAACCAAATGTTGAATGAATTTCTATCCCACCAAAAGCAGTTTATTGTAAAACCGTACCTGAATGGAAGCTCTTCTTTTACATTTCATTAAACTACCTCCAAATGACAGAGAGCCAAAGACTATGTTCCCTTGAATCTGAGCTCTTTCCTCATAGATGTAATGAGCGTCTGAAACATTTGCTATACTCTATGAAACCTCTAAGAATCCTCAGGAAGGAATACAACAAAGTTCCTATCAGGAGGTGCTTAATTGTGCTGAAGGACAAATAAAATCACATAGTGTGTATTGCATATCTTGGTAATGTCTCAAAGAAAGTCATGGACTTGTACAGTTGGAAGAACTTGAAGAGCTCTCACTTTACAGGCAAGGAAACTGAAGTCTCAAGAAGTCCAGGGTTTTGGTCATAGTCACACTACACAGCAAGCAAGTGGCCTGCATGAAACGTAGAAACCAGGTCCCCACCTGGGTCCAGCCTGGACCAGGACTCTCCGGCCATATGGGGAAGTAAAATTTTAAAAACTGAGAGACCAAAGACCTTTGAAATGATTCTATTTATGCATGTTTTCAATCTATGTTTAACTAGAATGGAAAGACTTGGAACTAAAATAAAATGTTTATCCACATAAATATATGAGAAAGGTATATTACACCAAACATACATGATGAAACAATGATTGTTCTAAAAATTCCTTTATATGGACAAATATGTGTCTAATAGATTTATGAGGGTAATAAAACTGGGTACTGCAGAACTACAGTGAGGAAAAGTACTTTCCAATCAGGCTTCCCACGAATTTAAACAAGGATAGAAGTAGATAATGATCTCATCTTCCCCATCAGATCTTCCCCCACAAAGCGGGGAACTCTGGAGCTTATGCAGATGTACAAATCCTCTAGAGTTCTAAAATGAAGGCATATTTTTATAGTGTCATCGGTAGCCATAAAAGCTTTGCCAACAGTATTTATGTGCATCATGATAACATGTTTAAATGTTAGTTCAGCCTCCAATAGGAAAGTATAAGTATGTAGTGTTTAAAAGCAGAGAATTGGTCTTTTCTAAATATCTAATTTCTTTTCAAGGCAAAGGAAAAGCCTCTCTAAAATTTAGAGACAGTGTCACAATATTATATTTGAAGTCACCCAAAGTGACAAAGGGAAGACCTACCTAAGGAACCGTGGACCTCACAATAGGAAGGAACTTCCTTTAAACTCCCCATTAAAGGAATATTTTTAAAGTCTGTTAGGTATATCCTTGAAAAAGAAAGTCTCTTCAGATGTCTAGTTTTTGTACCCTTCGCTATTATGCCATTCAGCTCCTTTTATCAAATTCACAGGGGTCATGGCTTCTGAGAGGTGATGTTGTTAGATAAAGGGCCACTTCTGTAGCTCTTTGCCTTCATATGTTTCCACCTCAGGCAGTTCTTTTACAAGCCCACTCCTTGGATAAAAATCTATAGAATCAACCCAGAAAATACAAGGTGGCTTGAAACTGGAGGTTTTCTTCCTTTCTTTCTTCTAACATAAACCAGTGAATTACATGTGTGCGAACCTCAAGAACTATGACTGTGCTCATCAAAGTTAGACAATTTCATCTTAGTAAGCTGCTAGGTAGGCAAGGAAGTCACGAGAAGAATAGGTGTCTTTGGCATGAGTGCATAGAATTCAGGCAAGTCCAAATTTCACTTGATTTGGTGTGAATAGGAGGAGAAAGTATAAGATCAAATATTGGTCCAGAGAAATTGGAATATTTTTCTGCATTTAGAAAATTATCCCATAGGCTCATTCTAAACATGGTAAAAGAAGACATAGATCTCAATATTTGATTGTACATTGACCCTTATAAAATAAATGTGTTCATTTTGCAGATACTTTTCAGGTACATTTTTCTGTCACTTTGATTTGTATCGTTATGATGCCTAAGTTTTTAGAGTATGTGCCATCAAAGACTTCAATTCACAATGCTTTAAGCTGTTAGGAAAAACTTTGAGCCATTCTTCCAAAAAAGGTTTTATTAGACACATGCAATATTTTGGTAAACATTTATAGAAAGAAGCACCACAGAAAATAAGGAGCAGTACTACTGAACCAAAGGAAAGAGAAATGTTGTTAATTCATGGAAACAGTAAATGCAGTCCACTAGCGAAACTATGACAATTAAAATATATGTCCCATGCAGACAAAAACGATGTCTGTATTATTTATCATTGTGTTTCTAATGCCTAGCATAATGTTTAGCGCATTATAGTGGCTCAATAAATAATGCTTTAAAAGGAAGTGAATAGTACAATGGATGAATGAACAGTCTTTGCAATCCAAACGTAATATCCCCAGAAAATCGAAGACCAATTCATCAGAAGGCATTTCTAGCTAGATGAGAATTTCTTTAGGAGCAACACTTTCCCTTTGCTCTTAATATGCTTTCACCAAGCAGCCACATAGGCCATGATTAGTTTTCCTGAATTGTTACACTCAGGATAATAATTTGTAACTGATTATAAATTAAGAAGTTGGCTTTCTGAAAGATTAGTCATATAATCTGTGTGGGCTGAAGGAACTAGCTTTCCTAGAGTTTCTTCAGAAAAACCTGACCATATAGGTTCTTACACCCAAGGATACTCCCATTTTCAGACAGCAACATATGATGCCTGGGGTAAACAGCCAGACCACTCACTGTACAACACCATGTAAAAAGTATATTTTGCGCCTTGTAGATAATACTTTCAGCAGGAAAAGTATGTCTTCCATGAGTTCCATGCCCTGATACATTTAGGGAACTTTGGGCACTTCTTATTTCTTTAAATTTTCACAGTATAAGGACTCAATAAATGTATGTATTTGATCATCAGTAAGATACGGTGAAATATGACTTTTATTTCATCACTACAGTTTCTCCTCATAGTTAACATTGTCCAAGGGAAGAATAAAAGGAAGAGTGTATTTTATTCACAAATTATTGTTAAACCCTACTCTAATTCCACATATGCATGCATGCAAGAATTTGTTCCTTCTTTCAACTAGTATATATGATGTGTTTGTGGGCACTTGGTTAGTTTCTGCTCTGTTATTAAGCATATTGATGTGAAGAAGATGTTGGTTAATGACAGTTTACTTAATAAATTCTAGGTAACTGTATTAGGTTGCTAGGGCCGCCACAATAAAAATACCACAGGCTTGGTGGCTTAAACAACAGAAATGTATTTTCTCACAGTTCTTTAGACTAGAAGTCTAATATCAAGGTGCTAACAGGGTTGGTTTCCTCTGTTCTTGGCTTGCAGATAGATGCCTTCTTGCTGCCTCTCCATATGGCCCTTTGGTGTACATGGATCTCTTCTGCATATCCAAATTTTCTTTTCTTGTAAGGACACCAGTCTGATTGACTTAGGGCCTACCCTGGTGGTCTCATTTTAATTTATTTACCTCTTTAAAGGCTTTATCTCTAAACACAGTCACATTCTGAGGTACTGGGTTTTAGGGCTCCACTATATGAATTTGTGGGGGGCATATTTCAGTCCACAACACTAATTTAATGCTACATTAGCCCAAGACAATGTAAAGTATTTATTGGAGATTCAGGCTTGAAGAAGTGACAGAGGTAAAAAGTACAGTCATATCTGTATGAGTTAGGTAGAAGAGAGAATAGAAAATCATTAAGGTAGACAGTAGGATGAATGATTGGTGTTGGAGGAAAGTGACCAATAAAGGCAAAGCCATCTCAACTTTAAAAATATCATGGTGATCCCTGGAGGAACACTGGATCACCAAATGTGGGTAGGTTTTCATCTTGGTCTTGTAGAAGCTAGAATATTTCCCAAGTAGAGGTGCACTTACCACAAAGCAAATGAAGTTCAGCTTCCACGCCCCTCAAGGCTCATTCCAGGGCAGTTGATCTAATCTTAACAGTTTTGTGTTATTTTCCTTTAAGAGGGCTTTGGCTCCACAAAACCTGAATCTGTTCCTGATTGTAAGTATTTTCAACCATTTTCAGAAAGAGAGGTTTGGGACATTTCTTGGGCTGAATGCTTAAAACTGGGTATTTACTTGAAACAAATACTAGCTCACATATTATATAAAATACCATGCTTGAGAAACAGTTTTTTGTTGAAAGAGCAGTTACTACAATCTGCATTCCTGTGAATGTGCATCTTCAACCAATTTTCAAACCACAGGTGCTCAGAAATATCTAGGTTATTCATATACTCATCTCTGTGTAATGTTCTCTCTCACACACACACGTATAATACACACATTTATTTTTATGTTTGCATTCAGATCTGGGCTGCTAATCTGTATAATTATTTTAAAAGTGAATTGTGTATGTTTAATAACTGTAATAGAAAAATATTCCTTAGCATGTTTCTAGTTTCTTTTCATGTGAAACCATCTTTCTCTCACTTCTTCTCCTACAAGTTAGGATTAACTCTTCTCTCTGAGTTTCCTAGGTATGCACATATATAAGCCCAGCCAGTGTGATTTTTTTAAATTTTGACATTAGCCACAAAATGATTCTTTTACTTTATCTGAAACAAACAAGCAAACAAACAAAACCCATGTAAACATCTTAAATGATGCAAAATGCTATTGCAGAGTGAAATTTTCCAAAGGCATACTCATGGTAACAATCAGTTTCATGCTTTTTCCCTTTAGATTGTCTGCATTTTATTTTTAAGTTTTACACATAGCTCTTCCTGAGAACAGCCTTGCAGTTGAAAAGATAAAGGTGGCTCTTCGTTGGAAGCAAAAGAAGGAAGTGAGATGAGATTGGTGAAGCAAGACAGTTCAATTTGCCTAACAAAGCAAAATTCCCGAATTGAGTTACTCTTAACGCACTGTAATCAGCCATGTTTCTTAAATGCCTGGGTTATATCGAGCCCCACTCACACTATGGTAATTATCAGCTGCCACCACACAGAAGTGCTGCATTCCCCGCAACTTTTTTTTTCTTTTTCAAAATGTCAGCTTGTAATCTGAAGGAAAATTACAAACCCTACTTTTTTAAGGAATGTTTAAAATAAACTTACAAAAGTACCAAGCCTTTTATAATTACTGTCCTGCCTAAAGGGAGAAATATCCCAGGTGGTATTTTATCTCTGCAGCATCTATTTCTAAAGGTTAGCCTCAGTGGAAGGAGCAAGAGTGCTTTATATAGCAGACCAATGACAGTGTTTGGAAGAAGCTGAAACTTCTTTGAAAGGCTTTGTGACTTTATTCTGGATAAACATAAGCTACCCTAAGGATTATCACCACTAGTGCTGCTTTAATAAAATATTATTGTGTAGAAAAAATACTTGATCATCTTTTGCATGATTCTGATGTAATGCATAGAGATTTACTCTCTCGTATTTAATAGGAACATAAAGCCCATATCAAGTGGAATGTTTCATGTTAATGGCAATATTTCCAATTAAATTGCCCATATGAATCATTTTGACATGCCATCATTCTTTATTTTAACAACTGCTTTTACACTGTACACCTTAGAGCCCTTGTATCTTTCAGCTTGTAAAATAAAAATGAAATATCAGTCAAAAACATAATGGGCAGAACTCTACTGAGAAAACTTTTTAGCATAACAAAATCCACATGAGTTCAAGGCACCCAAGGTTTACAAGAAGATTCTGCCCAGAATTCTAAGAAGCCTTTTAAATGATGAAAGCAAATCACTGAGAAATCCATAGACTCTCTTTTCTTCACACTTTTTAATGTAGGCCTAGGATAGACTGAAGGCTTAGACACAAAAGCTTCAGTTGTGATTGTGGCTCAGCAGCGAACAATCTAGGTGATGCTGAGCAAATTTCTAGCCTCAGTTTCCAGAAATAAAGTTCCTTTAGTTCTCTTCCAACTCCAACTTTCTGCAACAAGTCCCATAAAAGGTGAAGGAAAACTAGGTCCAACTTCAACTTTCTGCAAAAAATCCCATAAGAGGTGAAGAAAAACTAGGTCACCTCATGAATTCAATGCAATTCAGAACACAATTTCTAGCAGTAGCTTCCTCTTATTCCTTATAAAAGATACACCACTGCTATGTTTGTCCTCTGTTTATATATTCCAAAAGGAGAAAGAAAGTGCAAGGCAGAGCTGGGTTTAGAGCCCATCTGCAATCCCTCATAGCTGTGTGACCTTGGATAATATAAATCTACAATTCCAGTTTCTTCACTTATAAAAACAGGATAATATTTTCTACTTTGTAAGGCTGTGATCATAATTACAGATGATATTTTTAATCTAACTTTCATGATGCCTGCAACCTAGTAATCACTTGGTACTAGTAGTAATTATATGTATATGTATACACATATAACTGCACACATGCATTCATTCATATATAATACACATTCTACCAGCCTTGGAGAATATTGCCTCCAGCTCCAACCATAGATAGAAAAATTCTCAAGTCATTAAACCAAATTTGGAAATGTACATCACTGTGGGCCCATTTATAGTGATATGATCAGACTGCCAACCTAGAATAACAATGCAATGTTATAAATTCTTTGTTATCCTTTTCAGTACCACTAGCAGGATCACAGAATGAGTGTTTTCTGTCTGGTCAGGGTTTACCATATCTAGCAGGTAGAATGGACTGCAACTAGAGGGCCTAGTCTGCCATTCCACAGTCAGTCTGAATAACAGATATGCAGGTATGTTATCTTTCTAGAACAAATCAGAACAGCACAAAGTCTAATACAGTTTTTGATGCATCTGCTCCAATTTCACTGCATGAACTCACCATTTCAGAATATTTAATCTAGCCAAATAATATAACTAAAGCATGCATAATACCTTCATATCTCAAATACAAGCCCGACTTTAGATCTCCTACATTCTAAGAAAACTTTTCTTCACACTTGCAGCTTGTCAGCCTAAATTATTTAATTACTTTGCTCTTAAGTTTCTTTAATTCTCCTGAATTCTCTTCAGAGCAGTCCATACTCACTGCCTTCAGTTCCTGAATATTCTTCAGTATTATAATTTGGTATCCCATACAGCTTTTCTAAAATTTCCCTTGTGATGATTAGCAATGATGCCTTATGGCCAAATCCAACAGACCTTAGCTGCTGCTCAGGCAGTCCCAGGATTTGAAATTGCTATCCCCTAGAATTCCTGTCCTTCTGTGGCTCCACAACACCAGCAACTTTCTGCTTTCCCTTCTCCTTCTCAGTTCCTATTTTTCCCTTCCAACCCCAAATTTTGGGAATTTCCAAGACTCAGTCTTTGTCCTTCTTCTATGGTCTGTCAAAGCTAATTTTATATATCCCAACAGTTTTAACTATAAATCTGTGCAGGTGACTCGCAAATATAAATCTCCAGCTCTAATCACTCTTTGAGACTCTCCACCTGGGAATCTCAACATCTCAACCTCAATGAGTTCAAAGATAATTCCTTATTCCCCTCATGAACCTGCTCTTAACGCTGTGTCCCGAGATTGTTTCAATATCGTCACCTTCTCCAAGGTCTCCCATGCTAGAAGTCTCTGTGATCTTTTCACTTCCTTCAAATTAGTTATTCTACAACAATTCTACCTCCATAACATTTCTAATGTATGTTTCCATCTCTATCTTCTCACTGAAGATGCCCTAAATTATGATATACATAATATGGATTTGAGAGACAACAGATCACCCAATTCTTGTCACTTTCCACTTCAGCTCCTCTGACAAATTAATCTTGGACTAAGCATCAGAAAACATATCTCTGGTCATTTTCATTTTCTTGCTCACTTTTGGTAGCACCCCATATCTTACAGATTAAAAGCTAATTATTAGAATAGCTGATTATTAAACAATTGTTTAGTAAGTGTTAGGTAATATAACAAACACTATACTATGTATCAATTAACTTACTAACTCTTAGATCTGATTTTTACAGTTATTTGTATGATTGTATTGATTAATACATATCTCTTCAATCAGACCATAAACTCCATGAGGTCAAGGACCTGAAATACAGGTACTGATTAAATAAATAATGAAACCTTTTTTTAGTCATCACTACTGAAAGTATTCTTTTCTTTTTTCCCCTCTTAAATTATATAGCAATCTCTTATGTCCTTTAGCATATCGTATATTGTATATTATGCCCATGTTAAATGTAGAGAATGACTGCAAATGAATTTTAGCAAGATGACTTCCATTCCTGCTAAGGAAATATACTAGAATATTTCAGGATTAATAATATTTCTCATCTTCCTGACAGTAAGATTTCCCAGCCTCTATGATCTGTCTTACGTATCTTTCTTAAAGTCCAGTCCCTTTTTTAAAAATCAAAATTGAAATAATAAGTGGGTGCTCTCCTCTTAGAACTTCCAGGGGAATTTGTTCAACCAACTTTTTTTTAATTCAGAACTTACTGAATAGAACGAAATAGGTTATAAGAATACCATGGTGAGTAGTCAGACATGAATCTTGATTTCAATGGATTTGAGGATTAGTAAAGAAAATAAAGCATGTGTTTATGTGGCTGTAATTCCAAGGAAAAATATTTAGGTCGCATAAGAAATATACAGCTAAATTGTGATGGGAGCTCAAGGTAAGAATCTATTGATTTCAGTTGAGAGGATCCCAAAAAGCTTCACAGATAATTTGTATTTCACATGGTTTATGAAAGATGAGTAGGATTTAGGTGTCCAGGGATGAGAATAATATGTATTCCAAGAGAAATAGCATTGAGAAAAATGTAGAAGTCTTAAAAATCATGGAATGTACACAAGAAACTTTAGGTGGTAGAATTTATTTGTAATGATTAATTACATTATGACTATAACATTCTTTTTGAAACATGTAAGTATATAATGCTCTAAAATAATTATTTATGCAGAGTCCATTGGGTTGTTGGGTTGTTATATTGGTAAAATGACATTTTTACTATGATAATACCACTTTCCAAATACTTGTCACTGACCATTGTTTTTGTTTTCAGCAAGTCTACCCTCTGTAACAGAATAAGGCCTAGAGATTTGGACATCTCAAATAGTATTGAGCCACAAGGGGACTGAGTTTGCAGAACTATTTAGTTCTTAGATACAAATTCATAAGTCTGGGCATTGTAGACAACTGAGGTAATTGGAATCCCTCTAAGTCAATTTTTAGTCCAAATCTTGTTTTTAAAATAGTCTGAGAAAACTTGACTTTGGGGCTAAACATCTCTGGTTGATATTTTGTTTTGTTTTCCCTATTGGGTGAGTTGTTATTTTAGTTGATTTTGGTTTAAGTTTCTTCCCCTTGGATGTGTGCTATAAATCAGGCTTATGGCAGTTTGCATTCCAATGATGCCTTATCTTGGCTGTACAACCGTTATCTCATCTAAATCCCACAGCTGTGTCACTTCCTAACGACCACCATCCCTGCAAGACAGCTGTTGCTCTTAATTGGCAGGAATGAAACAGATGAGCATTAAGAAACTAGCCCAGATGATGTGCTACACAAAGAATTTACATTTTTTCCAAACTATTTGAAACTAGAAAAGAAATTTGCATTTTTTTTCTGAACTGTTTGAAACTAGAAATGGCAGGGCAGGAGGCTCCATCATAAATATGTTGGTGGAGTATTTCTTGGTCTCCCACTCAGAATTTTACTACTGAGACTGCATAAAATCAAGCTGCCTCTTGGCTAGTCAAAACTAGAGTCCCACCCGCAAAAACATTGAAAAGCAATTTGAAGTATCTTGCAAAGTTTCCTGATGAGCTGACAAAGAATTCTGTCATAAATCAGTGAAGCTTCTCAAAATCCACTTTTTCCATCTCACCTTCCATAGCACACAGATCACAGCAGCTACCTCAGTATCTAGTGACTTGCTACTCTCAAAAGTGTGGTTCACAGACCAGCAGCATTGGCATTATTTGGGAACTTGTTAGAAACATGCTCTCAGGCCCCACTTCAGGCCTACTGAATCAGAATCTGTATGTTAGCAAGGTCTCCAGGTGCTTTATATGCAATTTATTTATATTTAATTTTAAAACATTGCTTTTGTCTATTAATCTCTTGCTATAGTATACTGTATATAAGAATCACCTGAAGGCACTGTTATAATGAAGATTCCTGGGCCCCACCCTAAGAGTTTCTGAGCCAGTAAGTCAAGTATTTGGATACCACCCTGCTTTGATAACCAGAACCTCCAGTGGACCACACTTTTGATCTTAGTTCATGAAAGCTAAAATCTCATCAATTCACCCTGCTCTGTTTTTTCTCAATCCCTTCCTTCTCTATTTTCTTTCTAAACTTTTTAAATGTAACTCAATCTAGCATATCACAACTTGTATGTGTTTATTTGTTACTAGCTTATAATTGTCTGCTGATTAATCTCCCTATAACTACTCTTAACCCTGGAACTCTTTTAGATAAGTCTCTATTAAACTTAAAACTTATCAAAAGTATACAAGCCAAAGACAAAGTGGTGGCTAATTTCTTAGTGAAGAGTAATATAATCATTTAATTGTTCTGGCCTCCCTTCTGCTATGGCTATTGAATCGGGATAAAGGTTAAAAGGTCAATTCAGGGTTAAGCAAGCAGGAGAGATAGAAGCAAAGAGAAATGGAAATATGTAAGGAGAGTGGTGATGAACACACCCATGAGCCTATGACAATAAAAAATGTAAATATACGCACAGAGGTAATGTAGTTTCAGAAGAAAGACCACTGGACTTGGAGTCATGGAATGCAAATTCAAGTTCTTTGTCCAATCCTGATAATAACCACTATGGCTGTGAGTGTATAATAACCTCTAGTGACTTCAAGTTCTTGTCTATAAAATACAAATAACATGTACACTACCTGTCTCACAAGGCATTTGGTGAAATAAAATTCTAAAGAAAATATTAATTGCATAAACTTTTGCTGAATGAATTAAGCTGGTGCTATGGAGAAGAAGGAATGAATAAGGCATAGTCCTACTTTCAGGGAATTCACTACCTAGTAATGGATACAGATACACAGACAACAAGCTGTATCACTGAATTAATTAATGTTGCATTAAAAGTACATGTAAAATGCTAAGAGAACTCTGAAGAATGAACCAATTATTTAAAAGAAAGAAGGGATGCTCATGACGAATTGGCAAGTTAGCTTTTAGGTATTATGCTAATATTCTCTATACCATCCTCATATAAGGGTTAACTCAGCTGGAATGATGATAATGACAATGTTTATAATTAGTCCAACAAAAATTGTTATGGTGTTAATTTAGTTTAAAAAAAAATGTGTCCTAGTAAGTGGGAAGTGCTACAATTTGACAAGAAAAGAATAAGACAAAATCATAGTGCCTAAGAGGTATTTTCCCATTCCACAGAATCTACACTCAGAGGTGTGTACATTATTAAATATTTAGTTAAGCATTCACTCTAGTTTTATTACAAAGTAAGAAAATACTAAGCCTTTCATTAGAATATAAATTCTCATTACAAGCAAAGGGAGTGTCTATGTTGTTCACCGCTAAATGTTACCTGACAACATCAATGGGGCTTAATAGCATTTGTCGAGTGAATGAATGAAGGACTAAGTAAAGTCTGCATGGAGCTAATAATTGGCCAGTTACACATGCATACATGTTGCTATCTATGTGAGCAGCATATTTGAAGTCAATAAATGGCATTCTGAGTTTAAACTATGGAATGACTTTTACAAATTGGGAACGTTTCCAAATATAATTTGTACCTGAAACAATGACTCCTTATGTAGCTATTATTTAGAACTAAAGGCAGCCAGAACTTTAGACTCTCTTGCTAAAGGTATTCAGTTAGCCACTGCGTATTTAATTGTCTTAATATATACCTCCTTCAAATTTTTTTCCAGAAGTACTGGTAATATATGGACTTAAATAACATTTCAAAGATGGATTTCTGTGACTTTTCAGCTTAACACCTTCTCTAAGTAATAGTTTTTTCTGAATTTTAATATATTGCATTATGTAACTTCCAGAGCCATCTCTTGTCTACAGAACGAAGGTGTTGGACAAGATGATGATAGGGACCTCTTTCTCCAACTCTAACATTCTATGAATCCTGTAGCCTCCTCTACTTTTAAAGAAATTATGTTATTAAAAGGCTTTGGAGAACAAATAGCTTAAGTAGACAGTGCAGTGCAGTAATTATGTAATTGTTTTCTCTTATCTTAATGTTATGTACTATTTCATTTAAAAAAATAAGAAATTACAAAACAGCTTTTCTTTAAAAGAAAAGGATATAATGATTACTTTGGTGGGGGGAAATCATTGCATATAATGGCAAAAATAAAATATAGGGGAGAATACCTATAATTAATACCATAGATGCTCCCCTTTATCTACTATTAAAAAGAACCTTCTCTTTGAATACCAATTTAAAGAATACTTTATTTCATATGACTTCTCACAACTTGACTGTTCTCAAAAGCCCAAGGATACATATGTAAAGAAATCATCATAAAAGGCAGTTATTATTTCTTCTTTTCAAAAGCAATTAACCTAGAAATGTTGTCACAAGAGATTTTCAGAAAAAAGTCAAATAACCACAATAATACCCCCTGACACACACAAATACATACACATACTCAAAATAACTAATGAAAAATAATATTTCTAAAATCTTCTACATGAAGATTTTATATATGGAAAATAATTTAGGGCAAGAGAGTAGGCCCTCGTCCTCAGCAAAGCTCTTAGATCTGAGGTAGCAAGCATAGAATGTCTGCGAAGATGGCCACCAACAACTGCTTCCATTGCCGTCCAGTCCATTTCCCCCTCCCCGTGAATCTGGATTAACCACGTGTGACTTGTCTGAACAACAGAATGGGAGAAAAGTGGCAGTTCTTGCTTTAAGAGGCCTATCAGTGTTCACTTTCACCCTCTTGGATCCTGAGTTACCTCATAAGAAGTCAGTCATTTTACTAGCAAAAAAGACTACATGCAGAGAGGCCCCTGAGGATTTGAGGGTAAGAGGACCACCTAAACCCCAGACTTTTTGTCGATACCAGCTGAGGCCACGTTGGATCTTCCAGCCCCATCAGAGCTGCCCCAGCCAAATCACATAGAATGGAAGGGCTTCCCCATCAAGCCCTGCTCAAATAGCAGAATCACAAGCAAATAACTGAAATGCCCAATTCCTAAAACAACAAATACATTTCAATTCCTTGGTCAGTGAAATATATTAAACCACTATATCCCAATCCTTGGGCTACTGGCTGGGAACACAGGACTGAATAGAATGCCTGCTTTCAAAGGGCTCATCATACCATGGTAGTGACACTCACATAAACAAACCTCTGGCAGAGAGTGTGACAGGAGCTGCATCAGAGGCACACATGGTGCTGTGGGAGGGTGTGGACCCAACTTTCTCTCCTGGAAGTTGATCTGGGGCATGGTCCAGGGAAGAGGAGGTGACACTTCAGCCGTATTTTAAAATCTGAGTAGGAGTTTTCCTAGCCAGGATGTGTGGCTGAGAAAGAGGAACATTCCAGAAAATCAGATTTATCTGTACAAAAAGTGTAAGCTCCTTCTTAAAACCTCAAACTACAGTTATTGAGTCTCTGTGAGTATCACCTGCTAAGAGTTTTCTCTTTTTCCTAAGTTAGATAGGAGAAAGAGCATTTTTTGTAGTAAAAACATGTTTGTTGTTTACCCATTTTGCCTCCAACTTTGTAACCTATACACGGCTGAGAGAAAGGAACTCATGTGACAAGCAGAGAAACTGTTAAAAACAAGAATGTATGTGTTCGCTCTTCTCTCTCTCACATCTTGCTATAGACAAATGCTAAATAAAGAAGATTGTTTTCTTTATCTTTGTTCAAAATCAGTTCTCAAGGTTCTTAATGAGAGGTCTAGAATCATTTTGCTTTTTTTTATGGAATGGAAAAAAGGAGAATTTTTTTACTGGCATTTGTGATGTTAAAGGTCAAACACATAAGACGATTTCTATACAATTTTTATAGCTTACATTCAGTATGAAGTGAGCTGGCAGATGAAGAAAACTAGAATTGGGTAAACTAGTTGATCTCATAGGTGGCTGGAATGTTTATAGACATTTGTTTCCACTTTTGTATTAAATCTCAGTGGATTTGCAACTACAAAGTTCAAGTTTTTGAAGACATCTGCAATCCAGAAGAAGCTACTAAAAAATGTAGGCACCAGAACCCAAACTTGGGAATGAATATTTTTTTTCTCCTCTCTTCATGCCCTACCATGCCTACTTCCTTTTTTCTTTGAGTTGAGACATGAGGATCATGTGAAGTTGAAAAATGCCTCAACCTGCCATATGCTACTTGGATTAGAGCCATGGCTCTTGAAGGGAGCACACAGTTTGAGGACTCACACTGAACGCTTTATATGTATCACTCATATCATCCTCAAAAGCCCTTCTTGGTTAGGTATTAATATCCCCATTTTACAGATAAACAAAGGGTAGGAAAGATGACTATAAATCTTTTCCAGAGATGCTCATAATCACATCTGCCTGATTCCAAATTCCATGCTTTTACACTCATGCCACAATTTCTCCCTAAGGTCTTGTGAGATTTATTTTACCTCTAGAATACAGGTTAAATCTCTGCACTCAAAAAAAGGGAAATATTTTTAACAAAGTTAGAAACATTGGCATAAAAGAATGTGCACCATTTGACCTGTGCTTTAAGATAACTAGAGTATGTGATGAAAATAATCAAAAGCATATAATATAGAAGAGGCAGGGAATCAGGTAGAAAATAGCATGACTTTGGGACCTTGTAGAACTCTGTTTGAATCCTAGTTTGGGCTCTTGCTATTTTGTGACCTAGAGCAATTTATTCAGGTTCTCTGAGCCACAGTTTTCTGAGTTATAAAATAAAAATATTAATACTTGCTACATCCCCCAGGTTATGAAAAGTCCTAAATTGTGTAATTTATGTAAAAGCACCTAGCACAGCACTGCCTCATTTTCAGTACTCAGAAATGGCAGCTTCTTTCTTTTGCTACAGAAACTGGGAAAAGAAAGAAAATTGTTAAATGTCACCTGCAAGCAGAGATCTCTGGTTTGAAAGATGGAAAAGCAATGAAAAGTCAGGAATTCTTTTCTGTAGCCATCAAAATATTTTCCAGCAATAGTTGAAGAAGGATATTTGATCTCAATTTTGCTAAGACCATATTTGGAACATCACGTTGAGGATAATAAGCAAGTTTGTTAATGGGTAAGGAAGGGAGACAGATGGGATTGGTTCAAGCGGGAAGACTGAGAGGAACACCCAGGTCTGGTCAAAACTCTGGGCAGAATAAAGAAAAATGTACAAGTTAAAACAGCACATTTCCCTCGTCAGCCAGAGTGGGGACAGGCTGTGTCATTGATACCACCCAGCAGGACCAAGCAGCTGCCCAGTTCCCAGACAACCCATCAGTCAGTTGATTAGACAACAAATATTCATTAGGTATCTACTATGGGTCAGGTTCTTTGGGGGCACTGAGGAATCCTGATGAGCAAAACCAGGTCAAATACACCTGTGATGATATGTATTTCTGTTCACTGAGTAAGTGAAGATGAGTCATGAGAAGCTGGGTAACCTATGACATTGATCCCTGAAGTATGACATTCCCCCTGCAATTTCTTGCCTACAAGCTAGAAAGGAGAAAATACTTTCTTTAAGAGATAACAGGTTTTGAGCACTTATCGTGTGACAGGCATTATACTCAGTGCTTTACATATATTCTCCTATTTAACTCCCCCAAGTCTGTCAGGTAGTTGCTATTACTTCCCATTTTATAGATGCATAAACCAAGGCTTAGAGATATGCAGTGACTTGCCAAAGCCTCAAGATATTGAAGTCCTGGAACTGAGACTGATCTCAGAAATATACAACTCCAGAGTCTGAACTCATGGTGGAGGACTTAAGACTGGTTTTAACACTCTAATGAGATTTTTCTATTTTAATTGCATCTGTTCCCCATAAAGGATTCTTTATCTTTTTACTCAAAAATCAAGAATTAGCTACACTTCATGTTGGCCAATGACCATATGGTATAACAGAATCTGTGCTCTTTCTCTCAAGTTAATTTATGAAAGTCTTTTGGCAAGGTCACCATGCTTTTTGAATGTACACACTGCTCCTTTGCTACTCTGTATAAAGGCATTTGTAAATTATTCTAGTTATCTTTAGAATACTTAAAATTACTCTCTGGCATTTATATAATCAGCAAGAGATAATCAGATGATCTCTCTTTTTTTTTAACAATGAGCCACTTCCTGTTCATTATACTTATGTTTATTTATGGCATAAAACCCATTTTCTCTGTAGAAGGTCACCTGTGGGTTGATGTGGAGGATTTATTTCCTCCTATTTAAACAATTTTACCAGTTTTTGGCATTTGTATGACTGTTGATTAATTATGGCCCTGTCTCAATCATTATAGAAAAAATAATAGCCTATGCTATGGTTCCTTTTATGCGCCACTGGGTTATTCATTAGCTGTAAAAATGCAAATTTTTTTAAATTTTTGCATATTTAGAGGCTTCTAACAGATAATCCACACCTATGCTATGTGCAGCCACCCATCTCAGAGGAAGGCCAAATGTTTAAAGTCAGAAGCCACCTGACCCAAGAGGCCCAAAGAACTAACAGTCTTGAGTCACATGTAAAATTTGTGGTTCCCCTTCTTTGGGAATCAGAGCCTTCCTAAATACCAGTACAAACGCCCCCAGGCTGCCTCCTCACCTTCATGTACTAAACTTTTTGACTATTCCACAGGAGAAGCAATTACTTCCTTTATTAAACTAAACTAAGAGGCCATGCCTTTCATTCTACTTGCACCTACTATAAGAAGTTGAAAAAACTGCAGACACCTTCTATCCCAATGTGAAAGAGCTTATTGCCCATTGCAGATGATTTTGCTGAGTTTTGATGCCCTGTATCTGTTTCTTTTCTGTTTAATAATAGCATCCTGAGTTTTTTTTTTTTTTTTCAAATATAAGCTGCTTCCTCATTCAGTCAATGTGCTTCAAGAGGAAACGGATCTCTCTCTGCTTTGGCAATGGACTTTGGATGGCTTCAGCTAAACAAGAGAGCCTACTCCAATGTCCATAGTGATTGAGTTAGACATGGGACTGGTACCCAATGCAGAGCAATAATAAGTAAGGAGATAATTAGATGGAGACCACTAAAAAGAAGATCCCTTGCTCTTCCATTGACATACTCTTTAAGTGTGAACACTTAGAGCCTCCAGAAGAATTGACAGCCATCCTGCATTGATAGAACCCAGCTATCTATTCAATATATTTTCCTGAGTCACGCAACCTTTGTTACCTTAGCAGTTTGAGTTATGTGTTCTGTTATTTGCAACGAGAAGATTCCCAACAATACATCTACCACTGCGACCACAATTACACAGTAATCATGAAACCATGCTGCATTACGGAACTTCTTTGTGCGCTTTCTTCATCTAGTACCTCCTCCTATAGTCATAACTTTTTGTTTACTCTTTCCTGAGTTCCATAAGCAAATATAATGAATTACACCAAGAAGCTTATTAGACAAGTTTAGAATTTTCTGTATGCTAAAAACATCATCATTTTTATTATCTTCATGTTGTTGGTTATCGGATAATTATATTCATATTTCAAGGCTTTCTATAAACCTGCCAGTATTAAGTAGAGATCTTATCAGCTTCTAGGCAGAAATAGAGAAAAAGACTGCCTGTGTTGGCACCTATAGCTTCCTGATTTTTGTTCTTCCTCTCTTGCTCTGCATCCTTTTTGTCTACTCTCAGAAACATCAGCTTTGCATACACTTCTGCCAATGAGACTATCCTAATCTGAAATTATAGGGTCCTCTCTTTTTTATGTTTTTTCTTATTTTCATAGCCAGGACCTAGAGGTGACTGCTAAGGACCAGCTGTAGTGTCTACTGCACACTTGCTTCCCACATTGCTTTGAGGCAGCACCGCAACTTTTTTATTATATCTAACTCTAGGAAATTTCGCAGCCTTTGCTCTCAGGAATAATTTCTACACTGCCAACCACTTTATGTCCTTTTTCTCGATTAAAAAAAGTTCTTTGTCCCCCAGTTGAGTAAACTTTCACCTTCTTCATTTTTCAATCACCCTTTTCAGTGACATTTTATCACCTTTCACTATGTGATCATTGGATGCATCCATCCAGTACCATGGCTCTAAGCTTTTTTACCATGACTTTTTTCAGGGATTTCAAGTTTAAGTTAACTCTTGGTGCTATTTCACACTGATGCTTTTGTAGAACTCCAGGACCTCAGACTCTTGGGAGAGATAATAAGGATTGTGGTCAGAGCACAGTAAAGATTGAGTTTGATGCCAGGAAAATAAATACACACATACTGCCATCTTCATATAACTCAACTACATGCTTTGATGGGAGTGGCCTTCACAATTACTACATAGTTGACCTCTGACAGTTTATTTTTTCCCCTTAAAAATAGGGTGGGGAGAGGCAGGGATAATAAACAATCATGTTTGCTCTTGTGACACTCTCAGGTTCCCAGCCATGTGTAATTTAACAAATAATCATAGAAATGTCTTCCTGCATTACAGAGACATGGCATCCGCAGGTGGGGGTTGGGAGGAAGAACACAGAGAAATCGGCACTCAACACAAATTTAGTACAAGATAGGTAAAATGACATATACTCCAGAATCGCTTACTTAACAAAGAAAAGCTTTTGAGCGTCAGCAGATGGCCTATGTATTTGTCTTTTTTAGGGATATTCTCAAATGCTATGTATCACATTATAGTAAGAAACATAGCTGTCTAGATGGCAGGATACCTTCTAGGGACAGAATTCTCTCCCAGCTGACATACTTAATAGGCAACCAAATTAAAATAATTCCACTCACACTTCGTAGTTTGGGAAGGCTTTCACTGATAACCAATCTCTCCCAGAAATAGCTCAAGACCCTCTGTCATGTTTCCAGAGTACTCTTTATATTTATTTTATGTCACTCATTTGTTCAATGTTTGTACCCGCCGTGAGCATGTAAGCCCAGCGAATACAGTCATCACTACATTTCTTAGCCAGTCTTCCATGCCCAGTACTGCATTCACAATGCCTAACCATAGTACCTAGCTCACAGAAGATGCCTAACCTACATCTGAAAGACCAAGAGGTGGAAGGAAGGAAGAAAAGGAGGAATGAGGGGGAAGGATTGGTTTATGGCTTGGTGTATTAGCTATTTGCTGCTGTATGCCAAATTACCCCAAAATTTAGCCACTTAAAACAGCACACATCTATATAGCTTCTATGACTTACAATTCTAGGTGTGGTTTAACTAGGTTTTCCAGCTCAAAAGAGTCTCTCACAAGACTACAAACTATCGGTCAGGGCCATGTCATCTCAAGATTCAACTGGGGCAGGATACACGTCCAAGCCCACTCAGTAGTTGTTGGCAAGATCCAATTCCTTGAAGCTTGTTTAACTACGAGCCTCAGTGACTGCTTGGCTGTTGACCAAAGGCTGCTCACCATCACATCCTGGCCACATGGACAACTCCACAGTGCAACTCACAACATAGGAGCTGGCTTCATCAGAGTGAGATAGTCAGAGAGTACAAGATAGACAGAAGTCACAGTCTTTCATAACCTAATCTCAGAAGTGATCATCCCATCACTTTTGCTATATTCTATTTGTTAAAAGCCAGCCTTTTAACAAATTACAAATTGTTATTAGGTCCAGTCTACACTCGAGGGGAGGAGATTACACAGAGCATGAATGCCAAGACATGGGAATAATTTGGAGGCCATCTAAGAAAGGCAGCTTAGCACACATAAGCATGCAATCAAAACAAGAGGAGTTGGTTAAAAGAGTCACCTGTTAATAGAATTGGGCTAAGCTAGACTATTGTATCTTTCTCCACAATAGGGAAAACTACTTTCAATATGGCTATAATAATAAATCCATTTGGAAAATGTATTTTAAAGAAATTATTATGTATTCAAATGCTACCTGACATATCAGTATCCTTTGGAAGTGATTTTAACAAATCTGACTTATATTTTTAGGTGAGCGTTTTCTATTTCATCCAAAAAAACTGAAATAATCAGACTTTGCAACTGAAGGAAATCTGGAAAGAAAATACCTACTTCAGTAGGAAGCAAGTGTGCTGCATTCTCCATATTTCTCCAGTCCCACAGGACATGCTGTGTGGCCTGTAAGAGAAAAACATGTAAACGTAGGCAAAAGTCCTGAATAAATCAAGGAAAGTATTTGTGGGTGGCTCAAAATGGGTGAGTTTCTTTCCATGAAGGGCTAGGTGTGCCACAGTCTTGACCAACAAGTACATGCTAATGGATCCATCTATAGCTCTTAAAAGTCTAATTCCTGCATTCTAAATAGGCAACCAGGATATTATCATATACACTCTAGTCTTAAAACCTTTTAACATCGTTGCTCCTTTTGATTTTCTCTTGAATCTGTTATATATTTGGATTGGGCCAAAACAAGCAGTTCCATGTAAGTCTGTAAAGCTTTCTGATGGTGCACCTCTTTAATTATTAAGCTACTTCAGAGGTCATAAGCCAGAGAGAAAAGTATTAGAGCTGATTACTGTGTCCCTGTGGCCCTGAAAATCCTTTGGCTGCTGTAGAGGTGCTTGCAGCATTCGGAAAGCTTTAACATAATCCAACCATCCTCCCAAATTCCGAGTTGCTTTTATTCAGGCACATTCAGATGTCAGTCTATAATCCTGTGTCATTGCAAAGAGAAAAGGCATGATCTGCTATCTGCTTTTTAAAGCCCAAACTAAACCTCTAACCTGGTAATTCATGTAGAGCATAAGGATCATGAGCTGCCAGAAAGCAAAATCCAACACGCCAAGTAATCTCTCACGATTTTCACAAACACATTCTGTTTACAAAGGCTAAATTATATCCAAATAGTTGATGCCACACTATCCATGAGACTGCAACATGGTATGTACTACAGTAAAGAAAACATTATTATTTTACTAACAGCTTTGATTTTTAAAGGGCTTGTCTTATCCATGATTACTGCTGCTATGCAACAGTATGAGTTATAAGCTGAACATCCTTTTATATATACTCTGCACTCAGAGGAGCAATTTCATGGATAAATCACAAGGCGACAGCCAAACTATTAACTTAATGACTCAGGGTGAAGTTCCTACAGGGTGAAAACATCTGTAAACAGCTGGGCAACAGCAGTGCCATCAGCCTTTGAGATGAGAAGATACCATTTTCAGGAAGTGGTTCGAGCAGAATCTATTCTATGGAAAACAGTCTTTCAGGTACCAAGGTGCTCCATATTCAAACCTAAATGCTGGAAATCTATTTCCAATGAAGCAGGCACTTATTGTCCTGTTTTGTTTTTCCCTCTCATACCAAAGACCCGGTGTGTATTAAAGGTAAATTTTCAAAAACATAAAGGACTCCTTGATTACATTAAGTAATGAACATTTAAATTTTGAGTCCCAAAATAATATTTTAGAAGGGGCCTTGTCCACCACTCTCTAACTTCATACTTTCCCCTATTTCATAATTTCTCCTATGCACCCTCTCCAAATTCTTCTTGTCTGGGATTTAAAAAAATGAACATCCATATGTTCACAAACCAAGTCATGAAAACTCATGTAGTATACCATGGCTGAAGTAATCTATAGCTATTTAGGAATTATCACCAAGTAAAATCTTAGGTGTAGAAAGTTGGATACGATTTATTCACAATTTCTAAGTCTCAGTTTGTTCATCTATAAATGGGAACAGTAACACCCATCTTTTAGAGCTGTTGAGAAAAGTTAAAAACAACTCTGAGGCCAGGCGCGGTGGCTCATGCCTGTAATCTCAGCATTTTGGGAGCCTGAGGTGGGCGGATCACCTGAGTTCAGGAGTTCGAGACCAGCCTGCCCAACATGGTGAAACCCCATCTCTACTAAAAATACAAAAGTTATCCGGGCATGGTGCTGGATGCCTGTAACACCAGCTACTCAGGAGGCTGAGGCAAGAGAATCACTTGAACCTGAGAGCCGGAGGTTGCAGTGAGCCGAGATTGTGCCACTACACTCCAGCCCGGGCAGCAGAGTGAGACTCCCTCTCAAAACAAACAAACAAACAAACAAACATAAAGAAACTCTGTACAGCACATGACACTCAATTTATCTCCTTCGTCTCTCCATACCCACACTACAAAACTGAATGGCATGTTAGCGGACTCACAGGCACTGTCATCAGGCATTGCTGAATAGAATCTTTGTGCTGCCACTTACTAGCTTAGCAAACTTGAACAATTTACTTAACCTCTCTGGGCTTTGATATTTTATCTATAATGGTGGATAATTATTTCTACCCAATTAGGTTTAGGGGAAAATCAGAGTTCAAGCAAGTAAGGAGCTTACCCTCTAACTGCCATGTAGGAGATGTTCAATGAAAGCAGCCCCTCTTTATTGCTGGTAAGATGATTCCCTTTGCCACGTGGCTGGGATAGAAATTTGGAAGTCATAGAGGCAGCATTTCAGCTGTTCCCCAACATTATTTCATTCTTTTGTGTTCACATGACACTCAGCAATCCAGGGAAACTAACAGAATGAGCATGCCTGAACTTATACCTCAGCGTGGGACCAAGAGATGTATGAAACCTCAAAATCTGAGAGCATTGTACCTGAGATGATAAAGTGCAGATCGTAAAGGCTTTCCAGACAGCAGTGATGCATGCTCATCACCATTAAAGGTATATGTTTCCATGCTTCTATTTGTTTTAGCATCCCACAAATAATTACTGACAACTTATTATCTTATTATGTACTCAACAATACACTCTAGAATTTTTTGTTTTGTTTTGTTTGAAGAGACAGGGTCTTGTTGTGTCACTTAGGCTGGAGGGCAGTGGTGTGATCATAGCTCACTGCAGCCTCGAAGTCCTGAGCTCAAAGGATCCTCCCACCTCAGCCTCCCAAGTAGCTAGGATTACAGGCAGCATCACTGCTATGCATTCTTCTCAAGAAAAGGTGACACTGGCATCTGTATCAAAGCAGATCCCTCTCTCCTATGACTGTAGTAAGCAATCATGGCTGTGGCAAGGTAATAATAAAATAATAATGGTGCATCCTGGTTGGAATTATTTTGAAACAATTACTTTTAGCTACAAATGCCCAAACATTAGCTCCATGCCTCAGCCTCTGAGTGCCTCAATGCTCAATAGATAAGACATTCTTAATATGTCTAAATAGACATAGATATGACATTCTTACATCATTCTTATGTTACGACAGAATGGCATGTCATTCTCATGTCATGCTTATGTCATGACATAGATATGACATGTCTAAATATATAATAGATATGACATTCTTAACATGTCTAAAAAGCTTAGAGAACACCTGGAGTCTGTCTGCATTGCCAAGGGAGTAAGACAAGCTCAAATGGTCAGTTTAGAATAGTCTATCTACTTAGCAACAATGGGAAAAGAATAGAGAATCTTGGGCTAGTGTAATATAATTCAGGTCCCTGAGTTACTATTCAAAGTCCGTACATTTTACAAATGGATATCAAAATGATGCTCTTTAGAATTCCTAAGTGTTCATGAAGAGGGTTCTGAGGCCTGCTCAAGGCTCCCAAATGTGTGCTAGCATATCTTACAGCTTGGTTTCCTCATGTGAGGGACGGGAATAATAAGCTTGTTATAATAATCAAAATGAATGCTCTTTAAAATTAATAAGGTCCAATAAAACCACACAATAGTATTGCTACTGTAATCATTCATTGACACAGAAAGAAAGCTGCTAGAACCAGTTGTATGACTCAAATAAGCACAGAGCCTTGAATGCCAGACTTAAGGAGTTAGTTAGCTCATGTTCAGTCAGTAATTGGTAGTTTTTTGTTTTGTTTGTTTTTAGCAGAGTATCGTATTCTTTGGGCTGGGTTTTTATAAAAATTAGCAATTATTGGCAGAAACATAGGAATGGTGGGAAAGAGGTATGGAGGCTGAGAGATCAGGAATGAGGACTTAAAAAAATATATTTTTTTAATGTCCCTGGAGAAGCCAACCCCTAAGGTAGCTTGTGACAGTGACACCTGGATATATGTCAAATTCTCATGCAACTTACTGAGCCACTTCATTAGTATCCCAACATGCCATACCCCTTATTAATCAGAAACGAACTTCAGCCTCCGTGTCAGTGGCCAAATGGTCAACAGAAGGGGCAGAGTAACTGTGGCCAGGGTGGGCAGCTACCCGGAGGTGCAGCACAACTGCTGAGAAGCAACAGCCATGCCGTCCAACCCGGTTTGCAGCAAGCAGAAAAGGAACAGCGTCTTTGGAGCAAATGAAGCTTGCAGACTGTGAGGAGAACAGGCAGCGACACAAGCAGGAGGCACAACCAGGGACAGCAGAGAGTCACTTGAGGGCTCGGTGTCCAGCAGGGAGGACGCAGAGCGCAGAGTGTGTTTCAGTCTTCTCAGTGACACTTATCCACATGGATGGGCACACCATCTGGGGCAGCATTTTTTTTTTTTTTTTTTTTTTTTTGGTGGTGGTGTTTTGTTCTTTTTGCTTTTTTAAATGTAAGAAGCAAAGATCCATATATGGTATAGATGTAGATATAGATATAGAAACACACATACATATCACAAATTTTACCATTCAAAAACACAGATTTCATGCCTCCACTGCACCCTGAAAAGTTTTCTCAAATTTCTAGCTGATTTCTTTCCCAAAGAATCATTTGCTTTCATAACTTGGTGGAATATTTTCAGATCACAATGTATCCTTTTGTTTTAAGGACCACTTCATTACTTACATCAGTGAGGTGGCATGTTTTCACTTTCTGTGCTTGAAAGAAGCTGAATTTTTAATAAAGAAAAAAATAGAAAAGTAGGACACCTTTAAAATACAGAATTCCTTTCCTGCTTGGTTTCTAACATTTCCTCACCCCACCTGAGGAACTGTCCCTTGCAAAGGAATAGATTTTAGTTTCTCTTAGGTGGGTGGGGGGAAGGCAGGAGACTTAGCAACGACCAGGTTTGTAAAAACCAAATAAATATGTGCTCCCATTGAATCAGAAAAATCAAAATGGTATTTTTTACACTCTTCTGCTCACTTATGCTGAAATACTGTACCAGCCTTATGCCAAACTTTGGCAGATAGACATGTGACATTTCCTTTGCCACATAGACAGCAGTGACTCTGCCGAATTATCTAAGGTTATTAGTAGTATCAGAACATTCAACACTTCATTTCCCTGGCCTTTATTATGCAGTGGTAACTTTGAATACTCATAAAATATATATGTTACTGTGTATGTTTTCTCAGTCTATAGATTTGCTTTATCAATAGAAAGATACCAGAAAAAAATCTCCAATGCCTCATTTCTTTAGAGAAATGCCTCTCTTTAAAAATCAAATAATTTAATAAATGAAGGCAAACCTTGGTAGAATAATCTAATTATACTGTCTTAATCCATTTGGGTGCTATAAAAAATACCATAAGTTGGGTGGCTTATAAACAACAGAAATTCATTTATCACAGTTCTGGAGACTGGGAAGCCCCAGATCAAGGTGATGGCAAGTTTGGTGTCTGGTGAAGGCCCATATCCTCATAGACTGCAACTTCTCCTTTTGTCTTCACATGATGAAAGAGATGAAGTAGCTCTCTGGGGTCTGCCCTATAAGAACATTAACCTTAATCTTGAAGGCTCTGCTTTATGATCTAATCACCCCCAAAGGCCCTACCTTCTAATACCACCATTTTAGGGGTTTAGGTTTCAATATACGAATTTCAGGAAAAACACAGCCACTCAGATCATAGAACATATATAATCCAAGTGTCTTCCTTTTCAGACCTAAGTGATCTTAGGAACATGGTTAATGCCTTTATGTTTGACTGACCTTGATAATTACTGATTTATCTTGACTATTTGATCAAGATCCTGGTTTTGCCTCACAGCACATGCTCACCAATTTACCAGGAAACTGTCTTAGTCAGTGGTACCAAAACCTGCTTTTCAGTCTTCTAACCCTTTGTCATAAAGAGATAGAAGCCAAAAACCTAAATTCTCATTATCCTTTTTTCAAAAATATTTTGAAGATGCTCCATTTCAGTCTTGGGGTAACTCTGTTATCATCATCACTCTTATCATGAACAATGATGATAGCTGTGTACCAGCTACCACTCTGAAGAAGCAAACGTATTTGTTGACAGCTTCGTTTTTCTTGGGATATTCATCCATTAATTTATTTAACCAATAAGCATTTATTGAATCACTGTTGTGTACCAGGCATTGTTCTAAATGTTAGGGGATATAGAGACTAATAAGTTACCATACTTCCCTTGAGTTGCTTATAGTTTAGGAAGAAAGATATCAAGGAACTCTATGAAAATGTATGCCATAAATCAATAATATAAAATATGTAAATCCAAAGTGCTCCATTTAAAAGGAAGGGATATGTAGCTGGCTATAACTGCTGAGAAGCCTTGACAGCCTCATATTCCAGGTGGGACTTAAAGGATGCATAAGGCAGCAGAACATTCATTCTTTCATTCCACAAATTTTTATTCAGTGTCTACTACATTCCAGGAGCTTTTCTAAACACCAAGGATTCTGCAGTGAAAAAATAAAAAATTCCTGCTCTTAGGGGGCTTTTATCTTACCAGGAGGGGACTAATTTAAAAAAATAACTAAATAGGTCAAATAAATGGTTTTTCAGATGATTATAAATATTATGTTTATGAAGCTTTTTAAAAATGAAGAGAAGGGATCAAGAGTGTCACACAGAGGTTGAGCATGGTGGCTCACGCCTAGAATCCCAGCAAATTTTGGAGGCTGAGGCAGGTGCTTGAGGTCAGGAGTATGAGACCAGTCTGGGCAACACAGTGAGACCCCCATCTCTACAAAAATAATTTAAAAATCAGTCAGGCATGGTGGTACACCTGTAGTCCCAGCTACTTGAGAGGCTAAGGCAGCAAGATCATTGGAACTCATGCGTTCAAGGCTACAGTGAGCTGTGATCAGACCACTGCACTCCAACCTGAGTGACAAAGCAAGACCCTGTCTCAAAAAAAAAAAAAAAAAAAAAAAAAGAGTGTCAGGCAGGGGTGAGAGGGGTTGTAATTTTAAATATGGTGGCCAAAGAAGCCTCCTCTGAAATAATGACATCTGAGCAGAATCCCAAAGGAAGTAAAGGAACAATTCATGCAGATATCAAGGAAAAGAGCCTTCAAGGCAGAAAACATTATGTGCAAAATCCCTGAGGTTGGGACATGGCTCTTATTCTTGAGAAACAGCAAGGAAGCCAGCATGGCTAAGGCAGTGTGAAACAAGATCTTGAGGCTTATGCTGAGAGTTGAGTAGGACCTTGGAGTTTACTCTAAGGACTCAGACTTTCACTCTGGATTATTTAGGAAGCCAGCAGAAGCTTGGAGTAGAGTGACTCCATCTGCTTTCCATACTGAAGGTACTGAGAATAGACTACCAAGGAGCAAGGGTGGAAGTGAGGGGCCCAATCAGGAGGCTACTGAAATAATTCAGGCTGGAGATGAATTTTGATTCAGAAAGGCAGCAGTGAAGGCAGTGAGAATTGGCCAGCTTCTAGGTATGTTTTGAAGGTAGAACCTACAGGAATTATTGATAGAGAAGATGAGGGCTATGAGAAGAAGAGATTCAAGTATGTCTCCAAGGGTTTTAGCCAGAGCTAGAAAAATGGAGTTGCCTCTTTAAGAGCCCACTCAATTATGAGAGTGAGAGAAAATTTTAAGCATCTCTATGTGTTAGGGTCTGCACAGAGGAGAGAGAGTAACTGAACAACACTATTTATCATGACCACTTGCACCACAAAGAGGCTTTTCTCTAAAATTTAGTAAGAACAAAACTCCATCCTCAGCAGAGAAAGAAACAAAATGAAAGATCAACGTTTCTGATCAGGGGCTCACTGATTCAGGGCCAAGGGAGAGAAAATGCTAAGTGATGTCAGGAATTAGATGCAATCTTCCCTCCCTAAATTTCCAGATGATTCCAAACTAAAAGGTAAGAACTAAATCCTGAGGTTAGACTACAATCCTATAACAATGAATTGGAGAAGTAGTCATAGCTCAAATAAAGCTAGGAGGGAACATAATGTATAAACAGAAAAATAACAATGTAGGTAAAGTTAATTATATTAGGAATGCCTAAAATGGAAGAGTGGGAGAAAAAGTTTCAAAGTAGATTATAATAGTAAGAGGTAAATGCAAAAGAATATTGTGCATGAGAAGGAAAACACCCTGAACTAGAAAGTGAAAAGTCTGGGTTTTTTTCCTAACATTAACAATGGGGCAAATTAGTGAACTTGTAACTTCCAAACAAGGATATTTTTGCCCCCAGGGAATGTACTAATATGCTAAAGATTAAAGGTTTAATATTGCATTTAAAATGTCATTTAAATTCTGCTGAGGATAAAAGGTTTTCTTTAAAAAAAAAAAAAAGACAAGTATGACTATATTATGGAATAGAAAAATAATTCTTAGATTTTTTCCCATTCATTTTTTTTTTTATTGAGTACTTACTATGCACCAGCAATTATTATAGGCAATGGGCATATAACACTGAACAAGATAGTCACACTCTGATTCTACGGAGCTTATTATTTTACAGTGAAGACAGACATTGGACAAGTAATTGTGGGACAAAGCATGAACTTCCAACAAATCTCTTAGTTGTGGCAGGCCCCAGACCATCATGGGTGGAGAGTACATATTTATTCTTTTCTAACACCAGGAGTGTTTTGAGGAAATGTCTGATGAAAACTCACTTAAGCTATGAATCGCAGCTTGGAATGGGAAAAGTATTTAGAACTGTGTTCATTGGGTTTGCTATAAAGCAGCTCCCAAGAGTGGATTAAATGTGCAAGCATTTTATTAGGGGAAATGCCTACAAGAGAAAATAGAGAGGAAGTTGGAGGAGGCTGGAAGAGTCATTGGATCATGATGCAATCTGACCCCAGTGAAAGAGCCAGACTGTGTGGAAAGTTGAGTGGAACCATCCTAGACTGTCATGAGGCCTAGGGAAGATTTGCCCCTAAGCCAAAGGCGAACTGCTCATTATTCCTGCTGCCCTCAGTTCCTGGCTGGAAGCTGCCTGTGGGAGGCATGGCCTCTGTGAAGAGTGGAGACAGCTGTGTTAAAAGTGGGGAGCACAGCAGCTGCGTCTTTGGCCAATGCTGCTGGGGCTTTTTGGTCAATTATACTACTTACAGTAGGAGGTCTTTGGGGTGCATTGTCATGGCTGCTGAAACAATTTTTTTTTTCTTAATGAGCATAGTCTTTGGAATCAGAAATAACCTTAATTGATTCCAGTTTCAGCCACTTAATAATTTTGTGACATTGGGCAAATTAGTTACAAGTTGATTATAAATGTTAAATGAAATAATAGCTGTAACATGCACCATGCAGTGCCTAGAACATAAAAGATGATCCATAGAGGTTAGGGTTGCTTTCTTTTCCCTTTAGCTATAAAATACTCTCATTTGTTCAACATGCATTTTTGAGGAACTACTATATGCGAAGTAAGGAAACTGATTATGCAAAGGGCCCAACATATAGTCTCTGCCCTCAAAGTTGAATTTATTTAAAAAATGTAGAAGCATAAGGCACTACTAAATACAAAAATGCAACGAGAAGAAAGGATCTTCAAACAGGAGAAAGGAACATTTTCATTTTACATGAATTATTACTGAATTTGACAGCTTAAAAATTCTTAAAGACAATTCCACCCTCTCAAATGTGATTTTCTGATACTTGGATGAACATGTAGGTGTACAATGTGGGTTTATAAATGCAACTCTGGCAAGACCCTTAATGAAGTACTGATGATGCATCTTCATTTACCCAGCCCCTTGCCATATGGATATCTGGCTTTTCCAGGGCATTATGTTGTGCCTGCCAGCCCTCCTATCTGAATTATCTGCATGTTACGCTGGAGAAGGTGCTGTATGTCAGTTTGCCCCTCAGAATGCTTCCCAAAAGCCCTTTCAAGACCCTTTTATTGTCAGGGCAGAGAACTTGCCTCATCGCTCCAGGCATGTGAATTTGTACTTAGCACATCCAGACGGTACCCAATCAAAATCAATTTAGATATGACTTGATTATACTTCAGTGATGTAAGAACTTTCTTTCCAAGAATATAGATAACTCGGTGAATATTCTAGGAAAATATTTGTAATAATAATCAATCAAATAAGGCTCAGTTGGAGCTGAGAGAACCTGCTTCAATTTTTAAGAGGGTTATAGACTTGCTATACGACACCAGGAGAGTCATTTGCCCTGTCTTGGCCCGTGAAGTCTGTGTGTCCTAGACAGTGGGGGAAGCAGGGGTGGAGAAAGACAGCCGTCATTTACTGAACACCTCAAATGTGCCAAGTACTAAGATAGAAGTTTTGCAGTCATCACCTCAATTAATCAACAAACAACCCTTTGAGGGAGAATCATTCATTCCTCTATGCATTCATTCACTAAATCCTCATTAAGAGCTTACTCTATGCTAGTCACTGTATTAGGTGCAGAGTAGAAGACAGTGAAGTGAATAAAGTTGCTCGCCTCTGTGTATTATGATCACGGTTTCAGATGGAAGATGTTTGAAACAGAGAGATAAGCTACACTGGTGGTTAGTGGGCTGAGACTCCTAATAAAGTCCTTCTGACTCCAAAAACCAGGACTTTTTTCTCCATAGCCAACAGTGTTTCCCAAATATTTTGTCATAATAATGAAAGTCTCCCTTACCCACAAACCCTTTCTGAACATTTATTTCCTATTCACCCCTATGAAATAAATGCTATATTTTGTAACAGAGGTTTCAGCTTTGGAGGATCACAAACCATTTTGGCATCTAAGGTATTTTCACGCTGCTCCCAAAATTCATTTTTTCACCTGGTTCAATGTGTTATTCCCCTGTTGAGATGCAAGCTCTATACGATTTCCTTTATATCTTTAGAGACACTATTTTTCAGGCTCTGTGAGCATTGCAGTAAAATTTTTTTAAAAATTGTGTGAGATATTACCCCTACCTTCAATCACATCAGGCTTACAAAACACCCAGCCACAGGATCCCATAGTTCCAATTCTTGATATATTTAGGATTACTTAACATGAATTACAAAGAGAAAATGAGTTATCTATTCAGTAAACAAGAAAAGGTTTTGTCAGCATAGTTACTGAGTAATCATGTAGTGATCTCTGAATCTGGAGCCTTTAAAAATAAGGTAGATTCTTACTTATCATGGCAAGCCAAGAGAATGGATCTGTTAGCAGCCACTCCAATGGGTTTTCATTGCCTCCTCTCTGTATCTTTTATATCATCACTATCAGCTAGAAGACCTTATTGAAATTCATTTGGCTCATGATTCAGCTCATCATAAATAATATAGACTCCTCTCGTATAGCTCACCTCCTCCACATTAATGACACAGAATGAGTACCATTAGGGGATCTTCTTTTATTCAGAAGAAAGGATTTTGATGAATCCATTGCTTACAGGCAGAAGAAAAAAAATAGCAATTCAAAACCACATTTTGAAATTAAACCTTCTGTGGTCTGAACAAGCATGATTGTCAGTTCTTTTATGCGTTTCCAACGTTGCCACAATTAATATTTTAAAAAGGAGCTTCATCAGTGACATATTTAGAAACAGAAATCTTATTCTTTTCCCGGTAGCCACATTCCATTGCTCAGCAAAGTGAAGGAAGCCCCGTGGAAGCAGCTGCAGCCCTGCCAGTGGAAATTGGGGATATGACTGCAAGGGCTTATACTTGAGCCTCTGCAAGTCCTTTCTGCTGCTCACCTCCGGAGAGATGCCCAGGTTGCAGAGGAAATAGGTCTCCTCTCCGCCCCTCCACCAAGCTTATGCCTAGCACCCTCGGGATAACCGCAGTTATTTATAGATAATCCCCTCTTGGAAAGGTCAGATTTTATGATGTGTTTATGACCCTCTCTGGGCAAATATGTTCGCTTGCATTGAATTATCTGGGGCAGGGCAGGGGGGACTAGTTTTAAGCAGATTCAATTAATTTCCACAGCTCTGTGCCTAAAGGAGGTTTGGCTCTGTAGCCAGCACCACAAACTAAGAAGGAGCTGACACTTTAAGGCCCACTTTCACTCCATCTCCTTTTTTCCTGTTTTAGAGATATTTATCTGTCTCCATCCACTGACTTTTATTCACACAAAAAGATCCTGAGATTTGACTCTTTGCTCACCAGTCACTTGCCAAATGTTTACTGAGCAATGAAGAAGTCCAGTGTCACAAATCAGCCAGCGAGTATGGATCAGGCGTGGACTGCAGTTTCCCTTTGGCCAGTCCTTTCTCAGGCTGAGTTGAGAACCAGACTGTGGGACCGACTAATCCTGTATTGCTTCCTAAATGCCACGCCTTTGACTTCAATCTTCATCTCTAGGCAGATGACTTCCACATGTTTATCTCCAGTGCCCATCTCTAGCCCAAGCTCCAGGGCCACATTTCCTACTCATTGCTCAAGGTTTGGGAAGTATCAGAATCTTTATATTTAAAACTAAATCTGCAAATTCACACCCCAAAAAGCAAATCTGCCCACTTTGTTTCTATAAATGGCATCATCATTCCTCTAAGTCATCTAAGCTCAAGAACTTGGAGTCTTCTTTGAATTCTCCTTTAACAGTTTTCCTAACCCTGCTTACCTCCGGCTCAGCTAATGCTTTTGTTTCCCTCCTCTCCCCTCACATTTACCCTCTGTTGTCTGTGTTGTTGCAGGACAGCAGTCAAAGACCTTCCCTTGTGTTTTTGTTCCAGTTCCTCTCCCATCTCCTCCAGGACTTCACTCCATTCATTACCCTCATCTCTTTACATTCTACCTCTCCCCCCAGCTCCCCATTAAACAGAGCTTGGAAGTCTCTATCTTGCTCTGTCATTTACTCTCAGAGCCCCTGCAAATTCACTAAAATTAGAAATAATACCTTCCTCACATGGGAGTTATGAGGATAACCCCAAAGAGCCAATTCCAAGTGCCTGGCTCATTAGCGGCCCTTAAATTCACTCATTCAACACAAATCTTTTTAGTTCCCAAACACTTAGCTAGGCACTAGAAATAATAATCAATAACATTTATGGGCCTTCACTACTTGCCAGCCACTAAGTGCTTTTCACACATTAAATCATTTAATAACCACAACAAATGGTTACAATTGTCATTAATTGTAGAAGGAGTTATAATTATTAGGCCCAGGCATCTTGAAACCAAGACATCAAGAGGGTAAGATCAAAAAGGGGTCAATGGTGGTGATTAGAGTTAATAGTTTTAAGTGTTCTTACCACACACACACAAAAACAGATAAGTATGTAAGGTAATGCATATGTTAATTATCTCAATTTAGCCATTCCACAATATATACATCTTGCAAAACATCATGCTGTATAGGATAAATATATAAAATTCTGTCAATTAAAAATAAATAAGCAAAAAAACTTTTAAAAAAATTTAAACAAACTGATTATTAAACCCAGACAAATCTTAATCACTGCACCATATTTTCTGTAAGAGTGTCACAGTTTCTGGCCTCTCATGTTCTATCGACAAGTAATAAGTGTCCTAATTCAAGGCGTGCTAGGGTGTGATGGGAACATGAAGGAAGGATGAATATTTGCTGAGTCAGCAAAGCTAAGCTTTGAAAAAAACAAATGTTAGTTTCCTTTTCTCTTTTGGACTCTTCCTCATTCAACTGACTCTGATCTTATTGCCAGAGTAACCAAAGTACAGCTTCTGCTCAAACCCCTCAGGTTTACAATGCCTATTAAGTAGTCTAAGCTCCGAAAGTTGGCATTCCTGTCTTCTCTCCACCCGGTCTCCAGATCTCTGTCTTTGCTTCTGCACCCTCCCATCAATCCTTTGTGCTCAAGTCCTCCCTATTCTTCAAAACTCAAATGATTCCTCTTCCTGTAAGCTTTCATTAAACTTTCAACAAAACATCATCCTCTCTCACCCCTGAAATTTCATGACCTCGTATTCAAACTGGTATTAAATACTTTTATGTACACATGTTATCTCTTCTACTGGAGGTGAAGCTCCTTGAGGACAAAGACAGTTTCCTTTCACATCTTTGTGCAAGACACAATGCTAAAACTATTTTAAATGGAGATCCAGAAACTGGGAAAACCTGCAAGATCCTTTTGTCTCCCACATCTCTGCCCTTCCCTCCAACCCAATCATTCACGAAATTCTATTCTCTCTTCCTCCTCAGTAGTTCCTGCCCCAGTGTTAGTTCAAGCCATTATATTCTATTACTTCAACTCATGCACTATTTAAATTGGGAAACTTTTACTGCAAAAGGTCAGATGGTAAACATTTTTGGCTTTGCAGGCCTGTGTTACAACTACAGTCAGCCCTCCATATCCGCAGGTTCTGCATTTGTGGATCCAACAAACCTGGGATAGAAAATATTCTAAAAAATAAAAAAAAACAAGAAGAAATTATTCAAATAAAAAAATACAGTACAGTCATGTGCCACATAATGTTTTGGTCAACAATGGATCGCATATATAATTGTAGTTCCATAAGATTATAATGGAGCTGAAAATTTCCTATCACCTAGTGACATCATAGCCATGTTAACATCATGGCACAACACATTCCTCAGGTGTTTGTGGTGATGCTAGTTGAAACAAAGCTCCTGCACTGCCATATAAAAGTATAGCACATACACTCATTTATGGTACATAATACTTCATAATGATATTAAACAACTATTTTACTGGTTTATGTATTCACTATAATTTTAATCTTTATTTTAGAGTGTATACCTTCTACTTACTTTTTTTAAGTTAACTGTAAAAACAGTCTCAGGAAGGTGCTTCAGGAAGTATTACAGAAGAAGGCATTGTTATCATAGGAGGTGACAGCTCCATGTGTGTTACTGCCCCTAAAGACTTTCTGGTGGGGCAAGACATGAAGGTAGAAGACAGTGGTAATGATGATCCTGACCCTGTGTTGGCCTAAAATAATGTGTGTGTTTGTATTTTAGGTCTGAGCAAAAAAATTTCAAAAGTAAAAATAAATACATAAAAATAGAAAAAACTTTATAGAGTAAGGATATAAGGAAAAATTATTTTTGTACAGCTATCCAATACGTATCCAAAGCTAAGTGTTATTACAAGAGTCAAAAAATTAAAAAAAAATTTTTTTAATGTGTAAAGTTAAAAAGTTATAGTAAGCTAAGGTTAATTTATTATTGAAGAAAGAAAATTTTTTCTATAAATTTAGCATAGCCTAGATGTACAGCATTTATAAAGTCTACAGTAGTGTACAGTGATATCATAGGCCTTCAGATTCTCTCCATTCACTCACTGACTCACCCAGAGAAACTTCCAGTCCTGCAAGCTCCATTTGTAGTTAAGTGTACTACAACATTTTTTTACTTTTTGTACTATACCTTTACTGTACCTTTTCTATGTTTAGATATATTTAGGTACACAATATTTATTGTGTTAAATTGCTATTCAGTACAGTCACATGCAGTACGTACAGGTTCGTAGCCTATGAGCAATAGGCTATACCACACAGCCTAGGTGTGTAGAAAGCTATGCCATCTAGGTTTTTGTGAATACAATTTGTGATGTTCACACAAGAATAAAATAGCTTGTCTCAGAACATATTCATATTGTTAAGTAATGCATGACAGCATAAAAACTATTTACATAGTATTTACATTCTGTTAGATATTATAAGCAATCTAGAGATGAATTTAAAGTATACAGAAGGATGTGCACCCATTATATGCAAATACTATGCCATTTTATACAAGAGACTTGAGCATCTGCAGATTTTGGTATTCGTGTGGGTCTTGGAACCAACTGTACTCAACTCTTTCCCGGTAGTATAAAAGCAGCCACAGAAAACACATAAACAAATGTGTGTTGCTGTGTTCCAATAAAACTTTATTTACAAAAACAGATATTTGTGGGCCAGATTTGGCCCTGGCAGTAGCTTATCAAGCCCTTATTTAAATAGATACCTAATTGGTCCCAGCGCTGGCATTTGAATTCATCATCTAGGCTAAGTCAAAGTGATGTTTCTAACTGCAAATCTGATCATGTTCCCCAAAGACCCATATGAACTGACATTTGCCTTTGTTACAAATCTCATTTCCTTCCTTTCCCTCCCCCACCATCCCACCTCCATTTTCCCTGTATCCATCTGACAAACGCCTACTCATCTTTCTTTTTTTCTTTTTCTTTTTTTTGTTTTTTGTTTGTGTTTTTGAGACGGACTCTTGCTCTGTTGCCCAGGCTGGAGTGCAGGTGTGCAATCTCGGCTCACTGCAACCTCTGCCTCCTGGGTTCAAGCGATTCTCCTGCCTCAGCCTCCCCAGTAGCTGGGCTTAACATGCACCCACCACCACACTCAGCTAATTTTTTGTATTTTTAGTAGAGACGGGGTTTCATCGTGTTAGCCAGGATGGTCTCAATCTCCTGACCTCGTGATCCAGCCACCTTGGCCTCCCAAAGTGCAGGGATTACAGGTGTGAGCCACCAAGCCCAGCTCATCTTTCAAGATCTAGCTCAAAGAGCTCAACTCTTCCAGAAATTCTTCCCTACCCACCACCCCCAAAGCTAGTTACAGACTCTTTTTCTCTATCCTAAACTTAGTGTAAGCTTCTTTTGATTTGAGAGTCTCACAAAATTGAAATTGCAATATTTGTTTTGTTTTTGTTTTTGTTTTTGATACAGTGTCTTGTCATGTTGCCCAGGCTGGAATACAGCAGGGCGATCTTGGCTCACTGCAACCTCCACCTCCGGGGTTCAAGTGATTCTCCTGCCTCAGCCTCCTGAGTAGCTGGGATTACAGGTGCCCACCACCATACCCACTGTTTTTGTTTGTTTGTTTGTTTGTTTTAATTTTTTTAGTGGAGATGAGGTTTCATCATGTTGGGTAGGCTGGTCTCGAACTCCTGAACTCAAGTGATCCACCTGCCTCATTCTCCCAAAGTGCTGGGATTACAGGCATGAGCCACCACACCCAGCCTGAAATTGCAATATTTATTTACATGATAGTCCCACTTACTACATAGGGAACTCTTTGCAAAGAGCAGAGACCATCTCATCTACTTCTATATCCTTCAGTTCCTGGCATATATTGAGCATTTGACAAATGTTTTCCTGCTTGTACAATGGTTGCTCCCAACAGAGAAACACAGCCACTTCCCAAGACCCAAAGACATGCTTGCCTCAGTGCTGGTCAGATAACATCAGGCCAAGAAGTCAGGGAGTGGCTGAAGATAAAAGGCAGTAGCCAAGGATTCTGTTCAGGAAGTAGAGAAGAGGTTCTTTGTGGAATACTCAGAACAGTGTGAGGCAATAATTGCCTTTTCATTCATTTTCACAAAGAATGGAAAATCTCATGTCTTGCCAAGTGGCCTTGCAGATATTTCCTTATCCAGATTACCTACTCAGCAAATTGTGGGTAGGCACTAAAAAAGGCCAGCCTGAATGGGGATGGCAAGCAGATCATGTTTGAGAGGGAGGGGGTGGAGTCAAGGAAAGAACAATGAGATAAAACAGAATGGGAGAAAAGCATTTTGTTCCTATATAAAGGCTGTAATTTTCTCCATGTACATTCATAAAAGGACAAGGAAAAGACAATGAGTCTCTCTCTCTCTCTCTCTCGTGTGTGTGTGTTTGTGTGTGTCTGTGTGTGTGTGTTTGTGTGTGTGTGTGGTAGATCAGTTGGATAAGGGCATGATAGCATGACCTTGGGAGCAAGATCAAGTCTCTTTATGTATGAGATGGATATATCATAATCTGGTCACAGATGTATTCCTCTTTCCTTTGAGAAATGCCTGTGAAGAGAAAAAGAATAGCCAGGGGCAAGATCGGAGGACCCACAGTGAAAACAGTCAAAACCAACTTGTAAACCACAAGCCCACAGCCCCTGAAACAGGTTCATTTGAAGATTTCTATCCATAGAAGTTACATTTTTGGACAGCTTTTCTTTTTTAAGTTATGAATTCTATGTATCTCTAAAATCTAAATGTCAAAACTTAAAATCTAACTCCAACACTGCTCTTAGATTACAGAAAGAAAAAAAAAGTCAGAAAAATAAAAAGTCATGTCTATCTTTGGGTATGCATTTTTTCTTTATGAATTGTTTGGTTTGTAGGGCATGGGATATCCATGTTCTACAGCACCTTCTCTCTGGAGCACTGTGAAGGGCAAGCTCAGCAGATGGCTCATCAGTTTGACCAGGACAGAGAATTGTATGGAGAATTCAAGCCAAAGGAAAGCCTACTCAACAGGCTGACATATCCTGACTGACTTTCCATAGTGGTTAAATTACCCAGAAGACTCTTCAATCTTTCTCCTAAATGCTATAAAATAGTGGTTAAATTACCCAGAAGACTCTTTAATCTCTCTCTTAAATGCTATAAAAACAGAACTCTGTCACCATTTTATCCAGCTTCAAAGGCGAGCTCACTCACTTAAATAAGCAACACTTATTTCTTAATCTCTACTGCAAGCCAGGGAATGTGGTCCAAATTACAGGTAACTGACATACAAAGGACTCTTGGGCATGGCCCATCTTTACTGTTAGATTCCACCAGAAGAGATATAAATCTTGAATGCATTCTTTGAGGATTACTGCAGAATTGAAGAAGCAAGCTTTACATAAAACAAAGTGAGGAAAAGGGAAAGACCAGTACACAAGATTATATAATCATCTATCTAATGGTACTGTGATTAAAAGAAGGTTAGTTATCGGAGCTGATTTTTTTCTTCTGCCCTGATTAATTAACCTTTAAGAGACCTGAAGTTAATTTACATTAACCTCAATGAACTTTTGTTTGCTCATCTGTAAAATGGAGCTGTTTATTTCTGTGTCTCATTCACAAGCTTGAGGAGAGAATCAAACCATAAATATGTATGAAAGAGCACTGAAACCTACAAGATACCTCAAAAATGATACAAATTTGGAAATGTTTATTGTTTTGTTATTACTGATATATTCTAAAGAGCAAATGGTCACGTAAACAAGAAAAGACAGGTGTCTTCTAGCCCTCTAACCTAAGTGATATCAGGAATAAGTTTCTTGTATACTCGGATGGGCAAGTTTGGGCATAAGTATACAACTAGTTCATCCACTACATAAAGGTGACTGGTAAGGTATCTTCCAACTTAGAGATTCCAATAGAATTCCTGAGATCAGTGTTCCCTGAAATATCTTGTTCCCATTGGATGGCCAGTCTACTTGCAAGAATGTTTTTTTAAAAAAATTGATTGGGAATAATTGCCTTTAATAATATCCACCCATCACTTACTGGAATGGAGATGGGAGAACTTATATTACTGAAGCTTAATTGCCTGTGATCTTCTCCTGAAGCATTTTAACTGCCACCTTTAGGCTGAAATTCTAAACTCTTTGGCTTCCATCTCCTACTCTTTCCTAACTCTCTGGTCACTCTTCCTCAGTCTCTTTTCTCTGGTTCCTTTTCCATGAATATTCCTTAATTATTGGTGTTCTTCAAGCTTTGTTTTGGCCTTCTCCCTTCTCACCCTGAATGGTATCATTGGATGACTGTGACTACAGATATGTGATGAATACAACCAGTAGGATGATAACTATCAAATTGTTTATTACCCGCCAAATCATCTCTACTTTGGCCTTGTTTCCAACTGTCCACTGCACACAGGGATCCTACTATCAGGCACTGCCTAAATTTGAACCTTATCTCCTGCCATGGCCTAGACGTAACCTAAGATTCAGATATGAATTATGTTTTAGTGAGAAAGCCTGAATATTAGCTCAAACTAACCCAGATTCAAATCCTAGCTCCACTGTTTACTTGCTGTGCCAAAACAGCCAAATTTTCCATTCCATTTGAACCGCATATTCTTAATCTTTGAATTTTGGGGAGAATTAAATAATTAAATCAATCTAGCTCAGCTCCTAACACAACTTAGTTGTTCAACAAATGTTGGTTCCTTTCTCTTCCTCTCCAAAAATGTTACACTACTTAGATTTTCTTAATCATGCCATGATTTATTTTCTACTTAACTGCGTTATTGCATGCGCTGTTCCCTTAGCCTAGAAGGCCCTCTCTTCACCTCCCCAACCCTCATGCCTGCCAGGTAAACTATTACACAACTTTAAAGAATGCAATTATCAGGAAATATTTCCTCAACAAGACCACACTGCAGTCAGAGCCAGGTACTCCTTCCTCCACGCCTTGGAAGCATTTTATTTTTGTGTCTATCACTTTATATCATAAATGTTTATTTATAGCTGTCTCCCCGACTAAGCTGTGAGCTCATTAAGAGTTCTAAGTAATCCAAATTGAGCAACAGAATGTTATAATTCCGAAGATATTTCAAACCACTGAGTTAATACAAGCAATCTAAATACATAATAATAAATACTATATTAATTAAACTAAATTTTGTAGAGACAAATTATTCAATTTCCATAGTAGGTACTGGAAACAGAAAGTAAACCTAGATATTGTCCCCACCCTCTGGTGTTGAGAGTGAATCTATTGTGTACAAATTTAAATTTTCAAGTGAAATAATATTTTAATCTGTATTTACTTGTTTTTTACAGAAAGTGATGCAAATGTTTCATGAATTTTAAGTTTCTCTTTAGATCCACTATGTTCATCACCAAGACTTGTACTATTTGTGTATGTCATCACATTTTTTAAACAAGTAATTAAAAAGCCAATAAGGAAATTTATTGGATCAAATAAATGAATGTGCAGCGAAGAATAAACATAACAGCTTCTCAAGCAAGTCAATAATATGATTGAGGACGTATACTCTTTTCTTCTCTCCAGTTTTGTGATTGCAAGATGATTGCCAGTGATAAGCCAGGCTACATGTTCCCCTTCCTCACATCTAAAGGGAAATAAAGCGTGCATCTTCCCCAACCACGGAACATAAGTCCTTCCTCAATCTGGTTTGGCCAAAAGGTCTCACATATTCAACCCTGAGCCATTAACTGGCTCCAGAGGAAAGTTATGAAATAATTGGCTTACTTCTGGGTTCTTAAGCAGTTGCTAGCAAGGGGAGTAGGATTCTACGATTGGATACAGCAAATCAAAGTTCACCTGGAAGCTGAGGTCAAAGTACACTAAAGCCACATACTGGGGGAGGGTAGAAAAGATGTTGGGAAGTCAAAGGCAACATCCACGTGCTACACTGTCATAATTAAGTCATAAGAGAAAAGGGTGGTGAATCTTGAGCACACACAGAAGCCCAGGGAAAATTATTGTGTTTTAACAGTTTATTAATGGTTCTTTATTATGGAGAAAAATGAACTGCATTTATATTATTTTACTTGATTAATTCATTTAGTATTTCTTCCTTACAATAAAATACATTTGCAGAGTGAATGTTTGTATCTTCCCTCCAACCAATTCACAGGTTGAAGCTCTGCCCTCTAGCCCTCTAATGTGATAATATTCAGAGGTAGAGTTCTGGGGAGGTAATTAGGTTTAGATGAGGTCATGGAGGTGGGGACCAAGATGGGATCTGTGCCCTGTCGTTTAAGTGATAGATTCTTTTTTTTTTTTTTTTTTTTTTGAGACGGAGTCTCGCTCTGTTGCCCAGGCTGGAGTGCAGTGGCTCGATCGCAGCTCACCACAACCTTTGCCTCCCAGGTTCAAGAGATTCTCCTGCCTCAGCCTCCCGAGTAGCTGGGACTATAAGCATGCACCACCAAGCCTAGCTAATTTTTGTGTTTTTAGTAGAGATGGGGTTTCTCCATGTTGGTCAGGCTGGTCTCAAACTCCTGACCTCGTGATCCACCTGCCTTGGACTCCCAAAGTGCTGGGATTACAGGTGGGAGCCACCATGCCCAGCCTTAAGTGATCAATTCTATGGTATTTTGTTATAGCAGCCAGAACATACTAAGACACAGAATGTGTGAAGTTTTTCTTTTTTTTTTAAACTAAAATTGACTTCGAGTGTTCAACATCACTTTGGCTACAGGGTTATCTGTCTCTCCTCTATTGTCAATACATTGAACATTTAAAAAATAAGATTAATCAGTTGTTTTGATTTCTCAGGAATACTGCTAGTGAAAAGAAAAACTGTACTTTTAAAGAAATTAAGTGAATTAAATGATAGAATCAAAAAAATAAAAATTTACTCCTAACATGGAGAAGTAGCCTTTTCCCTACGCCAACCCACACCCTCCTTTACCTCCTCCACCACCAAATATGCACACACACACACACCCTTCTAGAATTGAGAAGACAATATACCATTAGAAAAAACAAGGTATTGGTTCTCCAAATTAGACTTTTAGCATGGCATTTTACTGAGCAAATGAGTATGCAATTCTCAGTTCTTCCTTGGCAGAAGAGGCATGCAACACCAGGACAGTCTCAGTTACCTGATTTGACACATGTGTATTCCACGGCTGAGGTCCCAGGGTTACAGGGTTGAGGAGTTAGAATGAAGAGGAGATCAAATATCTCAAGAGTTTCTCTTTTCTATTAAATGTCTTTGGAAATTTGCTGTTAAATATAGGCTGTGACCTTCACCCCCATAAAGGTCTCGATAAATGTCCTAGAGTTTATTTTTTAACTTTCATTCTCCCTATGACTGTTTAATTATCATCAATTATCAGTTCTCGTTGTTCCCTTGAACAATCCTTCTGTTTCTTAAAAAGAACTTTTACTGATAAGGTCAAAGGGTGCCACGTTTCAGTTTTCTGGCTGAGGGCTGTCACTCACTTGTTCCATTTTCTGCTGTTCATGTTCTACCTTGATCCAGGCTAGTATGTCAAGGAAGGGGCCATCTCAGCTTTTTCACATCTTGAGGTAACAGAGGCAGACTTAGCTGTGAGATTGATTCTCCAGTGATCTAGCCAGGCTACTACTGCTATAGAAGGAACACAGAGCTGTGTTTTTGAGGAGGAGATTTCAACTATGGACAGTGCTAATCTTTCTTCTCCTTTCGGAAGAAGGAATGTTCCTTTCCACTGTTAATATCACATCAGGTTGGAAAGACTTTCCTGTTCCAAGCCCCCACCTCTTACCTCCAGTGTGCAGATTCATTAATTATAGAATTGAATGTCCTCAGAGAAGGTAATATCAAGCTAAGAAAAGTCTGCCAACGTGTGTCAAAGGACATCACTCTACTTCAACATACAGCCTAGTACTTCACAAAGGCAATACAGGATATACCTTGCAGGAGTTTGTTGTAAAGGCTGAATAAGCTAATTCATGTAAGCACTCAGAACAATGTCTGGCATGAAGTGCTCAGCTATTATTATCATGATAATGATGGTGATTGAGGCAGCCTGGTGTTGCAGAAAGAATGGTGTTCGGAAGAGCAAGAGATTTGGGTTTCAGTCCTGATGCTTCTGCCCACTGTGTGGTATTGGACAAGTCACTCAAGCTCTGAGCCTCAAACTCCTGATCTGAAAAACAAGAATAATTTTACCTCCCATGCAGGTTTCTCAAGGGATGATAGAACCACATGTGATAAAGGTTTTTAGAGCCTTTCATGAGCCATGAAATGTGGTACAAATCATAAGGGTCACGGACTGCAAGCACATGAGGACAGAGACCACATATAGAATCTGGTCAGATATCTATTACAGAATAGGCACTCAACAATATGTGATTCACAGATCGAAGTATCCACAGTAGAATCACCATTATGGCTGTCATTATTTCCTCTCACTCAAATGTGTCCTTCCTTTACTAATATGTTTTCATTTATTCATTCAGGGCTGACATATATCTGCTAATATCGCAAAGGCTGTACCCATTGGTAAACAGTGACAACTCAAGCTTTTCCTTATTTGAACACTTGTTTCATATTTACTACTTGAACACAATACTCATAATGCCATGTGGCACATTTCAAAGCAATTTGAAGTAAACTTTCAAAACAATTTCCCATGTATTCTCTTATCTGATCCTCACTACAACTCTGTCAGGTAGGTATTTTATTATTACTCTTACTTTACAGGTGAGGGAACTGACGAAGAAAAGAAAAGAAAAAAGAAAAACTAAGCCCAACAGCAAAATGGGTCCTGATGGCCTGAAGAATAAAGTTGAAATCATTTCACAGTGTAGCATCACGGTCAAAAACACATTGTAAAACCACATTCCCTGGAATTCAAATTCTAACTCTGCCAGGCACTGAGAGATTAAAAAACTTGCCCAGGGTCTCAGTGCCTTGGTTTCCTTACCTATAATAAGGAGGTAATAATAGCACTTACCTCTAAGGTAGTTGAAAGAATTCAGTCAGTATACAAAAATCATTTAGAAAAGCCAAGCACTAAATGAATGAATATTAGTTATTATCATAATTTAGTCTGACATTCAGTATTGTCGGCAGTCTAAACTGAGCCTATCTTTTCAGATGCTTCTCCTCTGCCTTTGGATATATTCTCTTGTCCAGCCATCCTCATCCACAGAAGACCTAACACAATCATAGATGCTTGAGAAATGTTTGTTGAAAAATAAATGAAGGAGGCCAGGTGCGGTGGCTCACGCCTGTAATCCCAGCACTTTGGGAGGCCGAGGCAGGTGGACCATGAGGTCAGGAGATCGAGACTATCCTGACTAACACAGTGAAACCCCGTCTCTACTAAAAATATAAAAAATTAGCCAGGCGTGATGGCACATGCTTGTAGTCCCAGCTACCTGGGAGGTTGAGGCAGGAGAATCGCTTGAACCCAGGAGGCAGAGGTTGCAGTGAGCCGAGATTGTGCCACTGCACTCCGGTCTGGGCAACAGAGCGAGACTCTGTCTCAAAATAAATAAATAAATAAATAAATAAATAAATAAATAAATAAATAAATGAAAAAAGGCAAGAAGGAAGACAAGCCATGTTACACCTTTCTCACTTTTATGCCCTATTCCCTTCATCAAAGCCACTGCTGGCTTTTTAGTTTCTTCAAAGAGTGTATAGTATAATGACTTTTATAGTCAGCAAATCCAAGATGTTTTTTTGTGTCTGGTCTGACTTGCTTTTTCTGAATTACTTCTGCTTATCTATATATTGCCATCATAAAGGTTTCTTTTCCCCATCATAAACCACCTTTGAATATTTTGCAAGATAGTTTGTATACATTGCAATATGATGAGATGCCATTAAATTTATTTAATTTTTATTCTTGGTATATATCTATAAACAGAAATTATAGCACTGAAAGTATTTTTAGAAGTTTTCAAGCCTAGAAAAGAATTGCATTCCATCTCCCTGCAGGGTTGAGGGTGATTGTGCTTCTCAGCACTGAAAAACAAGGGCGGAAGAATAAAATTCCTGAACACTGTAATTTGCCTACTCCTTCTGCCAATTTTTTTTAATTTATAGCCTTGCAAAAACTGATTTTGATCAGATCCTTTAAGAAAACATTTATAAAATTTTCATTATTATCTCTTCTTCCTTAGTATAATCCCTGCCCTTTATGTAATACAGAACCAGTATGTCAATAAATAGTGTTATTAGTGTTTCAAAGTAAGATGAATGAGTATTCGATATTTTTGTACAGTGATTTTTAATAGCATGCTTGTATGTTTAACAAATGTTGTGTTTATAGATACAAAACCTGACTATCCATTTGAATTTTTAAATATTTGTATTCGGACTATCAGTGAGAAGCTTATGTTACCGCACTGTTTTCATAGTATCTCAGACCCAGGCCTAGGTTTTGGTTTGTGCCTCTGTTTTAGTTGGATATTACATTACCCCAGGAAGAAAATGTCTCTGTAGGTAGAAAGAAAGGGAGGAATTTCTATGTTTTATTCATTTCCTCTCCCATATATGAGATGGCATTAGTTTCTACTTTACTACCTCAAACAAATTTGGGTACATGCACAATACTCAAGACAGCATCCTAGGAATTAGTTGAAGGAAATCAATATAAAGTTTTTTTTTTCTTTTTTGGCGGGGAGCAGGGAGAGCTAGTATTTCTTATACCACAGCTCAGTAAAGTAAATATTCTTGCCCCAAGACTTGGACTTAAGACTTAAATCATAGTCACTATGTTCCCATTATTTCTAATTCTAATATATTTTATTTTATGGTTATTTTTCATACTTTTCAAGCCAAGCCCCAAGACTGGAGTCTTACTACCATCAAAAACATGGGAGTTTTGCCCACAGTAAAATTTTCAGCAAGGGGGGAATAATTTTTTTTTCTTTTTCCCTACTGTCTATGCTTTTTTTTTCATTCCTAAACCAAAATTTCAATGATAGAGCTACCCAATATTTTGTGCCTAGCTATTTTCCAAAATGGGACATATTTGATCCTATAAAAAGACATTCTATTTATTCAAAGTGCTTATTTTAAATGTTCCTTCATTCAAGGTGGTATTTTTCTCAGGCATCCTACAGAGAAATTAAGTAAAATTTAATCATGTTCCTATGGCAAAGGAGAAATTCTCCGCTGTTGGCAGAATTGAAATTGTGAGTGTAAAATCACTATTGTATGATGATTGGTGATTCCATTGTTCTCCAGTAGAGGGGTGGAAAAGTTCTTTTTCATAGTCACTTCGTTTATTGACTAGTTAACACAGTCATAAAATCCTTTGGCAAGGAACTGATTTTCTTCCTTTAAAAGTAATCAAGAATCTATGGTTTTAAGTGGGTAAGAGGGGAGGAGAAAGGGTCACTTCCTGGAGGCCTGTCTGGTTAAACTGGTTAGGCAGTCTAATTTTTCCAACAGTAACCAGAGTGTGAAGGTAATGAGGTATCATGGTTCAACGGTTCACGCCCATGGCAGAGAGAGTTTGGACTTTTTCTCATAAGCTCTGTGCATTATTTGCAGGATACATTCAGTCATCTGAATTCAATTGGAAGTTCAGGTCCCAAGTGTGGGAACTATCCTTATATATGAGGTGGGAGGTTTAAATGGAATTTTTCTAAAAAGTCAGTTTAAAATTGAATGTAATTTTTAATTTAAATAATATTTATCATCCCCAGAAGTGTAGCAGCTTCCTAAATTACAAAACAGAAGAATCACACTAAGAAACTCAAAGAGATCACATCACAAATTAAAAAACAAAAACAAACAAACAAAAAGAACCTCAAGAACAGAGACTCTTGAGTCTTGAGTTGAGAGCCACCTTTACAGGGCAGGTAAATGGCTACTGGAAGACAACAGAGCTAGAATTTCCACTCTTCCTTTCCATTAGTAGGTGCCAGTCTCCCATATACTCCTAACACAGACAATATGTGTAAAGGCTCATTCTTATGAGTTTTTAGTGTGTAACGGAGTGTTTTATTGTCTCATTCTTGTCAGTTCTTAGTGTGTAACAGAGGTAGCCTGTCTCTTCTGCCCACAGATCTCTCAAGGTGTACAAAAGTGCCCCATTTCCCCCCCATCCCACCCATATTTAAGATAAACAAGCTCCTTCTATAGCCCTTCGGGGGTCTACTTGTCATTAAGTGCTCTCTCCCCAGTGCTACTGGAGTTTGTCATCCAGGGTATGATGGTTCACAGGGGGCTTCCAGAAACCCAGATCAGAGTAGGATTCTGCTGTTATGTTGGGACAGCCAGAACTACTAATAGGTCTCCAAGAAGGGGTATAAAGATGGATTTTCTAATCAAGTTGCTCTAGGCATTCATAAGAGGACCTTCGATGCAGCCCTTTTCTGGAGTCAGTGATCCTAGAAACTCTGAAACTACTGACGATATCAGAATTAACTTAGGGATAGGACTCAAGTATTAGAAGTGTCCCACTACCCGAGCTCTGCCCGTCTTTCCCTTCTCTCCCCAACCCCTCCCCCTCTTTTCAATAACAACAAAAAAACAAAATTGACAAAAACTTTCAATTCTCCTCAGAATCCAGCTCCTCTCTTTCATTCCAACACAAAAGAGATCATGCTATTTCTCATCACCAATATTAGAACTTAAGGGCCCCTCAGGATGTACCCAGGCCATAGAACATCGAAGACCTGTACATTCTTTAGAAGAGCAAGAAGGATGCATGCCATTTCTTTTGGCCAATAACTCCCTTTTCATCTACCTCCTTTGATGCAAGATACTCAGGGAGACTTCTTGGTACGGAAATGAAAACAAAACTCTAGTTAAGGTCTCAGCAAGTCACCCTCCTAGCTTAAGTTTTTGAGAAGATGCATGTGACAGGGAAGGAGAGTTGCATCTGAAGAGAATCAAAATCCCCTCTTCCTTCAAAAAGGAAGAAAGGATAAAAGAAAGTGGAGAGGATAGATGGAGGGAGAAAGGGAAAGAAAAAGAGAAAGGAAGACAGAGAGGTAGAAAAAAGAAAAGAAAAAAGAAAGAAAAAAAGAAAAATAAAGAAGGGCTCTCAAGGGAGGAAAAAAGGAAAAGTGAAAAGAAGAATAAAATTTTAATTATGTGACAAAATATTTGAAAAAGCAACTCTCTAAGTTATTGACATTTTTATAGTGGTGATGTGATGGACAAGGCTTGTCATAAAACGTTAAGGTGACACTATAAGTTTCAAAATAATAAAAGGGTGCTCTTGCTGAAGCATGTGATAAGCCCCATACCCATGAGCTGTAAAAGAGTACATTAAACCTGGTCACCCTGCCCAGGCATTATAGGATTGCACACCCAGGACTGTTCTAGTGATGACGAGGTTGTTGAAACTCTGCCAGCTGACTTTTGAACATGGTGCCTGTGTAACCTAATTCCTTATTCATTAAACAGTCTGCTCCCTCACAAGCAGTTTGTGTGCCCATTATCTTGATGGGACCCATGCAGGATTGCCTCTGTCTTCACACTTGAGTTTGCAAGATCCCTGATGACAACATGGATTCCTACCACACAAGAAAACAAAGCAAATTTATTGAACTCCCAATTGAAAACAGTAGCAAATCAAGCTTGCTTAACCAAAATATTTCTCATAGAAGATTAGGTTATCATTTTTAGGGTGATGCTCATGAATATTAATTTCTCAACAAGGACTGACTAGGAATCCCCCAGTTCCCTAATGGAAATTAGCAATTCTCCAAACCAGCAGAAACTTATGTGGTCAACCATTTCAGTTTGCCAGGGACTAAGGGATCACCTAGGATGTGGGACTTTTAGTACTAAAACTGGGGAAGTCCCAGGCAAACCAGACAAGCTGGTCACCCCTAGGGAAACTCCCATTACTCACCATTCTCCTTTCGGCTTCCTCAGACTTGCAGCTCACAGGCTATCCTCAGAGTTCTCTAGGACTGAGCTTCTACTTTGATTTTCACAAACATCTATTTATGTAACCTGCCCCTCCACTGGACACAAGGGCGGAGAGATGTCTCAATCATTTTTATGTTCCAACCTCTGGCTTAGAAGAGCTTGCTGAACTGAGATAGCCAAAC